>NC_000004.12:184981987-185285017 GCF_000001405.40 Homo sapiens
AGGCTAAGAATGTGAGACCAACCTGGGCAACATAACAAGATTCCCATTTCTAAAAAATAATTTAAAAATTAGCTGGGTGTGGTAGTGCATGCCTGTAGCCCGAGCTACTTAGGAGGCTGAGGCAGGAGGATCACTTGAGCATGGGATGTTGAGAGAGCAGTGAGCTATGGCCACACCACTGCACTCCAGCCTGGGCAACAGAGCGAGACCCTGCCTCTAAAAAATGAATAAATAAATAAATAGCCAGATGAAGCTAGTGGCTACCATACTGGACAGTGCAAGTCTACAACTCTAGACTTGCAGGAGAAATGGAAGGACCAATAAGTAGCTTGGCAGCCAGCATCCAGTGAGCCAGCTATAGGGCCCACTCTGACTCTCTCTAACCTTGCTGTGAACACTGGGCCTTCTGCCTTATACCCCAGTACCAGGAAACAGAGTCCTGTTTTGCTCCTCATGCTGGAGTATCTGCCTCAGTTCCCTGCCCCTGCTCCAGAGCTCCTGCCCTGCTCCCTACACCCTTCCCCGGAACGGGAATCCTGACCTTAGACCCCTTTGCAGGTTTGATGCCAGTGCTCCAGGTAACATCTGGATGCACCTGGCATCCGCCTCTGGCCCTCTCGGGCTGTCTGCCTCCTGCCTGTATGGGTTTCCACATTCTTTGCTGCCAGGACTTGCCTCTGTGGGAGCGTGGATGGTTCAATCAGCATTGGAAGCAGGATCTTTATGGTGGGTAAAAAAAGCTGCACCTCAACCCTTGCCACTGTCACTTATTACACTTGCAAAGAGATGTGAGGATCTGGTGGCAACTCTGACTTCAAATAGCTCACACAGCCTTTAAAAGCTCCGAGTGATCTGCCTGCCTTCACCTGTCTCGAGAGCTTCAGCTACTCCCCAGCCTCCAAAAATCCCCAAATCTCTCGCCAAGTTGGACTGAGCTCCACTCCTCCATTTCCAGCAACCTGGACATCCCTACTAAATTTTCCACATGTGCCTCCAGCCCACAAGCCTCAACACAGAACTCTCAGCTCCCTCAGAAGCACCCGTGCAATCTCCCAAACTGGCAAGCTGAGAGTCATCCCTCCTCCCTGTCTTCCTCCATCCCCAGCCAGCTGGTCCCCAAACCCATAGACACTGGGTCAGAAATAAGATTTGGGCATCCTGCCTGACTGTCTCTGAGGCTTCCACCTACTCCCTGGGCTTATTGCAGCCCTCCACCAACAGACTTCCTTGCCTCCAGCCTCCAGCCTCCACCTCTCCTGCCCTCCACTCTGCCGCAGGGTTGCCTTCCTGAGACCAATCTGTTTAAGGCCATCAAAGGATCCATTCAAACCCTGCAGCCCTCAGTGTCTGACCTGCAGGCCAACTGTGCAGTTCTTCTCCCACCAGCCTCCCAGCTGCAAGCCCTCCAGCCACTCTCCAAGGTGTGCCTGCTGCACCCTTCACACTCTGTGCCTGATGCTAGCGTGCCTCCCTTTCTGGCAAGCTCACTCATCCTTTGAGGCCCTCCAGGAAAGTTTCCCCAGCACAGCCACATCTCTTTCCCCCAGCAGCCACATCTCTTAAAGCCCTTGCACAATTTTTCATTTCTCCACGAGTGTGAGTGCCTCCCACTAGACCCTGAGTTCCTAAAGGGCAGGAATCCAGACAACAGGCTGATGATTAAGTGTGGGCTAGTAGTGGGGGTGCCCAGAGCTGTGGCTCCCATGGGACCCTAGAAACTAGACATTAAGTAATAAAAATGGCTTTGGATCGTTACAGTTAGGAGCCTACCCCGAAAGACGCCTAGCATCCTGTTTCTCCGCATCATCCTCAAAGAACCGTCTCCATGGATCTGACTCAGCAGTGGTCCCAAGCACAGGTCTGGGGCGGCTCCCGGGAGATGTGTGCCCGCTCACCCACCCTCCCGAGACCGTCCTGCAGTTCAATCACGCTCTGCATCTAT
Source organism: Homo sapiens (assembly GCF_000001405.40). Classification (NCBI taxonomy): domain Eukaryota; kingdom Metazoa; phylum Chordata; class Mammalia; order Primates; family Hominidae; genus Homo; species Homo sapiens. Next base: position 184,983,930 of record NC_000004.12, read on the forward strand.
TCTAGGCCACGCTCATTTCCTGTGGTGGAAATTGGTTTTTGACAGTGTTCCTTTCCCATTTAATCTCTCCATGTTAATTACAGCCAATCCTCTTAGCTCAAGGATGGCTCTTCCTCTGTGTCAGACGAGTGGCTCTGCCAGCACACAAGCCCCGCCCCTTCAGGAAGCCCCGCCCCTCCACGGCCCACCGGGCAGGAAGCTTCCCACTGTGGCTGACTCTTCCCCGCACCTGCACTCCGGGAAGGATGTGCAGGGACGCAGCCCTCCAGATGGGCTTTGCAAACCAAGGGGACACCTAGTGATAAAAGGGATGAAAAGCAACCGTGACAGGCCCAGAATGTTCTTTTGAGTCTTTCCTTTTTCTTTATTTTTCAGGGTTTGTAAAATGTATTGTTTAGGATGAAGCACTACAGATCAGAGCCTCACCACGTGTTTTCGATCTGGTGTTTCTAGGGAAATTGGCTTTGATCGCCGTTTCAACTGCATTGGATCTATGAGGGCGTATTTAAAAACAAAACAAAAAAGCTTCTTTTCAGAATTCTCCATCATCATCCTTAAAACGTATTTTTAGACATCTTATAATTTGCAGGGCACGGTTAGTACTTGGCAAAATAGAGGCAACAAGAAGTTGGGGAAGGAATCTCAGCTCGTGTTCAGAAACTGCAGTTTCATTCCGGCCCCATGGCATGTCTCTGTGGCTTTGGGAAAGTCAGCCATCTCTCTGAGCCTCAGTGTCCTTAGCTGTCACATGAGGCTATGGAACTACAGGATCTAACATTGTATAAATGGGTGATAAATAGTCTTGCAATTGATTATTATATAGACGTCTTGGGGGCTGGTAGAAATGAGAGGGGCTGGAGGTGGAAGAAAAACAGAATTTGTCCTTGGTAACCTTTCTGGTGCATGAGCACTAGTCATGTGGGGACCAGGGAATGGACACCCGTTTCCATTTTGCAAGGCTACCTATGAATTATGCATGTCGTACACACAGGCAAAAGGGATGGATAATTACCAGTTTGACCTCTGAGAAGAGAGACACTGGGTGAAAGGAATGTTGTTTGCTAGAAAGGGTAGAACAGGGGGTTTTCAGATCTGTTTAATAAAGGAACTTTACTAATCATCTAGTCTACACCCACCCACCTAATAGACAAATAAAGCAACACTCAGAGTGATTTAAGTGATTGGATCAAGAGCACACCATTAGTGGTAAAGTCAGAGGAGTCCAGTGCTAGGAAAAGCCATTCTAAATAACAAGAAACCCATGGCTTTTACAACCAACTCATGTGATGCTAGACAGTCTGGTTTCCACATCAATGTTGACAAAAGTCATGTAAAGCAACGTAAAAATGTGACAAATGTTACCAACCATTGTCTGTGCATGCTTCAGTCATGCGCAGAGCCTTGGATATCCTTGAGAGAGCAGAAGAGAGACATGGTACCTAGGTCCCCAGGGAGAGGGAGAGGCAATTCTTGGGATGCTATTTGTTTCTTGGACACAGAGTCTAACCAAGGACCGAGGCCCGTGTCCTCTAGAATTTTGGACTAAGTCACAAAACTTTTTATTTTAAAATTTCTAATATTTGTATCCAACAAATAGAATGCCTATACCACTGAACTTTTCTCCCCAAGTTTTTGCATAATGAAAGAGGTCAACATTACTAGCCTCATCTCTTCACTCTCCTCCTCCCTCACCTTCCACTTGCTGGTAGCCTCCTTGTCCCTCCCTGAAGATGGCAACCACAGCGTCTCCGCACCTCAGCACCTACACGCAGGCTGCTCCTCTGCTCAGGATACTCCAGAATCTACCCCATCCACTTCTCGGTCATCTTCAAGTTTCTGCTCAAATATCATCTTCACTGGAGGCCTTCCCTGACCATCCTATCTAGGATACAACCCCACTCCTGGTTCCTTTTCCTTTGCATTTTTTTTTCCTTGACACTCATCACCTTCTAATATTTTCAGTTTTGTGTGTCTCCCTTCAAGTGTGTAACCTTCATGAAGATCAGGGCTTGGCTCTGTTTTGTTCCCTGTGATGCGCACAGGTCCCAGCATGGTGTCTGCCAGATAGCGCTGGATATTTTTCTGAGTGCACACAAGCTTTTCTTCACTTTCTGGTTTTTGTTCCTGCTTGCCTCTGCCTTCTAATCTCTTTCCCAGACTTGCTCAAGTCTCACCCCCTAACTAGAAGTGGATTCATTAACTTCACAGCTAAAAGAGCATCGTTTCCAGTGTCCTCACTTGAGAAAACCAAAAAGGCTAACGGCACAGACCCAGGACTTGAACTTGGATGTTATGTTGCCTCCCAGCCACGGCTCTCCCCACAGTCCCGGATTCCTCCAGCCTGGTGTGCACCTTCCTTCTTCCCCCAGGTCTGGCCCTGTCTACCTGTATGTGCCACGCCTTCTTACACCTCATCTGAGCAACGCTGAATCCTGATTCTGCCACAACTTAAGCATGTGGCCTTGGACAAGTGACTTAACTTCTCTCGGCCTTGGGCTTCTGCCTTCTCAAGGGAAGAGTAACATCTACCTCAGAAGATGTTCACAAGGCTCAATTAAAATGAAGGAAGCACAGCCCTCTCCTGGCCAAGGCTCAGTGCCTGGCTGTTCCTTTTCCTTTCTCTGGCTTGTGCGGAGATGGTCATTTGCTCAACAGAAATGTTAAGTTTCTCAAGGTCTCTCTGTTGTCCCCATCCCCAGGCCTAAGCTCCTAGAAGACAATGAAGAAATCCTTGGGGAATGAAAATGAGTTTTAAAGGGAGGATGGCAGGAAGAAGGGCCTCTATAAGGTGGGCATCTCACTATCAGGGCTGGCTCATGGATTCTAGCTTGCAGGCCTGGCACCCCTTAAGATTAATGATGAAGATGAACAAGGCCTCCAAGAGGCCAGGTAAGGCAACATGAGACATTTTCCACCTTTCTCAGGGGGCAGCTTGTTGGCAAAACATCTCAATTTCAAAAGTCACCCTCAAGGTAATGGAGCAGGAATCCTGATTTCCTTAGAGACTACCATGATGAGCATTTCTCAAAGTCCGCTCTTCAGTATTTAAAAAGAAAAAAACAAGCGAGGGTGTTCTGTGATTTTTAAATGGTTTACAAAATACTAGGTTAAAGAGTTACCCAACTGCATTTATGCAGGACTTCTCAGAGACTTTGCCAAGTTTATGTACATTATGACTCTCCAAGAGGGATGGAGGTATATGCACGCTGAAACAGTTTCCCAGTGTATTCGGTCAAGATACCCTTTCTTTACAAGGAGCAGCTGTTATGCTATACACCACATTCTATGGAAATCCAGCTCTAGACAAACTCAGATTGGGGCATAAAAGCTGAACCTGGAGAAATGAAGTGGCTTAGCCAAGGTTAAACAATGAATGGCAGAACCAGGGCCGCAATCCACTGCCTGGTGTGATTCCCAGTGCTCTCCCTTCTACATGGCACTGAGGTTGGTGAAGGCCTTCAAATCAGACCAGCTCTAGTGACAGAGTCTGGGGTTTTCACTGGAGAAAATAAACTGGCATGAAATGTAACCAGCGAGATGGCTTACTAGTGATAAGAAAGTGTGCATGTGAGTGTGTGTGAGTGTGAGTGTGCGTGTGAGTGTGGATGTGTGAGTGTGCATGTGAGTGTGAGTGTGCATGTGTGTGATTGTGGATGTGAGTGTGCATGAGTGTGCATGTGAGTGTGTGAGCGTGAGTGTGCGTGTGTGATAGTGTGAGTGTGCGTGAGTGTGTGCATGTGTGGAGTGTGCACGTGTGTGAGTGTGCCCGTGAGTGTGTGCATGTGTGTGAGCGTGAGTGTGCATGTGTGATAGTGTGAGTATGCGTGTGTGCATTTGAGTGTGTGGAGTGTGCACGTGTGTGCCCGTGAGTGTGTGCATGCCTGTGTGAGTGTGCATGTGAGTGTGCGTGCGTGTGTGCATGTGTTTGTGTTTTGCAGGAGTAGCAGCAACAGCACTGAAAGACCTATTCCCACTCAAGATGGTTGTATGGTCCCTGCAAGCTCTGGTGAAGGAGGATCTCCCCCAGCCCTCCCCTGGCTTTACCTGTTTCCGGGAATGGTGGGTGATAAACTGAGCTTTCATCAATGGTGAGTGCACACCCTGGCCCAGTGTGGAAGGCTGAGTACAGCCCCTAAAGATACGCATGTCCTCATCCCCAGAACCTGTACATGTCACCTTATATGGCAAAAGAGACTTCGCAGATGTGATGAAGTTGAGGGTTTTGAGATGCAGAGATGCTCCTGATTATCCAGGTGGGCCCAGTGTCATCACAAAAGTCCTTGTGGGGAGGTGGGGGAGATCTGATCACAGAACAGGAGTAGGGACTGTGATGATGGTAGCAGAGACTGGAGGGACAGTTTGAAGGCAGAAGAAGGGGCCACAAGTGCAGGAATCAGGGTGACTGCTAGAAGCTGAAAGGGCAAAGCGATTCTGCCCTGGAGGCTTCAGAGGAGGCCAGTCCTGCCAACACTTCTACTTTAGCTCCATGAAACCGATTTTGGACTTCTGAATAAATTTGTGTCATTTGAAGCTACCAAGTTTGTGTAATTTGCTACAGAAGCAATAGAAAATGAATACATGCAGTATGATGAGAACATTCCCAGTCCACTCTGAGAAGGTTGTGCCGCCCAGATGAGTGCTGGTGACAGGGAGCCCGGGGTGGTGTGACAGGCTCATGTATGCAGCTGGGTCACCCCACATTCTGGGAACCACCCAGAGGTTTGCTCCGAGCATTGTCCTCGGTCACAGCTTCCTATGGAGAGAGTGGGGCCACATCAGTCTCCCACTCAGAGGTAAAGACATCTGTGTCTCCTGCAACGTCATCAGTTTGTCCCTGTGGCAAGCAGCAGGGAGTGACTGATTTGTGACACCACGCCTTACCTGTGTGACTTTCAATGATTGTTTTCCTAGGCAGCATTGCAGCTGAGCCGTCGGGCAAATGAGAGCCAAGCAAGTTGGAGCTGCCCGGGAACTGGATGTGCTTGCTTAGAAAACATTTCAACATTTCCAAGGGTATAGTTTCTCCCACATACTCTGGAACGCTTGGAAACCACTTTAATTAGCATTGTTTGCCTGTCTGGCTGCCTTGGGTCTTTGGTTTGCTGAGGGCTGCTTGGAGGCTATGCCCTCCTCTCCAGCCCCTGCGTTGGGAAGTCACAGGAGACCGGAGCTGCGCACGACATCACAGCGCCGAATTCTGACCCAATCTGAATCAAATGTCACCCATACCCTGTCTTCAACCAACAAAAGAGCAACGAAGCCAGAGACATCATCTTCAGCTGCCTTGGCCTGTAAGGAATTCATTCTGACTTGAGAGGTGCTTTAACACTTTCACATGTAATTGTGTCCAGAATTGGTGGGTTCTTGGTCTCACTGACTTCAAGAATGAAGCCGCGGACCCTCGCGGTGAGTGTTACAGCTCCTAAGGTGGCGCGTCTGGAGTTTGTTCCTTCTGATGTTCAGGTATGTTTGGAGTTTCTTCCTTCTGCTGAGTTCGTGGTCTCACTCGCTCAGGAATGCAGCTGCAGACCTTCACGGTGAGTGTTACAGCTCTCAAGGCAGAGCGCCTGGAGTTGTTCGTTCCTCCCGGTGGGCTCGTGGTCTCACTGGCTTCAGGAGTGAAGCTGCAGACCTTCGCAGTGAGTGTTACAGCTCATAAAAGCAGTGTGGAGCCAAAGAGTGAGCAGTAACAAAATTTATTGCAAAGAGGGAAAGAACAAAGCTTCCACAGTGTGGAAGGGGACCCCAGCGGGTTACCAATGCTGGCTCGGGCAGCCTGCTTTTATTCTCTTATCTGGCCCCACCCACGTCCTGCTGATTGGTAAAGCCGAGTGGTCTGTTTTGTCAGGGCGCTGATTGGTGCGTTTACAATCCCTGAGCTAGACACAAAGGTTCTCCAAGTCCCCATCAGATTAGTTAGATACAGAGTGTCGATTGGTGCACTCACAAACCTTGAGCTAAACACAGGGTGCTGATTGGTGTGTTTACAAACCTTGAGCTAGATACAGAGTGCTGATTGGTGTATTTACAATCCCTGAGCTAGACATAAAGGCTCTCCAAGGCCCCACCAGACTCAGGAGCCCAGCTGGCTTCACCTAGTGGATCCTGCACCAGGGCTGCAGGTGGAGCTGCCTGCCAGTCCCGTGCTGTGCGCTCGCATTCCTCAGCCCTTGGGTGGTTGATGGGACTGGGCACCGTGGAGCAGGGGGCGGCGCTCATCAGAGAGGCTCGGGCCGCACAAGAGCCCGTGGAGGGGGTGGAAGGCTCAGGCATGGCGGGCTGCGGGTCCTGAGCCCTGCCCCCCCGGGAAGGCAGCTAAGGCCCGGCGAGAAATCAAGCGCAGCGCCGGTGGGCCGGCACTGCTGGGGGACCCAGTACACCCTCCGCAGCCCTTGGCCCGGGTGCTAAGTCCCTTATTGCCCGGGGCCAGCAGGGCCGGCCGGCTGCTCCGAGTGCGGGGCCCGCCAAGCCCACGCCCACCCGGAACTCCAGCTGGCCCGCAAGCGCCGCACGCAGCCCCGGTTCCCGCTCGCGCCTCTCCCTCCACACCTCCCTGCAAGCTGAGGGAGCGGGCTCCCGCCTTGGCCAGCCCAGAAGGGGGCTCCCACGGTGCAGTGGTGGGCTGAAGGGCTCCTCAAGTGCCACCAAAGTGGGAGCCCAGGCAGAGGAGGCGCCGAGAGCGAGCGAGGGCTGTGAGGACTGCCAGCACGCTGTCACCTCTCAAAATCACTACCTGCGCCTCAGATTTGACAGTGAAGTGTTAGGGGTTAGATTATGCAGTGTCAGGGCAGGCTATATGGAAGTGATAATGATGTCATAAATGACAAGTTGCATTTCTTTCTTCCAATGACATACTTGCAACTTAATCAATTGCCTTTTTATTTCCCCCAATCCACAGATTTGTTAAACTATTCTATCAGATGAATATTTTGCTTATGTTTTATGCAAAAGAGGACTCACAGAATCTGAAATGTGAAACACAGGAAACTGACGTTCAATGGGCAGGCTACACAGAGGCTGGTGCAAAGCCATCACCTCTAAATTAGAACTAAATTACTAAATTATAACTAAAACTATAAAATAGACTCAGGCTGTTGAAACCATTGAAAGCAGCACACGGCATTGTTAAAGTCATCAACTACTATATTTATTAAGTGTTTTTGGGTTTTGTTTTTCTTTTTGAGACAGGGTCTCACTCTGGCACAATCTTGGCTCACAGCAACCTCTGCCTCCCAGGTTCAAGTGACTCTCCCACCTCAGCCTCCTGAGTAGCTGGTACCACAGGCACACATCACCTGTGTGCCTGGCTAATTTTTGTATTTTTCCGTAGAGACAGGTTTCACCATGTTGGCCAGGCTGGTATCCAACTCCTGACCTCAAGTGATCTTGCCCACCTCAGCCTCCCAAAGTGCTGGGGTTACAGGTGTAAGCCACCACACCCAGACTATTAAGTGTTTTTATAAACGCTTAGATTTTAAGAAGTGCTCACATTTTGAACTCTAACAGAAAGCTTAGGGATAGACAGGCTTGGCGACAGTTTGGAGAAAGATTCAATGTGAACAGATAAAACCTTTCAAGGTGGCGATGACTGAAGGTATTACTACAAAAGACTGTAGGATGAGTGCCTCAAATGTAATATGCCTATACCATAATGACAAAAATGCGAAGAATAAAAGATAGTAAAATAGTGTTTTAAAAGTTAAAATAAGGATAGAGTAAGAAACAAACTAGGAAGTGACAGGAATGACTCTAACATGTACTAATATTTGGACTACTAATGGCTAGAAATCACCAGCGAAGGTTGATGGAGTATTTGAGAAGCTGGAAAAAGAATCTTATAACCACTATCCGAAGAAAAGTTTGTCAAGCAAACATTGATATTCTAACAGAAAAAGTTTTCATATGAAATCCTGAAACTGGGCTTTCTGATGGTAAAATATGCATTATTGGATTCTAAATATATTCATTCATAGAGGACTATATTACCCTCAACTGTTAGCCTTCAAGAAATCGAACCTTACTTAAATACTGCTAGATAACACCAACAAAACTGAAAACCAATTAACTCTTTCTAGAGCTCTGTTTGCTATTAAAGCGATTCAACATGAATGATAAATTTAGTAAGTCAGCAAATGCGGTAAATTCAATGAATTTATCATCAGGCAAATTTTATTTCTGCAACATTAAATCTTGGCAAATCGTTTCTTATTAAACTGACCTAACATCAACCAACATCCGCCACACCCTTTCACAAATGAAAGATACCTAATTATAGGGTAGTGTCGTTGGCAAAAGACAAATAAGTATATGTATGAATTGACCACAATTTATAAACAATGTGTCCCATTTCAGCGTGGAGCCATCCTGCATTAGTTTTCACTAGCGCTTCCTTAGTGTGGCAAGCCGAACTACCGGAGTGTTAACCCGGATGGTGCCGTGAACGAGGCCACACAGGAACTGGGTTTCACCCTTGGAAGAAACACACAGCCTTGGACATTCATCTCCTGCCTGTTAGTTTCTTAGGGCTGCTGTAGCATGTTACCACAAACTGGATCAGACTGCAGACATGTGTTCACTGACGGTGCTGGACACTGCAGGTCCAAAATGGAAGTGTGGCAGGGCCAGGCTCTCACCGCTCCCCGCCGTTCAGCTTCTGTGTGGCTGCAGCCCTTGGTGATCTCAGCTGGCGATGGCGAAACTCAGCCTCCGCCTTTGCTGTCACATGGTGTCCTCCATGTCCTCACGCCGTCTTCTTTGAGGACTCTGGTCATATCGGATGACGGGTCCACCCTGTTCCAGCATCACCTTGTCCTAACGAATCACATCTGCAGTGACTGTACTTTCAAGGTTAGTTCTTGGGGACAGGACGTCAACGTATCCTTCCGAAGGACACAATTCACCTATAACACATCCTTGCCTCGACTTCCCAGACACACACACTTAGTGACAGCACACAGGAATCCTCTCACGGACCTTGTCATTTCTCACTTTCTATTGTATTTGGAAACTATTTTTAAATGATAGATTGTACATGCCAACACTCTTGACTAATACAAAAGCAGTTTTGATTGAAGTCGGCTTTGGAATGTCTCTTACTGGAAAATATGGCTAAAATAGAGTATTTTATTTCTCTGCCCCTTTAAATCCTTTTTCTGCAGTGGTTTTACTTTCCTCAGCAAGCTTACAGTCCATATTCTCTAACAATTCCAATTTAGTATCATTTATGTCTTTTCAATAAAATTATTATAGATATCACCTAAATGCAACATAATTGTAAGGCTTATTAAGGCTTATTATGCAAACAAATTCGCAAAGAATAAAACCTCCTTTGTTGAGGGTCCCAGTTTGGAGATCAGAATATTTTTCTCTAGCCTGATTGAGATAAAAAGTAAGAGGCTGGGGAGAGTTAGGCAGGGGGTCTGTAGGAGGGCGTTGACCTCTGCAGAGAAGGCCAGTGTGACAGGGAAGCAAGAACGAGCTACAGCAGCATCCAGCCCTGTCCCTGTGGGTGCCACACCCCTGACACCAGGCACAGTGATTTTACAGTCATGGAGTTCTCTGAGAAAATATGTCCCTCCCACTTTTCTTCCTGGTAATTAAATGTCAGAAGAAGAAACTTGAAACCAAGACTAGAAAAGGAAATAGCCCAAGAGTTGGCACTGGGATACAAAAAGCCCACTAGCTGAGATGAACCCAGCAAGGGGGCACGCCAGGCCAGAGAGCTCCCATGACCCTGGTACCAGGCTCCCCCTCTGCCCCGCCACAGAGCTGGGCTGGGCTGGGGACTTCAGAGGACATTTTCACATAACAAGCCACGTGTCAAGAGGACATAGAAGGAAGAAAAATTCCAGATATGACACGAGAGAGAATTTTCTCCCCACAGAGAGACTGGAGAAGGGACACCTACATGGTGAAGAAAGGAGAAGGAAGAGAAAATATCTCTGAGAGGTGGGGCAGCCCCTCAGCAATCCTGACACGGAAGCTGTGTTTGCAACAGAGAAAGAGGCAACAACTAACAAGGAGTTTGGGAGGTCAAGATCATCCCAGCAAACATCTACTGGGCATTAGCAAGGTCCTGGGCACTGCTTTAGAAACTTGGGACATCCCTGTAGGAAGATGTGGCATCTGGTCCGCAGGGGCTGACTGTCAGACTTGAGAAAAGGTGACGGCACTGCAGGACGATTCCTGCCATGGAGTCGTGAAGGAAGGGCAGTGGGAGGCGCATGCCGAGCATCTCTGAGGTGCCTCCCCGAAGGCACATTGGAGCCACGTCCTTTGGAAGAGGAAGCATCTGCTAGAAGGACAAACGGAAGAGGGGTGCCCTCAGTAGAGAGTGTCGCAAGCAAGTCCGTGCTGTGGGAGCATAGATTGCAGGATTGAAGACACCACAGTGGGGACCTCAATGAAGGGCCGTGGCCCGAGGGGAAAGATACTAGGCTTTGTTCTACAGCCCACGGGGAGCTCAGGACAAGTTCTGCTGAAGAAAGCATGATCCGATCTGTGGGACGCAAAGTTCTGTTCGGATTTTTTTGAAGGCCAGCATAGATGGGGAGAGGATGGAAGCAGGAGGCTGGAAATTGGCCCACGGCCTCTCTGCATCTGAACCTAGGTTTTGGCAGCATGACTGGAGTGGGAAGAGGTGCTGCTTAGAGGGCAGGGGTGAATATATTTCAGAGAAAGTGTCAGCAGTGTTGGAAAGTGGGGGGCAGAAGGCCCCCGTGATAACGCTTTTCTCTCTGGGCAGTCGTCCGCAGTGCTGCAATCCACTGAGACGTGAAGCGCAGGACAGAAATCCTGGCGTGTCCTGAGGTGTGGAGAGGAAGAAGACGGATGCAGGCCCGAAATGCGGAGCATGACAGATCTGCCAAGGGCATAGCCAAGTGGGGGAGTGTGTCTGGAGGTCAGGAGGAAGCTCTCCAGAGAAAGAATGGGCGAGAGAACTTGGCACAAAGAGCAGGGGGATGACGGCTGAAAACCTGGTTGTGAGCAAAATCATTCAAGCTGAGTAGAAAGAGTAGACAAAGAACCTTGATAGCAAGGCCGGAATCCTGGGGATACAGCTTTAAAAGACGACAGAGGCAAAACCAAAAATTCACAAAAGAGGTTGAGAAGAGGCCAGAAATACCGTAAAGACCAGGGAAGTGGTGTCATGAAAACCAAGAGAGTAAGGAGTTCCAGCAAGGAGGGGCTCACCTGTACCAAGTGCCAAAAGAACTCAGAGGGCCACTGCATTTGACCACAAAGACGTACGGGACACTTCTACTGGTTTGGTGAAAATGGAAACCGAGGATTTCAGCAGGGGTTGTAAGCAGAAGAGAGGTGGACACAGTGAGTGGAGACAGAGAATGGAACCCTTCTTTTTTTTTTTTAAGACAGAGTCCTGCTGTGTTGCCAGGTTGGAGTGCAGTGGCACAATCTCGGCTCACTGCAACCTCCACCTCCCAGGTTCAAGTGATTCTCCTGCCTCAGACTCCTGAGTAGGTGAAACTACAGGCGCGCGCCACCATGCCTGGCTAATTTTTGTATTTTTAGTAGAGACGTGGTTTCACCATGTTGGCCAGTCTGGTCTCGAACTCCTGACCTCGTGATCCACCCATCTCGGCCTCCCAAAGTGCTGGGATTACAGGCGTGTGCCACCACGCCCGGCCTTTTTTTCCTTTTAATATTACTTTTAATTGACACATAATAATTATACATATTTATGGGGTACAGTGTGACAGTTTGATACATGTATATATGTGCAATGATCAAATAGCATAATTAGCAGATCCATCACCTCGAACACTTATCATTGTGTTGGGAACATTCAGAATCCATGGAGCTCATTCTTGCCAGGGGCTTGGCTAAGCAATCAGAGGGAAATAGAGCGCTAGAAAGAAAACCAGAGGCAAGAGAGGGAATTTTATTGTTGTCTGTTTCAGGACGTGAAAACGTTGAGTGTGTTTGTCTGCTAAGGGGAAGGGACCAATGAGGGATAGAGAAGATGACATGGAAAAAGACGCGTGACTAACGGAACCAATTCTTAGGAGCAGAAACTAAATGGGACCCAGAGCACAGGGGCAGGGCAGGAGGCAGTGGGAGGAGAAATTCACCTTAGAGACGGAAGGGGCCCTTATCAGAGCGATGGAAGAAGGTGAGAAGGAATATAACATAGACAGGTGAGTGGGTGGAGCAAGAGAGGAGAGTTCCTGACGGCGGTGATTATTTTCTTTGTGAAGTAAGTCACAAAGGCACCTTGTGAAAAGAGGGTGAGATCATCTGGAGACAGTACGGAGCAGTGTGGAGCGGCCGCTGTGGAGATGAAGAGTGTGTATGTGAACATTGCTAAGAAGTGGGCAGTGCAGGCCGGGCGCAGTGGCTCACACCTATAATCCCAGCACTTTGGGAGGCTGAGGTGGGTGGATCACCTGAGGTTGGGAGTTCGAGACCAGCCTGACCAATATGGTGAAACCCCGTCTCTACTAAAAATACAAAAATTAGCTGGGTGTGGTGACATGTATCTGTAATCCCAGCTACTCGAGAGGTTGTAGCAGGAGAATTGCTTGAACCTGAGAGGCAGAGGCTGCAGTGAGTGGAGATCACACCACAGCACTCTAGCCTGGGCAACAGAGTGAGACTCTGTCTCAAAAAAAAAAAAAAAAAAAAAAGGAGTGGGCAGTGCAGTTGGAGTCAAAGCACTGGGGCTCCCATTCACGCTGAAGTATGGTTCATCAGCATCATTCAGGTTCCTGGTATAAAGAAGGAAGATGTAAATCTGAATTTACTCCATGTTGCTGAGTAAGGTGGCTCACACCTGCAGTCCCAGCTACTTAGGAGGCCAAGGCAGGAGGACTGCTTGAACCCAGGAGTTCAAATCCAGCCTGGGCAACATAGTGAGATCCTATCTCAAAATACATAATAATAAATTAATTTACTCCATGCTTGGTGGTTTGCCAAAGAACAGAGGGCAATGGAGTGGAGGGAGCTGGTAAGAGAGTGTTGGAATTGCTGTTCTGTGGGGTCTGGGCTAGAAAGGACAAAAGTGAACATAGGAAGTGGTTCATCAGACTTGGAGGATGTGGGGGAGATGGGATGTGAAGTGGTGCTTTCTTCACAGCATTTGCCTTGGTTGTAACTAAGCCTTTAGTTAAGTCATCATTGGATCACTGTGCTCTGCCCCAGGTGCAGGTCTTTGTGAGAAGGGACCATGCCTGTGTGGTTCATCGCTGTATCGCAGTCCCTTGCACAGTCCCTCCTACACACCGGGTGCTCATTAATTTTTTGTTGAATATTTAATGAGAGAGCTGGAAGGTCTGGGAGAGACTGGATTATGGCAGAGAGGCATATGGACTCCCACAGGTGGAGTACTTCCAAGGGATGATAGATCCAAGCCATGGAGGGAAAGAGGCGAGATGCAGCAAGGTGACCTCAACAGAGCCATGTCGAGCTGGGGAGAGGAAGCACAGGCAGAAAGGAGAGAGGGAACAGCAGTCAAGGGGCTGGAGACCGTGGGGATGAGAGGCCAAAATTAACTGGCCTCAGGTTGCTAGCTAGAAATTTATCAAAAAAAGTATTAGTTTGGTGCAAAAGCAATTGTGTTTTTTTACATTATTATTATACTTTAAGTTCTAGGATACATATGCAGAAGGTGCAGGTTTGTTACATAGGTACACACGTGCCATGGTGGTTTGCTGCACCCATCAACCAGTCATCTACATTTGGTATTTATCCTAATGCTCTCCCTCCCCCAGCCTCCCACCTCTTGACAGGCCCCAGTGTGTGATGTTCCCCTCCCTGAGTCCATGTGTTCTCATTGTTCAACTCCCACTTATGAGTGAGAACATGCAGTGTTTGGTTTTCTCTTCCTGTGTTAGTTTGCTGAGAATGATGGTTTCTAGCTTCATCCATGTCCCTGCAAAGGACATGAACTCATCCTTTTTTATGGCTGCATAGTATTCCATGGTGTATATGTGCCACATTTTCTTTATCCAGTCTCTCATTGATGGGCATTTGGGTTGGTTCCAAGTTTTTGCTATTGTGAACAGTGCTGCAATAAACATATGTATGCATGTGTCTTTATAGTAGAATGATTTATAATCCCCAATGGCAAAAACCACAATTACTTTTGTACCAACCTAATACTTTAGTGCTGAAATTGAGGTACGCCATGGCTTGCAGGAGGCTGTACTTGCTACTTATATCTGGTTCTGGTAAGTAGAAGCAAGAACTAAGAGAGGTCATCCAGGCCAAAATAATAAGCAGAAAGAAAAATATTCTGCCCGTGGACACATCTCAATGTTAGGCAGAAATTAACTGAAAATCAGTTATGGTGCAACTGCTTCATTTTATCTTTTCAGAATTCCTTTTTCAAAATACTTTCCCTCCTGCATGAGTATTCTGAGTTGGGTCTGCCTTTGCTATTAACATCTGTATAATCAAGTTTATGGTCTAATTGGGCAATCACTGCAAACATTTCTGGGTAAAAAGCCATGCATTCTAGCATTATTTTAATAAGCCTCTGATCCAGTTAGTTCTAGTCATCCAGTGGTTTATTTTGTACTAAAGAACCAGCTTTTAGATTTGGCACTACCTTTTTCCATTTTCTAATTCAGTATTATCTGCTTTTATCTGTGTTTAATGTGTCCCCTCTTTTCTTGGTGTATTTTGTTGCACTCTTTTCTTTTCTTAATTTTTTGAGTTGGATACTAATTCACCTTTTTTCCATTATTCCTTTTTGGACTGATTTAAATACTTAAGACTAAAATCTCCCATGAGCTCTGCCTTATTTTTTACAGGTTTCATAATTGCTGTTTTCTAGAAATTTTACAATTTTTGATATCTATATCTTCTTTATATCAAGAGTATTTGGGCTGGGTGTGGTGGCTCACGCCTGTAATCCCAGCACTTTGGGAGGCCGAGGTGGGTGGATCACTGGAGGTCAGGAGTTCAAGACCAGCCTGGCCAACATGGCAAAACCCCCTCTCTACTAAAACCACAAAAATTAGCCGGGCGTGATGGCACGCCTGTAGTCCCAGCTACTTGGGAGGCTGAGACAGGAGAATCGCTTGAACCTGGGAGGTGGAGGTTGCAGTGAGCCAAGATCCCACCACTTCACTCCAGCCCCAGCATGGGTAACAGAGTGAGACTCCATCTAAAAAAAGAGAGTATTTGATAAAAATGGTTTTAAATTTTTTTAAATTGAAAATTCCAAACATAAACAAAAGTAGAGAAATAGGATATAGGATTTCCATATACCCATTACACAGCTCAATGATTATCAATATATGACAAATTTTGGTTCATCTTACTGCAAATCCCAGATATCTTATCATCTTATTACAAACATTTCAATATGAAAATAAAGATTTTTGAATTTCCTAGTGGAAGGGAGGTTTTTTTCTGGCGTTATTGTTAATGTCTGATGTTATTACGTGATCATCAGAAAATATTTCCTGTACTATTTATACTCTTGGAATATCTGTCATTCACAAATGTAACCTGGACATTTAAAAAGTTCATTTTCTGTTTCCAGGGTACAGTTTATTTAATATATATCAGTTAGATTTACCTTACTTAATGTTACAAACTAGAAGAAGTAGTCTACTAATGTAGTTTCTACCTTCTCCCTTTATCTCTTGTAATTTCTACTTTGTTAACCAAGTTGCTATGTTATTGATGCATAAACACCCATTACAATTATATATTCTTAATAATTACACCTATTTGCATTATAAAGTGCACTTATTTAATGTTTTTTTTGGCCTGAATTCCATCTTGTCTGATATTAACATTGAGACCTCTACTTTCTATTTGTATTTGCTTGTTATACTGTAGCTTGTATTTTGTTTCCAATTTTGATCATATCATTCTTCTGAACACTTTTATATATAAGCAATCGTATCAGTCAGGGTTTTTGGTTGCAAGCAACAGAATCCACTTTAGTGATTCTGTTAGAAATTTATTTAGAAAATAAGTTTACTAAAGGGTATTTGATAGCTCACAGTATTTCAAGGAGAGCCAAAGAATTTGTCCAGGGGGCTATGAAGCCAGGACAATATCCATTCACCCCACAGAACTTCTCTCAGGCATGGCCCATCACACCTGGGCACTGACCCTGCAGTTCACACCCCTAACACTGAGCAATGGAGGACTAGATGAGAACCTCTGCCACTGCTATTCTGAAAGCTGGATTTCTCTCCACCACAACACACCACTCCTTCCAGGAAGAGACTCCACACAGCTCTCCTTTCTTATACTGTCTTCTTCCAAATAAAAGTCTGACTGACAGAACCCAGGTCAATTCCTCTGCTCTAGCTTCTAGGGAGGCTGGACATTGAATTGTAGCTTCTAGGGAGGCTGGACATTGAATTGTAGCTTCTACCTTCAAGAGGAGAATTCATAATATGGGGATTTCTCCAAGACATAGAAGACCATGTTTGTCACGAATATGATAAATACCTCTACATTAGTCTTACTGTAGTTTCAGATATAGATACTTAGCTCCTAACTAAAAATAGTTCAAGAACCTATAACCAGATATTCCCCTGATATAATTTTGTAGGTAGTTGGGGTTTTTTAAAAAAATGTATTTGGATGCATGCAGGAGGTTGTCTAAAAATGTCCCTACCTTTACCAGAAAATAATCTGTGATCACAAGTTTTGCCTTTCTTGCTTCTTTTAGGATCATGTCTTCCTCCCCGTTTCTATGTCCTGAGCTCTCTTTTTTAAAATATTTTAATTTTTATGTTTTAGAAACAGGTCTTGCTATGTTGCCTGCTTGGTCTTGAGCTGCTGGCCTCAAGCAATACTCTGCCTTGTTCTCCCCACGTGCTGGGGTTACAGGTGTGAGCCAGAATGCCTGGCCCTATAGCCTAAACTCTTATTCTAAGCTTACAACTTCTTACCCAGGATACTAGAATCTTTTCCGATGGCTCCCACCTTTCTTCTCCTTTCTCCAAGCCATCCTACCGAACTCTCTGGCATTATGTTTTGTTTTTAGACAGAGTCTCACTCTGTCACCCAGCCTGGAGTGCAGTGGCATGATCTCGGCTCACTGAAACCTCCGCCTTCAGGGTTCAAACAATTCTCGTGCCTCAGCCTACTGAGTAGCTGGGATTATAGTCATGCACCACTGCACCTGGCTAATTATTGTATTTTTAGTAGAGTCAGGGTTTCACCATGTTGGCCAGGCTGGTCTCAAACTCCTGACTTCAGGTGATCCACCCGCCTCGGCCTCCCAAAGTGCTGGGATGACAGGTGTGAGCCACTGGACCCAGTCCTCTGGCATTATGTTTTTGCAGTCTGGGGTCAGAGTCCATGCTTTATGTAATCTTTTAGCTCTTCTTGATTTTGCAAAGGCATGCTGTGTGGCCATGTGATGCTGGGCAATGTTGGGTCAGGGAATGCAAATATGAGTAAGGCAAAGCCCAATATCAAGAGGCTCTCAATCTCGTGGAGAAGACAGACAACCAAATAGGAAAATACAACCTAATTTAAAGTGCTACAATTGTGGTACATAGAAAGGGTAGAAAGAGGCTGGGCACGGTGGCTCATGCCTGTCATCCCAGCACATTGGGAGGCTGAGGCCAGTGGATCACCTGAGATCAGGAGTTCGAGACCAGCCTGACCAACATGGAGAAACCCCATCTCTACTAAAAATACAAAATTAGCCGGGCATGGTGTGGCGCATGCCTGCAATCCCAGCTACTCGGGAGGCTGAGGCGGCAGAATCACTTGAACCCGGGAGGCAGAGGTTGCGGTGAGCCGAGATTGCACCATCACACTCCAGTCTGGGCAACAAGAGTGAAACACCATCTCAAAAAAAAATACCTAAGCCAGCCTGTTGGGCAGAGGTGGTCTAAGGGGACTCCTGGAAGAGGGCGCCTCTGAATAGGGTGTTGAAGGATGAATTGGATTTGCCCAGGAAAGAAGGGCATTATAAGCATGAGAAACTGCCTGTGCGGAGGCAGATAGGCACAGGGCGTTGAGTGCTTGGAGGGAAAACTACGAGTACTTTAACACTGCAGGCCGCCTGAAATAACACAGCAGGAGAGGACTGCTATCTCAGGGCAAGGCACGACACGAGAGGAGTCGGGATACTTTTCTTAAAGTCAATGGAAGCAACTGAAGGCTATTAAGCATTTTAGACAGATCACCCTAACACCAGTACGTAGTAGCTTTCTGGTGATGGGCAAAAAAATAAGGCGACTCTTGCAGAAACCCATGAGAAATTGTGGGGTGTCAGTGTGGTGTCTGCGGGGGTCGGAGTGAAGGGGTGTCAGGAAGGAATCAACAGAACTTAATGTCTATGGATTGTGGTCAGAGCAGAGCGGAAGTCAAGAACAACTCAAGCATTTCTGTCTGGAGTGTTTTGGTGAAGGAATTCTAAATCGAGGCTGTTGGAGAGGGAGTGCTGTTTAGGATGTCCCAAATTTGGGACATCCAGGTGGAATGGCCTGGCAGGAATCTGGATTTAGGAGACACAGGTGGAGGCTGAGGCTGTGGGGTGCTGCTTTTCAACCCTGGCTGCACACTGGAAACACCTGAAGCTCTGACAGCCTCTCATTCTGGGCCCCACCCCAGAGCGTCTAATGTCACGGGCCCGGGCCTAGAGGAAAGCTCCCCAGGGGACTGGAGTGGGCAGCCTGGGTTGAGACCCACTGGCATAAAGAGAGGGGTTTCAAGCCTGCGGGATGCCCCTCCCCACTCTAGGATTTACCAGCCAAGTGACCCTGGGGAGGTCATTAGCCTTATGGTCTTAGTTTCCTGCACTAAAAAATTAAGATTGTACCTCTTCAAAGAATTATGAATATTACGTAAGATAACGTGTGTGAAGTGCCTAAGCCCATTCCTGGCACATACTGCAAACCAGATATGTGTCGGGATTCACTCCCAGAGCAAGTCTGAGGAAGGACATACTCTCAGCCTGCAGTCCCAAAATGGAACCAGGCTTTCTGTTTAACAGAAAGGGAAATAAGGAATCTCCCAAACCTGTCATCCACAGGACACCTCTCTGTGTGCATACCGTCCGGCTGGCTCCGACCTTCACAGAGCAGCCTTTAGAATGTAGCACAGGACACGGAAGTGTCGCAATGCCTCAGCCCTGACAGCAATGATCCAACAGCCGTGGCTCGCACTGAGACACAATGCTGGGATGCAATGGAGCCATTCACTTGTGTAGCCCCTAAACCATGATTTAGAAAGCACCGTGTGTGCAAGGAAGGGCATCTATCAGTCCTTCCTTCATCCTTTCAACCAACATTGTTCGGTCCTCGCTCTCTGCCAGCCACCACACTAGGTTCTGAGGGGGACATAATAGGCAGGAAAGAAATGGTCTGTGCCTCCGATGGGGACAGACCCATGTCCTCGACACCTGTCTAGTCCATTCCCTTTTCAGCATCAAAGCAGCCCCCATTATTTCCACCTCCATCATTTCCCTCATGGGTTTTGGCAAGAGCCTCCTAATTCTTTCACCTGTCACCAGTAGCAAGCTCTTCCAATCCATTCTGGCATCAGATACAGATTACTTATCACGTAATCCCTCAAATAAATGTTAACTGTGACTATGTATGACAACAGAGGTACCTGATGCTATGGGACCATATCTTAGGGGGCTTCGATCAAATAGAGTGGCCAGAAAGGCTTCTCCGAAGAAGTGACAGAAAACTGAGAAGTCAGTGCAGACACAAGTGGAGACGGGTTGGGGAGACTCCTCAGGCCTCACAAGCCTCACCCGTCAGCTATTCCACGCTGCCAGGCCCTTCTTTGCACAGCTCCCTCCACTTGACGTACCTACAGCAAAAGCAAGTGGTGCTTAGAGCAGGTGCCCCTCCTCAGCCAAGACTCCCTTCAGCACCGTCCCTCTCGAGGTCACTTCTGACCACACCTGCTCCCCAGTCATCGCTCCCCCGTGTCTCCGCCGGGTCTATCACCAAACCTCTCACCCAGTGCAAGACCCCGAGGTGGCAGATTCACTCCCACTGGACGGCATGCTCCTCACAGGTGGGTCTGCTTACCCCTCTATCCAGTAGCGAATGCAACGCCAGACAGAGGTTTGTCTTCAGGGATGGACTTACACGATTGTGGAGGCTTGGCAAGCCCCAAATCTGCAGGGTAGGTGGGCAGGCCGGAGACCTAGGGCACGGCTGCTGTTGCAGCTTGAGTCCTAAGGAAGTGAGTGTGGAGGCAGAATACCCCTCCTCAGGGAACCTCAGTCTTTTTCTCTTCAAGCCCTCAACTGATTGGACAAGGCCCACCACATTCAGAGGATAACCTACTTAAAGTCTACTGATGTAAATGTTAATCTCATCTTAAAATACCTTCGCAGCAACACCTGTGCTGGTGTTCTACCAAACATCTGCGTACCATGGTGCAGCCAGGTTCACACAAAAAATTAAGCATCACCCCAAGTAAAAACAGCCTTTGGTGATGATGTGTGAAGTCTTGAGACCTGCTTATGATGTGTTTATCTTCTCCATTCTCTTCCTTTTCCTCCCTCCTTTGTCTGCTCTCTTTCATGCCTCTCCCTTTTCTTCCCATTTTCCCCCTTTCTTTCCTCCTGTGTGTGTCTCCCTCCCTGTGGTTTCTTCCAGGTGTGCCGGGGGTCCCGTCAGCTGCAGGACACGGGAGGGATGGAGTGAAGCAGAAAGGCCCCGCCGTGACCACACTCATCCCAGAAGAGCCTCTCTGTTGGCATGAAAGGAAATCACAAGGAAAGGGACTTTTCAAGGTCAGACTGCACCAGTGGAAAGTCAGCACCAGCCCCCAGGGCTCGAGGCAGCCTGTGCCCTTTCCACTAACTGTGCCAACTCTCACCAGGGGAAGGCTGACCAGGAACAAAGGCCCTTAGAGGAGAGCAGAACTCCTGCAGCCTGCACTTCCGAGAGATCCTGCTCCACGGAGCCCGGCTCTACTCCTGCAGGCAGAACCTGCCAGCCCGCAGATGCTGGGGGCTGAAGGATCCCGGCGACACCAAGCGTCAGGTCAGGCGTCAGAATCCAGCGCGTTTGCTCCTCGAGAACAGCGCGCCACCTGCTCCCAAGTGTGTGAGGGGCTGCAGTGCCGAGCTCCACTTCACAAGACTCACTCCTGCCCCGCCACCTCCTGAGCAGACGCAGTCAAGCCCGACCTACCTTTCAACAAACATGTATTAGCACTCCCTCCATGCCAGGCACTGTGCCAGGTGCGAGGGTACCATGACCAAGCCAAGGCCCCAGGCTCAGAGCACTCACACGCCAGTGGAGGGGGCAGCCCTGTGCGACCCAGCAGGGCACACCCCACCTCCAGCCTAGGCTCCACCCAGGCCTGATCTGGGTAGCCCGGCGGACGTACTGACTCCCTGTTCACCGATACCGTCATCCAACCTTCCTATTTATTTATACATTAAAACACTGCAGCCAGAGCGGCGAGGTGTCCCGCCAAGAAACGGCCAAATCCAGTTTCCTCCCCAGCCAGCCTCTCCTTAGAAGCGGCAGAACCGCTTCAACCACTAGAGGGCACCAGCCAACCCTCGATGGATCCAAATGTGCCCACGTCGTGAGGGAGCCTCAGCACCGGGTCGCGGCTCCCAGCTCCACCGTCATAGAACACGAATAGCTTTTGTCTTTTCTCAAAATGAGCCCTGCAGTTGAGGCAAGCTTTACATTGGCTGCACAGACTTTACTCTTTTTAAACATTTTTTGGGAGTCCATAGCAGATGTATATATTTATGGGGTATGAGATGTTTTGATATAAGCATACAACTCATAATAATCACGTCAGGGTAAATGGGGTATCCACCCCCTCAAGCATCTACTCTTTCTTCGTGTGACAAACAATCTAATTATACTCTTTCAGTTATTTTTAAGTGTACAATAAATTATCGTTGACTATAGTCACCCTGTCATGCTGTCAAATACTGCATCTTATTCATTCTAACTATACTTTCGTACCTATCAACCCTCCCCACCTCCCAACCCCCCATCCTACTGCCCTTCCCAGCCTCTGGTAACCGTCTATCTACTCTCTATGTCCACGAGATCTTTTTTTTTTTTTTTTTTGAGACAGAGTCTCCCTCTGTCACCCAGGCTGGAGTGCAGTGGCCCGATCTTGGCTCACTACAACCTCCGCCTCCCAGGTTCAAGCAGTTCTCCTGCCTCAGCCTCCTGAGTAGCTGGGATTACAGGCACCCGCCACCACGCATGGCTAATGTTTGTATTTTTAGTAGAGACGGGGTTTCACCATGTTGGGCAGGCTGGTCTCAACCTGCTAAGTTCAGGTGATCCGCCTGCCTCGGTCTCCCAAAGTGCTGGGATTACAGGCATGAGCCACCGCACCCATCCAATTGTTTTGATTTTTAGATCCCACAGAACATGCAAAGTTTGTCTTTCTGGGCCTGGCTTATTTCACTTAACGTAATGACATCCAGTTCCATCCATGTTGTTGCAAATGACAGGATCTCATTCTTTTTTTATGGCTGAATATTGCTCTATTGTGTATAAGAACCACATTTTCTTTCCTTTTTTCTTTTTTTGGACAGTCTCCCTCTGTTGCCTAGGCTGGAGTACAGTGGTGTGAACTCAGCTCACTGCAACCTCCACCTCCCAGGTTCAAGGGATTCTTGTGCCTCAGCCTCCCAAGTAGCTGGGATTACAGGCATGCACCACCAAGCCCAGCTAATTTTTGTATTTTTAGTAGAGACGGGGTTTCACCATGTTGACCAGGCTGGTCTCAAACTCCTGACCTCAGGTGATCCGCCCATCTCGGCCTCCCAAAGTGCTGGGATTACAGGTGTGAGCCACCACGCTCAGCCCAAGAACCACATTTTCTTTATCCATTCATGAACAGACTTTACACTTGAGCCTGTAAGTTAAGGGGTGAGGAAGTCAAGCTATCCTAATGCAGAGAAAAGAGACCAAAGATTGCCTTATTAATACGTTACCAGAAAAATGATATAAAAGATTTTTTAAAACCTTTGCTCATTATCCTAACTGCCAATGTCTAATGTCAATACACAACCACACATAACCTCACATTATTGACAAGCTGCTGTATAGCAATGGTATCAAATAAATGCAGGACCGTGGACCAGTGCATCCCAGTGTGCATCAGAATCACCTGAGGGGTTTTTCTTTCTTTTTTTTTTTTTTAAGAAACAGATTCACATCTACAGAGATTCTTTTTAAGTCTTAGGTCTGTGATGGGCTCTAGAAATGTGTGTTGTCAAAAGGCTTCTGGTGTGTAAAAGGGTATCAGAAATGGGGAGAACAGACTGAATTTGAATATTTGATGACTTTTTGGTGATTTGTACCTTTGGGCATGATAAGAAGGACAATAAATCTCCAAGGTCCCCAGGCATACTGAGACCATGCTCCCCTGCTTTACTACCCAGCAGCTACACTCGGTCTTTGGAAGGTGAGTGCAAGTCTCTTGGCTGAGAAGTCCTTCCTATGACTTCTAATCTCAGTGGGATTGAAGCGACAGCAAGGCCCAGCACACTGCTGGAAGGGACACTGGTTTTGGAGTCAGATCAGCCTCATCCGGTACCCTGCTCCACCACCTAACAGTTATGTGCCCTTGAGTCAAATGTCCTTGAGTTCCCCAAGCCTCAGTTTTCTTATGTAAAATAAACGAATTGCCCATCCCACCATTGGGAGGACTAAGTGAATGAGGAGCAGCTTAGTGCCCAGAGGAGTAAGAGCTGCGATCTGCACCTGACCATTGTCATGATTAACCTATGAGAAAGAAGAGCAGGATGGCACCACCACTGCCCCCTGCAGGGCACCAGTACCCTTGGCTGTCTCGGATCTATTACAACATATTCCACATTCAGCTCCAGCTGGCGGATGACCAGACGGAGTCTTGCTCTGTTGCCCAGGCTGGAGTGCAGTGGCCTGATCTTGGCTCACTGCAACCTCTGCCTGCCGGGTTCAAACAATTCTCCTGCCTCAGCCTCCCAAGTAGCTGGGACTACAGGTGCATGCCACCACGCCCGGCTAATTTTGTATTTTTAGTAGAGATGGGATTTCACCATGTTGGCCAGGCTGGTCTCAAACTCTTGACCTCAAGTGATCTGCCTGCCTCGGCCTCCCAAAGTTCTGGGATTAAGGTGTGAGCCACTGTTCCCGGCCAAAAGCATAGACTTTAATGATGACCTCCATGTTCAATCCAATGGGTCTTTAGAATCCTATAAACCTTTTCTGTACCTCTCCTTTCAGATGCTACTGACCATCTCCTCCTTCTTGAAGCCACCTGCACCTTTGCTCCTAGGCACCGTAGCAGCCTTCTGAGCTCTCCTTCTCTTTCCTTCCCTTTCCTTCCCATCCATCTTCCTGGTGGATGTCCTTCACCTACTCTCCTTGTCCATCAGGGTTCCCCAGGATTCTATCTTGGGCACCCTGACCTTCTCCTTTGAGCTCTTGCTTTTTGTTTTTGTTTTTATTGTTGTAGCTCTTATTGCTGTTGTTGTTTTGAGACAGGGTTCCACTCTGTTGCCCAGGCTGGAGTGCAGTGGTGCAGTCGCAGCTCACTGCAGCCTTGACCTTCCAGGCTCAAGTGATTCTTGCAATTCAGCCTTCAAGTGGCGGGACCACAGATGCACACTACCATGGCCAGTTAATTCTAAACTTTTTTGTAAAGATGGGATCTTGCTATGTTGCCCACGCTTGTCTCGAATGCCTGGGCTCAAGCGATCCTCCTGCCTTGGCCTCCCAAAGTGCTGGGATTACAGGCGTGAGCCACCACACCCCGCTCCTTTGAGCTCTTTTTAAGTGATTTCATCCACTATCATGCTCTGCCAGTCCTGCAGCTGACACTGTTATCCCTGACCTTCAGTTTTACATCTCAGCTGTCTTCCAGGCATCCATTAATGGGGTGTCCATTTGAACTTTAGAATCAATATATCCAAAATTAAATGAATCATCTTCTCCTACACTCCCTGTCCACATATACATACCCATCCCCTGAAAATGGCTTTGTCTTCCTCCTTATTGCCAATATTAGTCAACGGAGTCACCACCTAGTCCATTCCCAGACCGGAAATCCAGCAATCATCTTTCCTATTCTTCTCCCACCATGTTTAATCCTTCCCCCGGTTCTTCCGATTTTATCTCTCCAACATGCTCAGCCCATCCCTAACCCTGATTCAGAACCTCATGGTCTTTACCTGAACCACTGTGGCACAAAGAAGTTAAAATCCTTGGTGCCAAGTCCACCCCCCCAATCCCTGCCTGCTGACCTGACTCTTCATTCACTTTCTACCACACTCTCCCTCACGGTTCTAGTAAGACTGTGTGTGGTTTCCCAAGATCAAAGAGCTAATTCATGCCCCTGTGCCCTTCCTCATGCCAAACCCTGTCCTGAAATCACCCTTCCTGCCTGTCTTTGTGTGGTACCCTCTTACTGTAGGGGGTCGGATGGTTTCCCGCCTCCCCCCACTGCAAAGATGTGTCCACCTGGAACCTGAGAATGTGAGTTGATTTGGGAAAAGGGTCTTTACAGATGTAATTAAATTATGGATCTCAAGATGAGATCATCCTGGCTTCTCCAGGCAGTATAAATCCAATGGCAAGGACCTGATAGGAAAAGAGAACGCGGGCATGCAAAAGGGAGAAGGCAAGTGAGGATGGAGGTGGACTGGGAGTGATGCTGCTGCAAACTGGAGAGCCCCTGGAGCCCCAGAAGCTGGAGGAGACAAGGAGCAAAACCTCCCCTAAAGACCTCAGAGGAAGCATGGCTGTGCCACTGCCTCGATTTTTGACTTGTGGCCTCCAAAACTGTGAGGGGAAACACATCTGCATTGTTTTCAGTCTCCAGGTTTGTGGTGATTTGTTACAGCAGCTCTAGGAAACTAATACTTTAATTCTTCAGGCCTCAGTTCATGAAACATTTATGCCAGGAAGCCTTCACTGGATCTTTCCATCATCACCCACCTCTTGCCGGCTTGTACTAAGTTCCCTTCCTGTGTCTGTCTCACTCCATAAACTCCTGAAAAGCAGCGACTGCATTCTGCCCTCATGGTAATATGGGATCCAGCACTGTTCCAGGATTTAGCAGGTGCTCACCCAGATCAACGCATGAGCATCTCAGCCCCTGTGCCCCTCCTGGTCCAGGTGTGATGCCAGGTACTTCACAGACACCGCTGCACTGAGTCATCTCAGCAAGCCTAGGAGGTGGGTGCCATCATCGCTGCTTTACGGTTGCAGAAACAGGCTCAGCAACTTGCCTGAGACCATTCAGTGAGCAGAGTCAGGATGTATATCCAGATCTCTCCATCCCAGGTCCTGGCCAGCATGAGCACGACATGTTCAAAAGCCCAGCGGCAATTAGAAAAAGAGGAGATATGGGAGGAGGGTGGGGAAAGACTGGATCTGGATGAGCAGGCTAGCTGTGAGACAGAGTCATTGTGCATGCGTGTGTGCATGTGTGTGTGTGTGTGTGTGTGTGTAAACGGCAATGAGAGCCTTAGGTTAGTGCACTAAAGACAATCTAACTCATAATGCAGCATAAATATCTTACAGCAGCAGCAATTCTGAGACTGGGGAGCAAGGGTCTTGTGATGTAAGAGAGATGAGAAGGGACAAAGAAGGAGATGGGGAAGGGAGAAAGGAGAAGAGGAAGAGGAGAGGGAGAGCTCTGCTCAAGTTTTGAAACAAAACATGTTTTCCTTTCACCTCCCTCCTCCTCTTCCTCTTATCCATGCTCTGCCCTTTCTGGTGGCCTCAGTGTCTCAGGGCACAAATGCTGTCTCAGCTTCTACTATGGCACTTCCCCCAGCACAGGAGGCTAAATAAGGACCCCCCCATAAAGGCATCCAGGTCGTAATTCCTGAAACTGGTGAATGTCACCCTACATGGCAAAAAAAGGACTTTGTGGATATGAAGTTCAGGATCCTGAAATGGAGAGATTATCCTGGTGGGTCCTAAATGCAGACCGAAGCATTCTTCTAAGAGGGAGGTAGAAAGAGGTTTGAGGCACAGAAGACGAGAAGGCCGTGCCAGAGGCAGAGGATGGGGCGACACGGTCACAAGCCAATGCATGCCAACAGCCAGGACGCTGAAGACGCAAGAAATGAATTCTCCTCTCAGCCCCCAAAGGGAGGTGGCCCTGCTGACATCATGACTTCAGCCCAGGTCGCAGGTTCCAGACGCTTCAAACTTCCAGATGGCGAGGGAATACAGCTCTATTGTTTGAAGCCACCAAGTTTGGGGTCATCTGTTAGAGCAGCTGCAGGAAGCCAGATCTTCCAAACCTACCTTCATCCCAATCAAAACTTGTTTCCCAACGGCGTTCATCAGTTTGATGTCAGGGAGGACGCAATCTCATTATGTCAGTTCACCCTACTGGGCGCTCCTTCGTGCTCCCAGAGCCAACTCAGTTTTTAAAGGAGGGGATTTGTAACTCCTCAAATCTCAAATTGGTTAGATTCATGTAAAAAAATGAAGTGAACTGAAACTGTAAGCAGGGGGTGCAATCTGAGGCCGGTGGACAAACAAACGAGGCACATTGGCCTGCTTAGGTGTAGGGATCCCCCTCAAAGGCTATCTCCTTAGAATGGCTCTTCTGCCCACACGTGGGGATCTGTAAGTGCAGAAAGCTCCACGTTCGCTCCCAGTGACTCCAAGGCCACCCAGCCCAGTGCCTGGCGCACAGTAAACAGCGAATTCTGGAGGGGAATGAATGACAGCAGCAATCTCAGAGTGCCACAGAGGAGGGGCGGCATTCCCAGAGCAAGCAGTGGAGCAGCCCCCTGCTGGCACTGGCTGGTGGCGCGTCCAATGCCTGCAGCTTGACTCCTGCCCATAAAACAGAACCCCTTATTCATGTAACTGCAATCTACATTTCTCCTAAACTTGAACTTTGTCCCCAGATTCCCCACATCTGATGCAGTTTACAATAATTTATTTTCAGCAACATGTACCTCAGTTTTCTGTGAAAATGAGCCCCAGAAAGCAGATGAAATCTTTCTGTGAAGTGCTGACTTCACCTCCCTGAGAGCCATAAAAGAATGCCCCTTAACACAGTAAGCCAAAGCTCTGCAGGATGATGACTTCTGGATGGAAAATGCCCCTCAATACAGTAAGCCAAAGCTCTGCAGGGTGATGACTTCTGGATGGAAAATGCCCCTCAATACAGTAAGCCAAAGCTCTGCAGGGCGATGACTTCTGGATGGTTGCTCCAGTTAACATGGTGCAAGAAGCTGTAACTGTCAGCCCAAAGAAAAAGGCAATGGCCGAGAATAATCAGAGCCCATAATGAACACAGTTAATGGCACCCGCAACACGCTTTCTAAGTGATGTTAACATCAAAATATGGAAAGCAACACCTCCAGCTATCCTGCTGCCTTCCTCGAAGTATTCTTTCTCAATCCTTATATATATGCTCCCTCCACTTGCTGCTTTTCTTTTTTTAGAGACAGAGTCTCACTTTGTGCAGTGGTGCAATCACGGCTCATTGCAGCCTCTAATTCCTGGGCTCAACTGATCCCCTCACCTCAGCCTCCTGAGTAGCTAGGACTACAGGCATGCACCACCACCATGCCTGGCTAATTTTTAAATTTTTTATACAAACAGGGTCTCACTATGTTGCCCAGGCTGGTCTCAAGCTCCTGGGCTCAAGCCCTCCTCCTGCCTCAGCCTCCCAAAGAGCTAGGATTACAGGTGCAGGCCAATGTTTGGCCCTGAGTGCCTTTTAAAGTCCAAAAACAGGCCAGGCGTGGTGGCTCACACCTGTAATCCCAGCACTTTGGGAGGCTGAGTCGGGTGGATCACCTGAGGTCAGGAGTTTGAGACCAGCCTGGCCAACATGGTGAAACCCCGTCTCTACTAAAAATACAAAAATTAGCTAGGCATGATGGTTTGTGCCTGTAATCCCAGCTACTCAGGAAGCTGAGGCAGGAGAATCGCTTGAACTCAGGATGCAGAGGTTGCAGTGAGCCAAGATCATGCCAATGCACTCCAGCCTGGGCAACAATAATAAAACTCCGTCTCAAAAAAAAAAGTCCAAAAATAAATTGTAAAATATGACCAAGTGAAAGACTGCCTATAGAATTTGCTCCAAAATTGATGCCAAAATAATTTTTAAAGTCCCCATCCCAGTTTTTGTTCATTCAACAAAACTATATTGAGGCCAGGCAAGATGGTTCAGGACTATAATCCCAGCACTTTGAGAACCTGAGGTGGGAGGATTGCTTGAGGCCAGGAGTTTGAGATCAGACCCTCTCCATACAAAAAACAAAAAAAATAAAAATTAGCCAGCACAGTGGCATGCACTTATAGTCCTAGCTACTCAGGAGGCTGAGGCAGGAGGATTGCTTCAGCCCAAGGGTTCAAGACTGCAGTAAGCTATGATCTCACCACTGCACTCCAGCCTGGGCGATAGAGCAAGACCCCGTCTCTAAAACAAAAAACAACAAAACAACTATTCTGAGCATCTACTACTCTCAAAGTCTAGAGAGACATGAAAGAAATAGATTGTTGCATATAGGAGTAGGTGGAAGTCCTGGAAATATCCTATGGAAATATCACAGTTTGAACAAGGAGTGCTTCACAGGAAGACTTTTTCGTCCGTGCAGTTAATTGGTTCCAGTTAGGTCAACCTGAAAGTTCCCTTCACCTTTGCTCCCCACTGTCCTTCTGGGGCGGCCATTCCCACCTGGGATTTGCTCATCAGGTAGCCATGGTGCCTTCCAGCTTCAGCTACGGCAGTGCTTCTCAAACTCTGCGGTGCACACACCAACTGGGAGTGTCATTCAAATGCACGTTCTGATTCAGCGAGGTCAGGGGAGAGGCCTATGATTCTGCATTCCTAACGAGCTCCTGGGTGGTGAGATTCTGCTGTTCTGAGGACCACGTTTCCAGTAGCAAAGAATTAGAGCACTTAGTTTTTACTTAAAACAAACCCAACTTCTGGAGGCAGGAGATTCTAGTGGTGTGTGTGTATCGTTTCCAACACTTCTTCCAAAGGGTAGAGAAGGTGAAAGCGCATGAATCATTTGACAGGTTGTGGTGCTGACTGTGGCTTCCCTGCTGCTACGTCCACTGCCTGTTACTAAACCTAAAAAGAGCGCTGGAAAGCAGAGAACTAAGCTGCTTCAGAGACAAGAACGAAGGGGCTAAAAACGAAAGCCCTGGGAAATCACCTCGCATTGGATACAAGTTTCTCATGTCTCTGGGTTCCTTTCAGGTCTGGGGTTCAGATAGCAGCAGACATCTTCAATGTGTGTCCTTGTGGTTAGAGAGATTGAAGTGCTCCCCAGGACCCCTCTCACTGCCGCCTGACTGCACCAACAAGCATCTCCTGGCAGATTCTTCCTGGTGGCGTCACTATTGGGTTGAGAATACTACCGGTGACCAGAGAGAGCAGAGGAATTAGCGTGCTGAGCAAGGAAACTCCAGAGAAGCTGCCAGCCCAACAGGATAGCCAATGCCACCCATGGCTGCTGCGACGGACATTGGGAGTGACTGCTGTGTGGAGACTGCTGTACTGGGACCATCAGTATGAATACTTTCTTCTTTCTTCAAGCGCACATTTGTAATAGGCAGGACCAAGTCCCTTTCTACTTGGAATTGCCAGCTTGGGCTCATTGTGGGTGCTCAGCATGTGCCATTACCACTGGACTCATGAGAGGTAGAAAAAGGCGTAAAGGGGGCATAGACACGGCCAATGCCTCCTGACAATGATCATACAAGCCACGGGCAGCAGGTGTCCCACAGAAGGGCTGCCAGCCCTAATCACAGGAGTCTGACCAGATCCTCCTTGATAGTGACAGGAGGAAGCCAGCCCTCCTCCTCAGCCCTGGAGGAGTTCACACAGCAAATCAACAAATGCTAAATGGGAGACTTCCGGCAGCCGCTCACGCCTGCCATTGGGCATCCCAGTCTCCTCGTGGTTCCTCAGGGCCCTCGAGCGTGAAGTGGGGTGCTGGAGCCATGCTCTCATGGGCCTTTCCAGAAGGAGCAGCCTGAGATCCTGCTCACTTCATAACAGAGCCCAGGAGTTGGGCTCCCTCCAGGCCTCATCTTCCCAGCACCTCAGAAGTCAGTAGGGCCAGCCATGCTGGTGTTCTCCCGCTCTCAGCCAGGGCTCCTCACATTTGATGAAATCTCCAGTCCTGTTAATGTGTCTAGAAAGTCAACTTGTGTATTGGAGGCAGGGGTGGAGGGAGGGATTTGAAATTACCTGGAATTCTTTGTCTTAGTGCAATTTGTCTAAAGTTACTGTATTCTTTTCTTTCCATCCATCCCCTGCCCCCAAGCCCACAAATCCTCAATTTCTAAAAACTGGAAGCAAACACATAATAAGCCATCCTTCTGTGTTTGCAATCTGCTTGTCAAACTTATGGAGCCAAAGAAATAGTATTAAAAATAACGATAATAAACATGGTCGGCTTGTGATTGCTGTGTTCTCCAGTAGAGGTCTTTAGCTGCCAGGAGGCTGAACGCAGAGCAATATTTAATAAGCACTGTCTAATTTCCAGGCAGTCTTGCTTCCTAGCTTTCTTTTGATTTTGATGCTAATATTTGCGTCCCTTGAGAACGGCTATGATGCTGAGGGGTCCTGTGCTTAGAGTCCCTTTCAGCCTCACACACACACTGGGACTACACAGCTGGCCAGTAGCACTATGTGATGTCACCTGGGTGCCTGAAGGCCCCCATTCATTTGCCTGATTTTGGTCAATTAAACAAACTTCAGGAGGAATTACTGTGGCTTTTTCAGGGAGGCTAGAGCTTTCTCTGGGATGAGGGCAAAAAATGAAATGAGTGGAAAAATCATCTAACAGTGCAAACTCCACACTACCCTGTAAAACACAGAAGAGCCACCGTAGGAGAGATTTGCAGGCAAAGTAAAACCACTAACTGCACGATCCAGTCTTCTTTTAGGTGCCTCGTCTGTATTTACTTATTTCACTGGAGTGACCACCCGGTAACATAGTAGAAACATTATTTCCATTTTACAGATGAGGAAACTGAGGGACAGTAGATTCAGGACGATGCCTCGAGTCTCACCCAGCTGGTGGGCGGTAGGGCTGGGATCTGAACAGGCTGGCTGGCTCCGGCGAACCTCGGCTCTTCCCTACTCTGCTCTTATGTTGCGTGGAAACTAGGCCAGGATCAGGGAACTCCTGATCTTCACCCTGAGGAGAAGCAAAGAGAAGACAGCCCTGAGGCGCCCCACTCTGGGGCAGCGTGTGTGACCCAGGCCTTCGGACCGAGAAGGGAGAAAGGAAATACGTCCTTCCCTATCCTGAAGCGGAGGGCGTTCCAGGTTTCGCAGGTAGTGCTGCAGCCGCGCAAGGACCGGGCGAGGCTGCGCCCCTGAGCCCAAGTCTCCACTCACCGGCCTTCCCTTGCCCCCTCACCTGCACGCGGGTACTTTTAGCCCTGGGCAAGCCTTGAGCCAAGCGCCGAGACCAAACCCGGGAAATTAAACAGTGTGCATGGAATGAAATGTGGTCCGTGGAAGGTGCCTGCAGCTGGCGGTTAACACCGGCAGTAAGAGGATCAACGCCCGGGCCGCTGGCTTAAAAATGGGAGTGGGAGTGCGAAGTGTGCGCGCTCCTTTTTACCCATTCACGTTAGTTAATTTGGATGATAAGGGTTCGCGTTTAATCTCTTTGTGTGCGAGTGAATATCCTGAAATCGACAACCCCTGAGAGGGCACTCGCGGCTGGCAGAGCAACCTGGGAGGGTGCGGATCGTGTCCAATCTGGCGTGAAGCAGAAAGGAAACATCGTGAGGAGACTAGAGGCAGGACCGAGAGGGACACCCTAGGGGTGCGAGGTGCAGACCGAGCCCTCACATCTCCCAGGCCGCAGCAGGTGGGCCGATGGCTTCCCCGAGGCCTGGCACCCCAGGCCTGGCTCTGCGCCCTGAGGCTCCCAGGTCCCACCAGCTAGAAGAGCGCCGCCTACCCACCCCTGCCAAGGTCTAACGACCCCAAGGGGGGCGCTGGGCCCTGCCATCTCCCTGCAGAACAGAGAGAATTTAGGCAGGGTTAGGGGCAGGCAGAAAAGAAGAAAAATCTGAGAAGCGGTCTCAGCTGTTCCCAGATGGAAAAGATTAGAGAGGTGAGAGTTCGGTGGCTCTAGAAAGGGCCATAAAACAAAAATCATTTTTATCGTTTCAATCTGCAAGAAAGCTCACCCCCCACCCACACCCCACAAGCTCAGAGCCCCCAGAGTATAGGATCCGAGGCAGCAAGTGTGAGCGAGGCCCGTCCTGGGGGAGGTGGCCTCTGGCCGCGGGGCCAGGTTGCCCTCAGAGGCGCAGGCGGCCAAGAGAGTTCCCAGCCGCCGCCGCCCCCCTCCTTCCCCTTGGGCCCGTCCAGCAAATTTCCTCCCTCGTTTCTGTTCGTGCCTTCCCTCCCTCCTCCTCCCCCCGATATTTTCGCTTTCTAAAACCATAAAAAAGAGATCAACTTCCCAAACTTCACAGGGCCCTTTTCAGTGACAAATATTGATGCCCAAAGTGTCTGCGCTCTCCCGCCCCCAAACGTTAAGAAAAGACGCCAGCGAAAGGGAGACATAAAAAGTTAACAATGCTGTGAAAATATGTTTGCAGAAAATAGACAATCGTTGGATTAAACGTATTCAAGTATGAAATAATGCCTTTTTGTGTCAAAACTTGGGCGATGGGCGGGTACAAAAGTTCCCTGTGGCAGCTACTTGCTCCCTTTGTGAGCCGTGCGCTTTGGCGTCTCCACTTGGGCGCATTACTCAGAGCCCTCTAAGCGCGATTGTTTCTCCCTTTCTAATGACATTTACCGGATCAAAACATGCTGTTAATTCGATCAGAAGGCTTCACCCTCCCTGACAAAGCCACAATAATTTCTCCTGAAGTTTGTTAAATTGACCAAAATTAGGCAAATGAATAGGGGTCTGTAGGCGCCCCCTCTCGCAGGTGACGTTGCATAATGCTTGCCTGGGCCAGCTGCATTCCCCCTTTTCTTCTCGGCCCACTCTTCTCCGTGTTGCCCCCCAATCCTCCCACCCGCCCCTTCACACACAAACACACACACACGCCCGCCAGTCTCTCCTCCCCCACCCTCTGGCATTATTAAAATTTAGCCCAATGAAACTATTCATACTTTTCAATGGACATTTTCGTATAGGATAATAGGCTACAAATTGAGCCTCTTCCCCCCGCGAAGAGGGAGCAGGAGGGGTGGGGAGAAAAGAAAGCCAGCGACGTGGTCAGGGAGTAGGGGGGAGCGTCGCGTGCCAAACAGCGGCGGGAGGGGCGAGGCGAGGCGAGGCGGGAGCCTCGTGTGCCAGCCGCAGCCCCACACCTGCCGGGATGTCCGGACAAATAAAGCGGTGTAAACAAAAAGGGGGGAGAAGGACGTGTCACCAAGTCGTGTGAGAAAAGCCTGGGAACAAACGGGGCGCCTCCGTCTCCAAGAGCTCTCCCTTGAACCCGGCGGAACAGCCTATTAAAGGCTTACTTAATTACTTTAATGACTCTGGACAGGCTTTAAAACGCACTCGGCGCTGGGACGGCGGGCTTGCTGGGATTTGTAAACAGGCGATCATGTGAGACTCAGCGGTGGGACTAAAAGAGGCGACACTGTTTTGTGAGGGTCCTCGCCCCCCGGTGCCCGCGGCCGCTGCGCCCCTGCGCTCCGCGCCCGCGACTGCTGCAGGCGCTTGCTCGCCCGCCGGCCCCAGTTTACCGCCTCCTTTTCCCGCCCGAGCTGTTGCCATGCAAATGTTATTCCTGGGCCGATCACGTGTCCTTTGAAGGGCCACGTGGATTAACAAAGCTGATCTGCCCCCAGCTCGCCCCCCTCGGCTGCTAATTTTTTTTTTTTCTTAACTTCTTTAAAACTGATCTTGAATGCATACATCCTCCAAACGCAGCTCCCCTAATCCTATGGAATAATTCAACTCGTGAATGCATCTGGAGCCCTAGATGACCGCTTTATAAGGCAGCCCTCGGAGTTGGGAGGCTGCAGTCTACCTGGGACACTCGAGGAGGCACACGAGGCGGAAAAGTGGACGGGTGCCCCGCGCCACCGCCTCTCCCGAGGGCGCGTACTGACCAGGATGTCAGACAAGCTCAAGGAACGCAAAGTGAGTCGGCTGAGCCCAAATGGCACTTGCGCCCTGGTGGTGGAGGCATCTGACTCACCGACCCGCCACTTGGGTGGACCGATGGCAGGGAAGTGCCCGCACGGGACTTTGAGTGTGGAGGAATCTCGAGTGGTTTGGGAAGGGGGTGGGGTAGAGAGAGGAGGGTGCTCAACCAGGTAGAAGTCCTGCCTGGAGGCTGGCGGCCACCTCCCCAAAGGCCTGGGTAGGGTGGCTGGAAGGGGAGCGCGCCAGCGCGGGCGTCAGAAGGCAGAGCTCACCTGGCCCGAGCGTGGCGGGCCAGGAGTCCCTTCCTAGAGCGAATCTGAGCAGTGTGCGCGGCTGGAGAGGCGGCTTGCACCCAGCTGCTAGAGCCGCGCCTTTGACGACTTCCCGGGCAAAGCCATCCTAAACATACAACCCTCTCTTCGCAGAGAACCCCCGTTTCTCATAAAGTGATAGAAAAGCGGAGGAGGGACAGGATCAACCGCTGCTTGAACGAGCTGGGCAAGACAGTGCCCATGGCCTTGGCGAAGCAGGTAACGTTGGCGACCCGGAGCCGGGTGCCAGGCGTTGGGAGGCCTCTGCGGCCACTCTGCGGAGACGCCCGAGCCCGCGGACACAGAGGACCTCACTTGCGGGCCCCTCCCAGGCGGGGGGCCTGAGCGCAGGGCGAACCTCAGGAGGCTCTGGCGCAGATCCGCAGCCGCGTCCGCTCGCTGGTCCTCTCCAGCGCCACAGTGCCCGACCAGCAGGCGCTGGGCCGCTGCGAGGGGCCCTTCCTCCTTTTGCAGAGTTCCGGGAAGCTGGAGAAGGCGGAGATCCTCGAGATGACCGTTCAGTACCTGAGAGCACTGCACTCCGCTGATTTTCCCCGGGGAAGGGAAAAAGGTGGGCACAGGTTAGGGAATGGGACGCCTGGGCCAGGCGCCTGCGCCACCCAGAGACCCTGGGGCTGGGAGGGGAGTGACTGAGTGTTCCCGAGAGCTCTACTAGAGCTCCACTCTCCAGGAGGGCAGGGGTCCTGCGAAGGCGCCTCTCCCTGCTCGGCGACAGCAAGGCGGCGAGGGAGAACTGGTTCCCAGGGAGGCTGGTTCCACCTCCTTCTCCCGGGTGGGGTGGGTGGGGTCAGGCTCTCAGGGAAAGAGGGCGTTTGCGCGTGCCTCGCCAGTCTCTAAGACTGCGCAGAGGAGAGGGCGGGCCTCAAATGGGAACTTTGGCCAGAAAATGTGGTGGGAGGTGCCCTGCACCCGCTTTGGGCTCGCGTGGGGAAGGGGCACTCAGGGTGTGTCCGTCCTACGGGCTTTCTCGTTCCTCCAGCAGAACTTCTAGCGGAGTTTGCCAACTACTTCCACTATGGCTACCACGAGTGCATGAAGAACCTGGTGCATTACCTCACCACGGTGGAGCGGATGGAGACCAAGGACACGAAGTACGCGCGCATCCTCGCCTTCTTGCAGTCCAAGGCCCGCCTGGGCGCGGAGCCCGCCTTTCCGCCGCTGGGTTCGCTCCCGGAGCCGGATTTCTCCTATCAGCTGCACCCTGCGGGGCCCGAATTCGCTGGTCACAGCCCGGGCGAGGCCGCTGTGTTCCCGCAGGGCTCTGGTGCCGGGCCTTTCCCCTGGCCGCCTGGCGCGGCCCGCAGCCCCGCGCTGCCCTACCTGCCCAGCGCGCCAGTGCCGCTCGCTAGCCCAGCGCAGCAGCACAGCCCCTTCCTGACACCGGTGCAGGGCCTGGACCGGCATTACCTCAACCTGATCGGCCACGCGCACCCCAACGCCCTTAACCTGCACACGCCCCAGCACCCCCCGGTGCTCTGACGCCCACTCGCCCGCCAGATTTCTCCTCGCTTTGGGCGCTTTTAGGAGAAATGCTGTATATATTGTACACATAATGTGTAAATATTGTACCCCAAAAATCTGGGCTGGGGGAGGCAAAGAGCGAATGAGTCTTCTGAAGGATCTCCCCCTGGTAATAAACGTTTTCTGATAAAGACCCAAAGAGAGGGATTTATGTATTACCTTCTGCTCATCCACACCCGTCCCCTCCGCGGTGCCCAGGGCGCAAGGCTGACAGGGTTCAAGGTAACAGCCCTCAGTAACTTGGTGAGGGGCCCGCTGTGGAGTCTGAGGGAGGGGGACGTTAAATGGAGGTTCAGGCAGATATTCTAGGCATCGCTTAAGGGCGGGATTCGCGGCTTCCTGCACCCGCCCCATCTTGAGCATTAGCCTCAGAGAAACAGGGGAGGCGAAGAACACTGCCCTTGGCTCTCAGGAAAATGCAAATTGAAGGACCTGCCCCAAACTGACTTAGGCGGACCGTTGCCAGCTGCGACCCGGGCGCCCGTCCTACCCGGAGCCAAGTGCCCGACGCGCGCGCACCGCACGCCCGCGGGTCTGGAATGCGGCGAAACCCGGGCCAGCGGGGCGCGTGGCTGAGTTTACAGAATTAAAAATCCTCTAAAAAATACCGGAACCAAGTACAGTTCTGAGTTGCGGATTAGAAACAACATCGTTGATGACAACTGCTCAGCGCCAGAGGCTTCCGAGAAGCTGGCGTTGCCTTTTGCGCACAGAGCAGGCCAGCTTCGGGGGCGCTGGGCGTCTCGGCGAGAGGTCGGCACCTGCCGGGTTGGGAGACGCCCCTTCCCCACCCCTTAGGGGATTGTTCCCTACACGCCATCCTTTACCATTCGGACACTGGTGCAGGATGGAGACCCTGGGGTCTCCGTTTAAGTTCTCAGGCTTGGAGAGAAAAGTCCTCCTTATCCTTTCCCCAGTGAGATTTTTTTTTTTATCTCGCCCCACCCAGAACGTGGTGAGGAAAGTTTGGAATCCAGGAGAGACTTGGCTATTGGTCTTTTAAGGGATTGTGATTTTCACTTCCAGGACATCTGTGCCCTACCCACAGCGATGCATCTACAACGGCAAAAGCTAAAATCCTGTTTCTGTAAGACTCAAAGGGCAAAATAGGGCTCCCCGTTGTTTCATGTAAATAGGTAAAATAAACAATGTATCCAACTGGCTAAGTTTGTGTTTGTAGGTATTTAAATTTTTCTTTGAACTTTTGTGCCTCATTAACTTTAATGCCTTTTAAATAAATAATTCGAAATTAGGTAGCACGTTTTCCTCTTTGTTTCCAGAGGCCATTTCGCTGAACTGTGGTGATTTGTCTTCTCTCAGATCGGCTGGAGGACTGTAAATTAACTTATTCTATTTTCTCTGGACAGGGTTTAAGAAAGCTCTGACCTAGACTGTTTGCTGAGGTCATGGAATGGGATGACCTGCAATTTGTAAACCATCAAACTTCATTATGCAGAGACAGGCAAAAAAAAAAAAAAAAAAAAAAAAAAAAAAGCCCTCATTACATTGCCCGTAAAGTGAAACTTACACGTATATGTTTTGCCAGGAGAAAATCTTAAACTTTAGAAAAGGTCTTGCATGTGAGAGGTTCTTGAAATAACTTGTGTATAAAATGTGAGCTCTCTCCTTTCTATGAAGTGATGGAGCATGGAAGTGAGAGTGAGACCAGGCGGCCCTCCCGGATAACAAATATACATTGAGCAATATGGGATAAAAACAAATTATGCAGAAATGGGGAGAATGGGTGGTGCCTATTATGGGAACACATGTCTTACACCCATTTTCATCAGCGCTGGATACAGAATATGAAGAAGGCCTTTCAGAGTTTTCTTCTCTGAGCATTAAGCCAATCTGAATTCCCTTCGGCAGTGAAGCATTAAAGATATAATGTTACCCTGGAAATATAAATTATTAATATATTCAGCATTTTTGTCACTTCTCAACTGTTAACCAAATTAGACAAAACTTTCTTTTGCTAAGTAGATTTTCTCTTTGGGATTAGCTTTGGGAATGCACAGGGCCACCACAGTAAAAACTGCGGTCATTTACATATAATTTTGCAAACTTCCACTGGTCCATGACAGTCTTTGTACCTCAAATGTTGGTGTTCTTGATTTTTTTCTTTTCTCATTTAACTGTGGAGGATAAAACCCTGCTTTGGATTTACAGTGACTTTAGGATAAAAGTCTCCCTCCCCTTTCTCTCTTTGCCCCTTTCTCTCTCTCTCTCTCTCTCTCTCTCTCTCTCTCTCTCTCTCTCTCTCTCCCCCCCCCCTGTGTGTGTGTATGTGTGTATGTTTTGTGTCTTTTTCTGAAACCTTCACCCAAAGTCCCAATTCTCCAGGCTTGGCTAAAAGTCAATCTTGGAATAGTTTGACTTTGCAAAAGATTAAAAATGTCACTACAAAATGGAATGGATTCAAATCTGATTGTGACATGAATGTGTTCTTCTTGCACTGTCTCTGACAATACGTTACCTCCAGCTTCCCAGCTATAGCCCCCGCTCCTGTCTCCCTCTGTCTGAGTCTCTTATGCCCAATCCCTCCACTTTCTTTAAGTAAGTTGTATAGTAATGGTTTCCAAGAGAGGCCCAACCAAACCTAGAAATAACAAAAAACAGTGGGTTTGGCTGGAGGTAACCCATTGTGATGCCTCTGAAAGGGGCAACCTCTTGTTTCTTGGGCTTCATCCTTGAGTGGGCAAGAATAAAAATAATCATCCCCGTGAAATCAAAGGTTTTCTCCAGAAGCTCGAGGAACAAAGCTGATGGCTGGTGCTTGGGGTCGGTCCCTGTGGCCCAGCAGGGCTGGAACTAGTCGCTTCCAGGCACTCCAGCCGCCCTTGCCGAAAGGGCGGTAATACAGAGCTCACTTGTGCTTCCAAGCGTTGTTGAACAAAGACAGCCCCATGTGTCAGTGACAGCCCCTCCAGTCCGGGCTGCTGGATACCAGGAAAGGAAGGTGGAGGAGCTGCCATGGGAAGTGCCTGAGCCCATAGAGGCATGGACTTCTGGGAACCTGGTAGTGAGTGTCTGCATAGAGTAACAACAAGAAAAGAAAGGCCACATGGGCGTGAGGAAGAGTTCGATAAATACTTGGGGAATGGCTGAATGAACTGCCTAACAGTGCTGAGCTCTTGGAGTTCTGTATCAGGTCCTCCCTATCCTCAGTCGCCACCCTGTGTCATCAGAGACTAGCAAGTAATTGTACATCCACCCAGAAATCCATGGAGCACTCCACACACATTCTGAGGATTGTCAGAACGAGCAACGGTCTTGCCTTTGCCTGGACATTCTACCTTGTGGTCTGGCAGCAGCAGACCATGCCTGGCCTGCTTGGGTAAAGCAGCAAACTCTCCCTGCAGGTCCAGCTCAATGCAGAACACGATGTAGAATTTGGATTCGGAACTAGCTTGATGGATTTCTGCTCCTTTCACATAGAAAAGCTCCAGATTGGGCCAAGTCAGCTTCCACCCTCCTTTCTGCTCCATTTATTATGCAGAATGTAGCTTCTGGAGTCAGACAGCCTGGATTTGCACTCCAGCTCTGCTGTCTACTAGCTGTGTGTCTTTGGACAAGTTGTTCAGCCTCTCAGAGTCTCTTTCATCATCCATAACACAAAGCTATCAAAAGTGCATACTCCCTGGGGTTGCTATGAGGATTCAGTGAGTTGGGACATCAAAGCACTGCAGACAGTGCCTGGCCCATAGGGGATGCTCAGCATATGTTAGCTATTATAATAAGCTATTTTTAATCTACCTCTGCCTTCCAAAGAGTTAGATATTTAGGGCTAGTTCAAACTAAAAAACAAAATGCCCAGGCAAATCATGAAAAAAGTCTTTAATCCCAGGGCTTTTTAAACTCCCAAGGCGTGCTCTGGGACAGACAATTGTCTTCATTTAGGAGAAGTCAGGATAGGGGTTTCTAATTCATCCCATGATCAGCCTTGGACTTGTGCGCCCTGCTTCAAGCTGTGATTGGTCCTCAGAGCCCCTCTAGTAAATTTGGAAGGCTATCCCTTACAATCTTTTATATACAGAAATTTGGCCTCGTGTTGTTGTATGACAGCTCTTGCACCTGCAGCCACACACTCCCTACAGTGCAATGCTCTTCATCTACAAATCTTGGCCATTGCAAATTTTTTTTGGACCATGAGGGACACAAACTAATTCAATGTCCATTAAATGCAATTTTGGTAGCACCTCGATGTTCTTCTCAGCATCTCCCCCATTTTCTGTTTAAGTTTTCCATTCCATTTTTTCCTTTTCCTATCCTATTCATCACCTACTGCTCCACTCCTGAGTTCACAGTCAGCCTGAGGAGTCAGCCCCAGATGCAGGTTCCAGCCCTGCTGCAGCCCCCAGCTCCCTAGACTCTGTCCCCCAACTCCCCTCCCTTTCTTGCTCGGCCTTCAGTTCTCCTTCTCCCTGGTTTTCTGGGTGCTTGGCTCCTGAGGTCTGACTCCCCAACACCCACGGCCTGGTGAGAGAATTGATCCATGTACATGTGTGGCCGTGTATACTTACATGTGTGGTTGAGAGGGACTTTTATTTCCCACTGCTCCTGGCTCCATGTGGAGGGATATTACTAGAGTAACACTCAGCACCTCTCAGCATTCCTTTCATATTCCCCAGTGATCTGACTGGAGTGTTTGGAAGCAGGACCCAGGCATGCTCCACTCAGCCCCTTTGTCTTTGGTGTCAGCCTGCCCACAGAAAAAAAGCAAGCATGCCCAACTGGCTGGGTGGAAGATGTCTAGCTCTTCCTGTGCTTGTGATGGATAAGCTTAATTCTTTTATTTTCTTTTTTTTGTGGGGGGGACAGAGTCTCGCTCTGTTGCCCAGGCTGGAGTGCAGTGGCGTGATCTCGGCTCACTGCAAGCTCTGCCTCCCGGGTTCACACTATTCTCCTGCATCAGCCTCCCAAGTAGCTGGGATTACAGGTGCCCGCCACCATGCCCAGCTAATTTTTTATATTTTTTTAGTAGAGACAGGGTTTCACCGTGTTAGCCAGGATGGTCTCCATCTCCTAACCTCGTGATCCGCCCGACTCGGCCTCCTAAAGTGCTGGGATTAGAGGCGTGAGCCACCGTGCCCAGCCTGGATAAGCTTAATTCTAAGGTGAAATGTTGCAAGCCCACTGTCCCTGTAAACTGATGTCACATCCTCCTGTCAGTTGCAAAATAGACATTTTTATCTCCACCTGACACCTACATCTATATATCAAAGGGTTCTGGGAACAGTAGGAAGAAAAAACGGCTATTGGCTATCCTAAAAACCCAGAACCTGGGTGCTTATCAGTGTACAGCTAGGAATGGAGATATACATACATGCCTGTGTGCATGCGCGGTGCAGGCCCAGGAGTGCCACATACGTGTGTGCAGGGTGTATGCTTGTGTACACAAGGGTGTGCATGAAGGAAAAACTAGGGCCAGAGGAAAGAGCTCCCCAATGAATAGAATTGCTAGGTTAGAGCTCGATGGACCCAACTTACTTCTCACTCACATGGGAGATAAGAAACTATCATTATGAAAGTCTGGGTACTGGCACCAAAGCAGATATACAGACCAATGGAACAGAACAGAGACCTCAGAAATAACACCACACATCTACAACCATCTGATCTTCGACAAACCTGACAAAAACAAGCAATGGGGAAAGCATCTCCTATTCAATAAATGGTGCTGGGAAAACTGGCTAGCCATATGAAGAAAACAGAAACTGGATTCCTTCCTTACACCATATACAAAAATTATCTCAAGATGGATTAAAGACTTAACTGTAAAACCCAAAACCATAAAAACCCTAGAAGAAAACCTAGGCAATACCATTCAGGACATAGGCGTGGGCAAAGACTTCATGATGAAAGCACCAAAAGCAATGGCAACAAAAGCCAAAATTGACA
This sequence comes from Homo sapiens, assembly GCF_000001405.40. NCBI lineage: Eukaryota > Metazoa > Chordata > Mammalia > Primates > Hominidae > Homo > Homo sapiens. The sequence continues at coordinate 185,026,716 of NC_000004.12, forward strand.
AACAGGACCTAAATAAACTAAAGAGCTCAGGCACAGCAAAAGAAACTATCATCAGAGTGAACAGGCAACCTACAGAACGGCAGAAAATTTTTGCAATCTACCCATCTGACAAAGGTTTAATGTCCAGAATTTACAAGGAACTTGAACACATTTACATGAAAAAAAAAAACCCATCAAAAAGTGGGCAAGGGATATGAACAGACACTTCTCAAAAGAAGACATCTGTGCGGCCAACAGACATATGAAAAAAAATGCTCATGATCACTGATCATTACAGAAACGCAAATCAAAACCACAATGAGATACCATCTCATGCCAGTCAGAATGGCGATTATTAAAAAGTCAAGAAACAATAGATGCTGTGGAGAAATAGGAACACTTTTATACTGTTGCTGGGAATGTAAATTAGTTCAACCATTGTGGAAGACAGCGTGGCGATTCCTCAAGGATCTAGAACCAGAAATACCATTTTACCCAGCAATCCCATTATTGGGTATATACCCAAAGGAATAGAAGTCATTCAACTATGAAGACACATGCACACGTATGTTTATTGCAGCACTGTTTACAATAGCAAAGTCATGGAACCAACCCAAATACCCATCAATGACAACCTATGTAAAGAAAATGTGGTACATATACATCGTGGAATGCTATGTAGCCACAAAAAGGAATGAGATCATGTCCTTTGCAGGGACATGGATGAAGCTGGAAGCCATCACCCTCAGCAAAGTAACACAGGAACAGAAAACCAAACACTGCATGTTCTCACTCATAAGTGGGAGTTGAACAATAAGAACACATGGACACAGGGAGGGGAGCAACACATACCAGGGTCTGTTACGGGGTGGGGAACAAGGGGAGGGAACTGAAAGGATTGGTCAATAGGTGCAGCAAACCACCATGGCACACGTATACCTATGTAACAAACCTGCACATTCTGCACATGTATCCCAGAACTTAAAGTATAATAATAATAACAATAAAGAAAGTCTGCAAATCTGTGCGATTATGCTTTTTGACCATCTCCCTCTATAGTGAGTAGGACTGAAGCAAAACAGAAGAGTGGCAGCAAGCAGCGTTATGCTGAATAGGGGCATGGGAGATGGGAAGTTATTGAAATGCTAGTAAATGGGGATGGGAAATTGAATGGGGTAGGAACTCTGGGCTAGACTATAGAGAGAGTGAGAGGAAAAAGGACCCCATGAGAATTGGGAAAGTGAGCATTTTTGCTTCATTTACTATAATGTTTAGCTTAAAAGCAAGAGTCAATAAAATATATTAGTTAAAACTTTATAAATATAATGAAACTTTATCACTATGATATTTCTAGATGACCTGCAATGTTTGCAATGACACAAAAGCAAGACTTCCCTATAATGTTGTTAGTTATATTAGTAGAGGTTTTTCACAATAAAATTTTTGCATTTCCACCCGCTAGTACCAGGACTCCCTTTTTTACATAAACATGATTTTTGTTTTATATTTGTCAGAATATAAATTTGTGGTCTAGGCTGGGCGCAGTGGCTCATGCCTGTAATCCCAGCACTTTGGGAGGCTGAGGCAGGTGGATCACTTGAGGTCAGGAGTTTGAGACCAGCCTGGCCAAAATAGTGAAACCCCATCTCTACTAAAAGTACAAAAATTAGCCGGGCATGTTGGCATGCGCATGTAATTCCAGCTACTCGGGAGGCTGAGGCAGGAGAATCAATTGAACCCGGGAGGCAGAGGTTGCAGTGAGCCAAGATTGCACCACAGAACTCCAGCCTGGGAGACAGAGTGAGACTCCATCTCAAAAAAACAAAACAAAAAAAAAAAAACTGTGGTCTAGCCTTGTTGCTCTTTCTAAATACAACATAAAATGTGGTAAGTGAAGAAAAAATTCCTATAGAGGGTAGCCAGAAATAAACTGCCTGAGGTTTTAGGACTGGAAGTTGCACCCTGTCCCTGTACTTTTTGGATGTATTATATGCTCTATGCATAGCCATAACTGCAAACCAGATAGCCCTCGCAATACTGCGGGAGTATAGCAAAGCCAGTTCTGGGCACTTGGAGAAGCTGTTTTGGAAAAAAGTCAAATCGGAGAGTGTCATATGCAACCTTACATTCTGGCCACAAGCAATAAATCTGTGAAAGCTTGCAGAACCTGATTCCACAAACCCTTCCTACTCTGAGTTACAGTAAAGAGGTAGATGTGAATACAAGTGAATCCCATCTGAACTACATCACAGCTCGGTCAAAAAGACGAGAGCAGCGTGGATATTGTCGTATTAGAACCGAATGATAGTGACTCTGGCCTTGAACCCAGGCTGATGATGGCCCAAATATATGTGGTGAAGGAAGGCTACTGGGGAAGGCATTTCATTGCTCTGTCATTAATTTCAGAACAAAGAAATTGAATAAACAATTTCTCAGAATACAATTAAAAAATGAAAAGATAATTTCTAAAATGATGGAAACTAGGATCGTGTTATCTGTTTCCTTGATGTGAAAAGAACACTTATCAATGAGACAATACTTTCAAACCTTTTCATTTATGTATTAGAGAAAGAGACACCCAGAAAGGTGAACATGCTCACTGGATAAATGGAGTTTAGATAACAGTAATTTCCAAGAAGCATCAAATGATTTTTCTGTGAGAAGGACAGTCCTGTAGATAATAAGCAAGTGATGTGGGTAGAGAGAGCATTGATAAATGTACAGTACACTTGATGGTGGCTCTCTGGCATCAGGTGTTCACTGTGATTTGCAAGTTTCTTTCAAAAAAGATGTTTAATCAATTTTCCCATCTAACTTCTCGTCATGCTTTGACATGGTATGATAAACCTTGTCTTCACTAAGGAGGAAGTTGCAGAGCTTAAGAACTGATCTAATGCTTCTCAGAAGCTCTCTGTAGAGTCTTCCAGTCACCCTGGAGCTACAGAAGAGAAACTTATTGGACAAATAAACTCTTCCTCCCGAAATAAATATAAACATATCAAAATATAAATGTTTCTGCCCTTCTCGTCTCTCCTCTTTCTCTCTGCCTCCTACCCTGATTCCCAGCTTTTTTCCTGTTGGGCAGGATTCAGTTATCCTGAAGGTTTCTTTTGAGGCCCTTAATCTAGGCAAAATCATCCCATGTGATATAGGAAAATCACACGTTGGTCTCATTTCCTGATCTGCCTTCACCCCAGGGAGACTCACGCAACCTCTCTCCCTTGATCCACCTCATCCCAAGATCAGTCTCTCTCTCCTGAACTCCACGTCTTGTCAATTTTGCCACCTGCCTTGAATACTTTCGCTTCTCTCCATCCTCTCTGCCCTCACCACAGGCCAGGCTACCAATGTTCCTTTTCAGACCCCGTCCCCGCTTTCCACCAATTCTCCCAGCCTCCATTTTTGCTCCCTCTAATTCATTTTCAGCATAGCAGGAAGAGTGATTTTTTCCTGAAACTCACATCTTAAATTCCTCTGTCTAAAATTATTCGGTGGCTTCCTGTTGCTCTTAGGATGAAGTCCAAGTTCCTTGTGAGATCTTCCCGTGGAGGCCCCTGCATATTTATTTCTCAAGCCTTTTTGCTTGACATTACCCCAAATCAGCGTCCAGGCACACTGACTTCCTTCATTTCTCGGGTGGATGGAGCTCTCTTCCATGCCAGGCTCTTGGGAATGCTGTGTTTGAGAGGCAAAGAAAAGTCCCAAGTACCTTTTCCCTTAGGCGATTGGTCAGCACACCCAGCCCTGCTGACTCTTCTCCAGTGAAAGGTTGGTCCTTATCCTCACCAGGTGAAGGGAAAGGCGTAATTGTAGCGACATTGTCCCCATTCATATAAACCTGTTTCTGGAATGGCTTCAGAAACCCTAGGTATGAAATGCTGACAAAATTATATGGAATGCGTGTTCTATGTTTTCTCTGGACTTTCGTTAATTCTTGTAGTCAAACAATACCATTGCTAGAGGCATTAATTATATCATCACTGAGAGGCGTGGTGATTAAGAACATGGCCCTGGAGCTAGACTGCTGGGCTGGAGTCCAGGCTCAGCTGTTTTCTAGTTGTATGACCTCCAGTGCACGGCTTCACAGCTCTGGGCTTCAGTTTGCACCAGGTGAATGGGACAGTTGTGCCTATCCCACTGGTGGGTGGGAGGATTCAAGAAGTCAACAGAGCAGCGGCTGGATAATAGTTTCAACCCCATAGCTGTTAGCTATTAGAACTGAAATCTGGCCGAGTACCATGGCTCACGCCTGTAATCCCAGCAATTTGGGAGGCCGAGGTCGGCAGATCAACTGAGGTCAGGAGTTCGAGACCAGCCTGGCCAACACAACGAAACCCTGTCTCTACTAAAAATACAAAAATTAGCCATGCATGGTGGCGTGTGCCTGTAATCCCAGCTACTCAGGAGGCTGAGGCAGGGGAATCGCTTGAACCCAGGAGGTGGAGGTTGCAGTGACTCAAGATTGACCCAAAATTGTGCCACTGCACTCCAGCCTGGGTGACAGAGTGAAACTCTCCATCTCGGGGAAAAAAAAAAAAAAAGAACTGAAATCTGTGTGAGATTTTGATATGGATGAAAACTGTATCCTTTGAAACTGGTTACCTACTTCTACTTACAATATTGAATTTTTGAAAAAATTGTTTATGTTGTCAATTCACTGTCTTTTTTTTTTCCTTGAAGCAGTCTTAGTTTTAGCATTTCCCTCTTTTTTCTTTTGTTTTCCTGGGTCAGTGACTTTAAAGCATTTCCCTCTTTGCATCAGGGAAAATATTAAGAATGGAAGAAAGGAACCTGCATGGCAGTGTGCGCCTGTAATCCCAGCTGCTTGGGAGAACAAGGGGGGAGGATCACGCAAGCCCAGGAGTTCTAGACCAGCTTGGGCAATGTTCAGAGACCCCATCTCTAAAAAGTTTTTAAAAGGAAGGAAGACAGAGATCTTTTTTAGTGCTGGTATTACAGGCATGAGCCACCACGCCTGGCCCAGAGATCTTTGTTAGAACTTGCTAAGGATCAGGTACAAAGATGGCTCCAGAAGATCCCGGTATTAAGAGTGCAGAGCAGCCACTGGGGTGGAAAAGGGCAGAGGATTTGTCTTAAAGCTGCATTCACACAACAAACACACTGTTTGGAGTGGGCTTCGTGGAGCTGGTGGAAATCAAGAGGGGGCCACCTCACCCAAAAGAGCCTCTTTGACGCCTCCCAGTGCCTGTCACGGTGGTAGGTACTTTCACACGTAGTCACTCCATTCCATCCCCACAGTAACCTCTGCAGTAGGCATCATTACACACAGCCTGCAGCTGAGGGCCAACACAGCTTCTCCAAAGTCACATAACTATTCCATGGCAGCACCAGGATTGCAACTACAATATGTTTGCTTCCCAGTCTAGTGCGCTTTCTTCTATGCAGCAGCTGCGAAATCAACAACATTTTTATACTCTCTTAGAATAGCAAGGTCTAAGGCTAAGTTTAGAAATGCTCTTCTCTCCTGGTGTAAAGTTGTAGTCCTCCTTGACTTCAAAACTGAGCAGTTGAGTGTCCCAATGTAGTCTTTAAAATTCAGCTTAAAAAAAATCACATCCCTTTCCATTAACAAATTTCTTTTGTTGTTTTTTTTAGAGATTGGGGAGCACAGTGATGTAATCATAGCTCACTGCAGTCTCAACCTCTCGGGCTTAAGTGATCCTCCCAACTCAGTCTCCTGAATAGCTGGGACTCTGGGAACATGCCACCATGCCCAGCTAATTTTTTTGGTTTTGTAGAGATGGAGTCTTGCTCTGTGCCCCAGGCTGGTCTCAAACTCTTGGGCTCAAGAAATCCTCCTGCCTTGGCCTCCCAAAGTTCTGGGATTACAGGCATGAGCTACCACACCCAGCCAACATCCCTTTTAAACTGTTTACCAAAGCAACGCATGCTAACATAGAAAGGATAAAGCAGACACAAAAACACCTGTCCCACCATCCAGATATAAGCACTGTTAGCTTTTTTGACATGCTTCCTTACAGTTTTTTTATGCACACACTAATTTAAAAATACATCTTCAATAGCTAATACACTTATATGGGACAAAATGTTAAACATACAAAAGCGTATGTGGTGACAAATAAGTCTTCCTCTGGTGTCTGTCCCCAGCCATCCAGTGTCCATCCTAGGAAGCAGTCACTAGTATCAGTTTTTTGTGTATCCTTTAAAAGATAGTCCACACAGGCACATAAACTGAGTAATTTTTAAATTCTTGTTTTTTGAAAACAGTATATCATTTTATGAATAAATACAAACACATATCTAATTTTCCTTCTCCCCTGGATCTGACTCACCTTCCGTCTTACCGCTTTCCCGGCATTTCACACTCAGATTTGTCCAAGATGTTGACAGCCAGTCAAAATCACCTTGAGATAGTCCTTGCTGGTCAATCCAGCATGAGAGGAATCAAGTTGGTGAAGGCTTTTCCCCATAAACATCCCACCTGAGAGAGACAAGGGATCTGAAGTGACACAATGCTGCGTCTGTCCCCAGCAGGGCTGCACGTGTACCGGGGTGTGAGGTGTTGGATCACAGCTCTGTGTGCAGCATCCTTCCAGTAAACCAAGTCTTTCTACGTGGTAAGGGTCACTGGCCCATTCCACTCCCTGACAATTCTGTCGACTAGAATACCTGCAGTTGCCTGAACTTGCCGAGCTCTCCCCGGCCTTTGCGGAGACTCCTCCATCTCAAGTCATCCCACCACCACCCCAGCAGCCTCACCTCCCTTCTTTACCTGGCGAACTCCAGCTTCCTCTTTAGGGCGTAGTCTCCATCTCTTTTGGGAAGCTTCCTCTGATGCGCCACCTGCTCTCCTCCCGATCCCCATGAGACACTGCTATCTGTTTCTCTTCATAATCTGTGCACGACCCCTGCCATTCATTTAACAAATGCCTGTTAAGTGCCTGCGCGTGCCAGGACTGAGAGGACTGGAAGCAAGGCAAGCAATGTGCTGATAGCAGTTAGAGGCTATTCAGGAAGGCATTAAATACAGTAAGTAATTATTAAAGTGTGACAAGTCCAGAAGAGGAACTCTGGGGCATGGGCAGAGGGGATCCAGCTCAGAGGCTCTCAACTGGTTGAGGTGAGGCAGAGAAAGTTGCATTTCAGCTGATACCAGAAGAAAATGTAGGAATTAACCAGGTGAGATGGGAAAGAAAAGGAAGAAAGAGGTTTCAGGGAGACAGAACCTCTTTGTGAGGGCTCCAAGGCATGCAAGAAGCCCTTTTGAGGAGCTGGTGGTTGTCTAGTATGGCCTGTGAGTTGTTGGAAGACTGGATTAGATATGCCTTTCAATCTCTGGTTTCCATGTAGAGAAAGAACTAGAGAGGAGCAAGACTCGAGATAGGGACCAGTATTTGTAGCATTTACGTGGGATTCCTCTAGAAAGAGTTGAAGCCCAGTATGCACTTATTTCGGTTTCGTAATTCTGCACTATTTTTGACGGTTGACTCATCTCCGAGCTTTTTAATAGGGCACTAGATCATACTCATGTTTTCAACCCCAGAACTTAGCACAGAGTCTGGCACAGAATATGGGCTCAAGAACTGTCTATAAAAGACAAATGGAGCAATTCCTTATGGTAGCTTAAGCTCTAAGATGAGGCTCTTTTTTTTGTTGTTAAATTGAGTAGAGCAAGAATGCAACACAAAATGGAGTCTCTTACTATTTCTGATAAAATGTACATTTAAGGCCAGGCACAGTGGTTCACGCCTGTAATCCCAGCACTTTGGGAGGCCAAGGTGGGAGGATTGCTTGAGTCCAGGAGTTTGAGACCAGCCTGGGCAACATAGCAAGACTCTATCCTCAAAAAAGAAATATATATGTGTGTGTGTGTGTGTGTGTGTGTGTGTGTGTGTGTATAATTAAAGCAATAGCATCTTTATTACACAAACGCCAATTTCCAAACTTCAAAATAAATGACAAGTATTTTCCATAGTAGTGGCAGCAACTCAAAGATCCAACCACAGGTGAGGGGTTTCTGGTAGCCACTGAAATTGATCCTGAGGAAGAGTGTGCTTGACATGGAAATGATAACAATGACTTCAATAATAAAAATTATACATCTATAAGAATAGGGGCTGGGCGCGGTAGCTCACGCCTATAATCCCAGAACTTTGGGAGGCCGAGGTGGGCAGATCTCTTGAGGTCAGGAGTTCGAGACCAGCCTGGCCAACATGGTGAAATTCCATCTCTACTAAAAGTACAAAAATTAGCCAGGTGTGGTGGTGGCCATCTGGAATCCTAGCTACTCAGGAGGCTAAGGCAGGAGAATCACTTGAACCCAGGAGGTGGAAGTTGCAGTGAGCCAAGATTGTGCCACTGCACTCCAGCCTGGGCGACAGAGGGACTCTGTCTCAAAAAACAAAACAAAAACAAAAGAATAGGCCGGGCATGGTGGATCATGTCTGTAATCCCAACACTTTGGGAGGCTGACGTGGGAGGATCACTTGAAGACAGGAGTTCAAGACCAGCTTGGGCAACATAGCAAGATCCTGTCTCTATTTTTAAATGAATAAATAAATTAATAAAACAAAATAGGCCTGATGTAAACACGGCCAAATTGCACTGCTAAGTTATGGGGATAGGATTTTGAGTGTTAGAGAACAGAATAAAGAGAATGTAATGCTCATAAGAACTAAACACTTTAAAACATCTTTTTATTATAAAATAAAACAAAGATACAGGAAACCACACAAAGCAAATAGTGGCTTACTGATTTATCTTAAGGTGAACAGCCTTGTAACCACCACCCAGGTCAAGATAGAACTTTGCCCCTTCCCTGTGACCTCATCCCAACCACAACCTCTTTCTCCCCAGCTAGCTAACGATTATCCTGATTTTTATAGTAATCATTTCCATGGATGTTTTTAAAACATAGTTTTAACACCCAAATGCATCCCTGGAGAGTCCAGTTTTTGTCTCGCTCATTTGAAAGCATTTGGCATGTTTTTCAGATCTCTTCTAATCCACACATTTCCCTTCCATCTTCGTCATTTCCTTACAATCCATCTGTTGGATCAATATATTGGCTACTTGGCCTGGACAGTCACAGAGGGAGGATATTGCTGCTGGTGGAGCTGTAGTGAGCTCTGTATGTTCCTCCGTCTTCTCTATTCCTGCAGCTGGATCCAGAGGCTGGAGCAGACTCAGGTTCCATCCATTCGGCTAAACTAAGTGCTTTGTTTCTGAACAACTGGAATGAAGTATTAATAAGTCTTCCTTTCACTTTGGCCCCTTCAGAGTTGTTCCCAGCCTCACCTGTCTGCCTGCCTCCCGCGTTCCCGTTGCATCCTGTCCTGGGCCACCAGTCACAGACATGCTCTCCAGGCCCCCTCACACCCTTATTGGTTCTAACAGCTCGCAACGCTAATCGGTTCCTCTGACTTGGACAAGAGTGACTACCTCGTCTCACTTCCTTAGGCAGAGCTCTCTGGCTTATTGAGGTGGGAGTTTCCAGTCCAGTCTATTCACTCTGACACTTCACCTACAAAGTGAATAGACAGCGATTCTCTTTTTCACTCAAATACCTCAACCTCTTCCCCATTCGTTTCCCAAATATTACTTTCAGTCACATTGAAGGAAAAAAATTGACTTGAAAGTTTAAAACTGCTCCAATGACCTCATTTACAATTCTGACATGCAGCTTGAGATCACCTTTTAACTTCTGAATGCACTTTTGGCCCAGAGACATTTAAAATATCACAATTATTACCTATTACTGTCATTGTCGTATCCTATGATACAGCTGATCAGAAACGAAGTTTGATCCGGGTAGTGGATAGCTTTGAACTGCCATCCTAATAATTTAGATTTATGGAGCATTATTTTTGGAAGAATTAAAAGTGCCTTGTCAATACATTTTTCTGGAAGTGAAATAACAGATCCTAATTTTCAGACCAGACTGAGCCAGGCACTCAGTTCTGCCTACCATAGCACTGACACTCCATCGGCCTGGGCACCTCCCTCTCCTTCTCCCCCTTGCAGTCCATCACCAAAACCTTCAATCTTTCCACTTGTCTCCATATCCTGTGATACTCTCATAGTTCAAGCCACTATATCTCACCTTTGCCACAGCCACCTAACCGGACTCCCAGGCTACTTTTTTGGCTTCTCAGAATCTGTTTCCCACATAGCAGTCTGAGCGGCCTATTTAGGTGGAGTTTAGACAGTGTTTAACCTCTCATTGCTGCAGGTTAAACCCAAGCTCCTCCCCACAGCGACAGGACTGTGCTCCACTCTTGCCCTCCTCCCTACCCTCGTGGCTTTCTGCTTCCCACATTGCTGCCTCTGCACCTGCTACCTTGGTCTCCCCTGGTGCCTCAGAGCACTCCAGGCCTTATCAGCACAGGCCTTACAACTCCCGTCCCACTCCCCTCACCACGCTCACCAGCAGGTGTCAGCAAGGCTTTCCTGGACCACCTCCCCTTACCCACCCATCTATATCTGGCGGTAGAAACCTGTTGCTTTTTTCTCCTTCAAATTACTTACCATAATTAGTTTAAACTGTATCAAAACATGCATAATATAAAATCTGTCATTTTAATCACTTTCAAGTGAACTGTTCTGTGGCGTTACATTGCTGTGCAACTGAAACAGACCCAATAGTCCCATAAACAGTTTTTTTGTTTGTTTGTTTGGTTTGTTGGTCGGTTGTTTTTGATAAACATAGAAATAGACCCTTGTGGTCTTAAAGCTTAAAACTTACATTTGTTTTATCTGAGTTTTTTCCTCAGGAAAGGACTCCCAGGCCTCTCAAAAAGTATCAAAGAACTGAAACTCACCAGATCACTACATCCGGACAATGAGATCCAGGCCCCTCATTCACCATGATGGGTTCCTCACCCCTTCCAAGTTCCTGTTTTCCCATACATGGTTACATTTCTTCCCTGCTGTATAAAGCCCTAGTTTTAGCTGATCAGGGAGATGGATTTGAGACTGAGATCCCATCTCCTCAGCTGTAGCACCTAGTTAAAGCTTCCTCCTGGCAATACTCGCTGTCACAGTGGTTGGCTTTCTGTGCGGCGAGCAGCAGGACCTAGATCAAACCCCTGGCGTTTGGTAACACAACCATCACCTCCATTCATCTCCAGAACTTTTTCATCTTCTCTAACTGAAATTGTACCCATTAAACACTAACTCCCTATTCCTGCTTAGCCCAACCCCCTGGTAACCACCATTCTCTTCCTGTCTCCATGGATGAAACTACTCTAGGAACCTCATGTAAGAGGAAGCATATGGTAGCTGTTCATTTGAACTGGGTGCAGTGGCTCATGCCTGTAATCCCAGCACTTTGTGATGCCAAGACAGGTGGATCACTTGAGGTCAGGAGCTCGAGACCAGCCTGGCCAACATGGCGAAACCCCAGCTCTACAAAAAATACAATTACCTGAACATGATGGTGTGCACCTGTAGTCCTAGCTACTCAGGAGGTTGAAGTGGGAAGATTGCTTGAGCTTTGGAGGTGGAGGTTGCAGTGAGCCAAGATCATGCCACTGTACTCCAGCCTAGGCAACAGAGTGAGACTCTGTCTCAAAAACAAAACAAAACAAAAAAAGGTGCTCATTTGTAACTGGCTTATTTCATTTAGCATAATTTCTTTAAGATCATCCAGGTTGTAGTATCACAATTTCCTTCCTTTTCAAGGCTGAATAATATTCCATTGTATTTATATACCACATTTTATTTATCCATTTATCCATTAATGGACACTTAGGAGGTTTCCATCTTTTTGCTATTGTGAATAATGTTGTTATAAACATGGATATACAAATATCTGTTTTAATCTCTGCTTTTAATTCTTTTGTGTATATACCCAGAAGTGGAATTGCTGGGTCATACAATAATTCCATGTTTAATTTTTTGAGGAACCCCCATACTGTTTTCCGCAATGGCTGTGCCATTTTATATTCCCACCATCAATGCAGAGGGTTCCAGTTTCTCCATATCCTCACCAACACTTGTTATTTTCTGCTTTTTTTTTTTTTAAATAACAGCTATTCTAATGGGTGTGAAGTAGAGTCTCATTGTAGTTTTGACTTGTAGTTCTCTGAGGCAAATCAAACATTCCATTAATGTTAAACATCTTTTCATGTGCTTACAGGCCATTGGAATATTTTTGGAGAAATGTCTATTCAATTGACATTGAATTATTGTATGATCCAGCAATTCCACTTCTGGGTATATACACAAAATAATTAAAAGCAGAGATTCAAGTTCTTTGCCTATGCTTTTTTGTTGTTGGGTTGTAAGAGTTCTTCATATATTCTGAACATTAGCTCCTTATCAGATATATGATTTGCAAGTGTTGTCTTCTATTCCATGGGTTGGCTTTTCACTCTGTTGAGAGTGTACTTTGATGCATAAAAGTTTTTAATTTTGAAATCCAATTTATCTATTTTTTCTTCTATTGCTTGTTCTTTTGGTGTCATATTCAAAAGTAACTCATAATGTTAAGTTATATATTTATTTGAATGTTTTATTACATAAATGCCTGCCTTCATAGACTATAAGATACACAAAGACTGAAACCTCTGTTTTGGTCACCATCATAACCCCAGGACCTAGCCCGTGCCTGGTGACTAGTACGTGTTTCATCATATATATTCGTAATCTGATAAATGCATATCTTCTGATACTTTTAAATTGTGATGTTAAATGATACTTGATAACTTATACACTTATATGAAAAAATTTTGATTGACAAAGGTGATTTCTGTGTGATATTTAATTCTCACTGAAAATTCACACTAAATTAATTTAAATTAAGTTAATTTAAATCAAGCCATATATAAAGTTTCAAGAAGTGTTGGAGAAAAAATTTAAACACAACAGCAACTGTATCAATGGCATATTTTAAAAATATATTATTTTTTTCCAAATGTTTACAGACTAAAAAATGAAATGACTAGAAACACATCTTCCAGGTTTCAGTCATTTCATTTCAGATCTGATGTAACTTCATAATATGTTTCTTCATTCTTCTTTGGCAGGTATTCAAAAGTGGTATAGACCCGCTACTTAGATCAAACGAGGGGGACAGCTCCGGTGCCCTAAGTTAAGTGATAGCCCAGATCAAATGCTAACTCTCCCTTTCCTCTATGATTTCGTAAACCTTCAGGAGAAAGCTGACAAGTATTCATCTGCCTCGTAGATCAAACAAACCCACGAGGGATTCTCTTTCACTCTTCTGTGCTTCTGGGAATTAAAATAGAAGGGACTTGTATTGTCAGCTGCAAAACAGCAGGGGGAGCTCATGAGGTTTTTAAGGCAGCTATTACTCGCCACCCCACCACCTCCAAAAACATTGCATTAAGTATACACTTAACAGCACCAAGGAGAAATTCAAAGGGAAAAGGAAGTGCGAGTGAGCGCGTGCACACACACACAAACACACATGCACGCGCCTTCTAATGAGAGGTGAAAATGGACACAATCCATTTTATAATAAAGGACTGACAAACTAACACTTAATCCAGACCTCTGAAGCCACCTCTCAGACTATCCTTACTACCTTAACAGTCCAGCGTAGCCGTGGGTACCCAAGACCCCATCGCTGCTCTTGATTCTTGACCATCTTTCTCATGTGTCCAAACTAAATTCCTAGACAGCTGGCTTAAAACTATAGTGCTTAAGTTTTCCAAACGTGTTTTTAAATATTCAGTGAAATTCTTTTGGAGAACAACTTAAATAGTACTTTAAAAATTAGGTTATAAACCACAGAGTAGTTTTTAAAATACATGAACTATAGACCTTTGTCACTGAGGAGAAAGAATGAGGGGTCCAGGGTCTATATTGTGAGTTTTCGGGACAGGGTAAGAAGTCACTCCCTGTGAGGACAGAGTGGCCACAGAGGAACAGAAGAGTATTTCCTACTGGGGAGAAATCACAAGGGACACTGGTCTTGCTTGCCATGTTGTCCTTTGAGTCTTAACCCGGGACACAGGAATCAATGGTTAGCATTAATGAGTCATCAACAGCTCTCATTCTGAGGCCTAACAGAAAGCTAAGCTGTGAAGCCGTGGATAACCACACACAGGGACTCGGGCTGCTGATGGGCTTGCCAGGGCTAGGGTGGGATGTGAGGTCTTACCTTTGCTCCTCCTCTATCTACAAGTATGTCTGAATCACAGATGAGCGTCTGAGAACGCATCTTGAAACAGCTGTCACCTCTCCTAGAGGGGCTCATTTTTGGCATTGGGAAAACAGATTTTGGTGAGTGGCCGCAATGTCTTACAAATTCCCTGAAGTTCAGGGCCTTTTCTTGGTTTGTGATCAGTGTTTCCCAAAGAATACAGCTCTCTCCTCATGTCACTTCAGGATGACATGAGGATGACCTTTAAAATATTGTGAGTCCTACTTGTAATGGAACAATGAGACGTGGAATCGTGAAAGGAACTAGGATAAATATGTGACTATGTAGAAATAAGCTACTAGCTCTGTTTTATGCCATTGACTTTTCTATGTCTGAACACTTTTTCAAGGACTTTATAGAAAAGCAAATTGAAAAATAATAAAGTGTTTTCAATAAACTCCATCAAATGAATACATGCATAAATTATGCATAATTATAAATTATGATATTTAATTTTCCTTAAAAATTATCTATTTGTTCTCCCAAACTATATTATAATTTATTCGTTAGAAAAGCATATATTTTCAAAGAAAAACTGTAGTAAAGAAGGACAGTACAACATATTACCTTAAAAAAAACTCTTTAAACGATGTAAGCTTTCTTACCTCTTTAAAAGGAAGTACATATATTCCTGGAGGAGGCATCTGAAGTTCCTTTCATCTAGATCTTCAAATTCTTTTTTCTACTGCCTGATAGTGTTTGGAAACCAAATTTTTATTTATCTTAAGTAACTTTTGAAGAAAAAAAGAATAAAGGAAGCTTTACTTATTTTCTAAATACTGATTTAATTCAGTTTTAATAAGAGGAATCTGAGTATTAGGTTCCAATTTTTATGTGAATTACATAAAATATTAAAATTACCAGAAACTCCAAATTACAGTGATCTTGAAGAATTTAGAACAACCCAAGAAGTCAACATAGCTGTAGGATGTATTTCATATCAATATACTGGGCAAAAATTAGATATTATGTGTTCCTTTTTCTGTAATGTTGATCCAACTAAGTGTCACAATGAGTTAAGTAAAGCTAAGTCATGCCAGTTTGCTGGGACTTGATTTCCTCTTCAATAAAATGAGGGGTTTCAGTTAGATGATTCTTAGTTTTCTCCCAAGAGCTAACAATTAGAACTCTGGCCAGGTGCAGTGGCTCAAGCCTGTAATCCCAGCACTTTGGGAGGCAGAGGTGGGCAGATCACTTGAGCCCAGGAGTTCAAGACCAGCCTGGGCAACATGGAGAAACCCCATCTCTACAAAAACACAAAACTTAGCTGGGTGTGGTGGCTTGTGCCTGTAGTCCCAGCTATTTGGAAGGCTGAGGCAGGAGGGTCACTTGCGCCCAGGACGTTGAGCTGCAGTGAGCCATGATGGCACCACTGTGCTCCAGCCTGGGCGACAGAGTGAGATCTTGTCTCAAAAAAAGAAAGAAAGAAAGAAAGAAAAAGTACTCTGGCAACACAAGCATCCACCCCCAGTAGTTCTATTAAACTACATGAAACATAAAGGATCTACATGCTTAAGGGGCCTAGATTGCTCCCTAATTTTAGAACTAGATAGGTCATACCAGTATATAGCTAAGCCCTTCAAAGAATATGGTAGTGAGGGGAGAGCTGATGGAATTTGAAATGTCCCTTGGTGATAGAAACTCACTTGACAGCAACATAAACAAAGACTTAATAAAACAAGTAGTAAATTCACAGGAAGGAAGAGTAGCCCTAAAATTTACAAGTCTAGTAAGTCCCACACTTTCTGGGTTGATGGCTATCTCCTCCTGGCATATAGCTCAGTAACATATACAGTATCTGACAAAGATGGCCTCTGTTAGGCTCTTCTCATGTGCTAGAAGTCCTTATTATTGACCATACCAACCACCAGTAGAATAACAGACACAATGGTAATCCCAGCTATTCATTCCCGCACTGTTGGCTCTCGCCATACACAGGTAAGAGGGCTATGCAGAATGATTCTCCAGTGGTCAGGATTCGGATCCAAGGATGTGCTTGCCAAATTCCCTTGTCATTATGGAACTGAGGTTCAGAAAAGGACTCATAAGTTCAAAGTTGTTGTGGCCTCTGGAAGAGCACAGGGGTCTTTCCCCACTCACCCCCTCCCTTTGGGAGGGATAGGTCGGGACATTGCCTTTCACTCTGGCCCCCAAGGCATTTTATCATTCACTATAAGAGTGGATGAAATATTTATTCTGTTGAGTTAAAAGGTCTTGAAGTAAGTTATGTCTAACTGGGTGTTCACTGATGATGACAAATGTTGAGATGTTGGGTATGCTAAGAAATGATATGACAAATGGGAATACCCTAACCCTTTAGACCACCCGTTTTCAAGAGATTCTGAAGGACAGGTGGACAAGATGATGAAACACAGCAAGTAAACACTTCCAGCAAGAGGAAGGTTCAGCCCTAACTACAAAGCAGGGCTTGTGCAAGCCACACGGGGCTGATGGAATCTCCTTTCACCAAGTTCGGGCAGTGCGAACAGCGGAACCAAAGCGGGTCAGGAGAATGGTTCAGCCTGTTTTCCCCGAGCTCAGTCCCAGGCCTCAGGTCTATTCCAATGTAAGAGGCCAGAGCACAGGGGGCCATTTCTGAAGAACCAGAGAAAAGTGGGAACAGGACTGAAGAACCGTGACAGAGGCCGGACTGCAGAATTGCCGTGTGTGGTTGCCCACGCTGGCACCACACCAATGAACCAGGACTAAGGGATGCGTGGGGCTGGATGCTGCTGTTTATTATTAGATGCATATTTTGCTACTCCTGGTGTTTGCTGATATAATAATAGCTTTATAGAATGTCAAAGTCGATGGTAATCATCTTCTAAAAGTTCATTCGATATCCAATTGTTAGTTTATCTATGCCTGATTGTTTTCTTTCTGATTTTTGCCTTCTGGCTGAGGAAGCTACCAGGAGGTTAAGAGTAGGACCTCACTGATTGGTGCAGCATGATCCATCTAGGATCTACTATGATGGGAATTTGAAGAACCTTAGCATACTTTTTCACGCATGCCACATAACACTTACCTTTTGCAAATAGTAAAAGATGTTTTTATTTAACCACATTTTTGTCACTAATCTTTAGTTATTTGTTACTTTATCATTACTCATCATTACTTAAATATATGACCAGTGAGAATATGTAGAAAATACGTACAAGTGCAAAGAAAAAAGTCCTCAAATTTTGTCAAAATCAACCGTGAACCTTTTCATGTACCATTTTCACTCTGCCCTCTGTGTGTGTACACGTGTGCATGAATGTATAAAATGGATTGTATTTTCATCCTAGTAGGCCAACTATGGAGACAAGGAGAATGGAAATAAAGGTTTCTTAAGAACTATAGTGATCTTGGGAGTGACCTTGGGTGTGTGACCAGGCAGGATGCAAAGGGCTTCAGTAGCATCTGTAAAGTTTGATTTCTTAGGAAAAAAAGAGCTAGGCCAGGCGCAGTGGCTCGTGCCTGTAATTCCAGCACTTTGAGAGGCTGAGGTGGGCGGATCACTTGAGATCAGGAGTTCAAGACCATCCTGGCCAACATGGTGAAACCCCGTCTCTGCTAAAAATACAAAAATCATCCAGCTGTTTTGGTGCATGCCTGTAGCCCCAGCTACTCGGGAGGCTGAGGCAGGAGATTCGCTTGAACCTGGGAGGTGGAGGTTGCAGTGAGCTGAGATCATGCCACTGTACTCCAGCCTGGGGACAGAGCGAGACTCCATTTTAAAAAAAAAGAAAGAAAAGAGCTAAAGCAAATTTGGCAAAATGTTATCATCATGGAATCTAGGCAGAAGTGAATGAGCACCTGCTGTATCTTTCCATATATTTTCCTATGCATTTGAAATATTTTATAACTTCCAAAATAAGGAAAGACTAGGATTGCTGTTCTGACAGCACATGCTGCATTTATGGCACTTTGACCATTTCTGGGCTCTCTGTTTGCTGCATGCCGAGACCAGCTCGGTCTGGGAGACCATAAACCAGCAGCACTAGAGGAATTAAAGACACACACACAGAAATATAGAGGTGTGAAGTGGGAAATCAGAGGTCTCACAGCCTTCAGAGCTGAGAGACCTGAACAGAGATTTACCCACGTATTTATCAACAGCAAGACAGTCATTAGCATTGTTTCTATAGATATTCAATTAACTAAAAGTATCCCTTATGGGAAATGAAGGGATGGGCTGAATTAAAAGAATAGGTTGGGCTAGTTAACTGCAGCAGGAGCATGTCCTTAAGTTAGGCACAGATCGCTCATGCTATTGTTTGTGGCTTAAGAATGCCTTTAAGTGATTTTCCACCCTGGGCGGGCCAGGTGTTCCTTGCCCTCATTCCTGTAAACCCACAACCTTCCAGCTTGGGCATTAGGGGCCATTATGGACATGTTTCAGTGCTGCAGAGATTTTGTTTATGGCCAGTTTTGGGGCCAGTTTATGGCCAGATTTTGGGGGGCCCTGCTCCCAACATGTCCCGCTTCTCTGATTTGCAAATCAACAAAAGCAAAGGCAGCTTTGTCATGGTGAGCTACTTCTTGCAGGAGTCAGGATCCACATCTGCAGACTATACAAAGACAAACAACACAGATTAAAAGCACAATCATCATTGAAATCACAGAGCGTCCCAGTGTTTTTATCCATTTTCAGCTCCTTTAAGCACTCCAGGTCCTGGAATTAAGGTCAGGTGTGCCTGGGATGCTTTAAATATTTGTTCTTTTCATTTTAAATCCTTATGTTAAGCTCCTAGAGCGGCCCATATCATTTGAGGTTGAGGTGCCACTATACCACCATGCTTCCAGATAATAGGAACTTTTGCTGTACTTCTTATCATTTCTACCACCTGACCGTTTTGTTCAGATGATCTGAACATAGTGTGGCCGTGGCACGCAGACTGAGAGGTGCAATTCAAGCTAAACATCCCCTTAGGGGACCAATTAATAATGATTCCATAGGAATCTTGTGCAGCACCTCTGCCTGTTCTGCAATGCAATCTTCCTAAACAAGTACGTTCATTTTTTCTAACTGGGTCCAATCCTGTTTACAAATAGGTTTTCGAGGGCGGTATGCCTCAGTTACAGGATCAGATTTATTATGGTAAATACTGAGATCGGAAAGCATGTGTAACTGTGTCAGAGTGATTGCATCCAGGCATTATTGCCAGCCAAGATTGATACATATACCCAATAAGTATAATTGTTTGCTGTGTCAGCCCTTATTGAAGGAATACTCACGGCAGTGGTGATAACCGCTATCATGGCTACCATTACATTACTCATTGTGACTGGTTGTCCCGCTTTCCTCAGGTTTTCTTCCGCCATCTATGACAGCTTCTTGATCTGTCCCCAGGTGGGTGGCTGTGTTCAACGGGTGTTGCTCGTGACAGGTGGGGTCCTCCTCAGCATCGGTCTTGACATGGCTGCAACCAGGGGGTCCTCGGGATCCTCCTGGAGTCTCTTCCTTGGCATCTGGCTCATGACAAGGTTCCAGGTGTCTTGATGGTATCCAAATCAGCTGTTGATTTTGGCCTGGAGTAATACAAGCATAACCTCTACCCCAAGTTATCATTTTACCTATTTCCCAACTTTTTGTTATTGGCTCTCTCCACCAAATCAATTGTTCTGCTTCTGTCTTTGCAGCTGGTTTCTGTAGATGCTGTTCAGCTGCTGAGAACATCTGTCCTTTGGGCAGGCTCAAAAAATTAAAGTTAATAATGCTAGGTTCAGTTGCATCTGCGGTGTTCCATATTCTCTGTCTCCCCCCTTCTGCTTTTGCAACTGCTGTTTTAGGGAAAGATTCATTCTTTCCACTATGGCTTGTCCTTGAGAATTACATGGGATAAGAGTAATGTGTTTAATATTCCACATAGAGAAAAATGTACCTAGAGCTTGGCTAGCATAGCCTGGGGCATTATCTGTTTTAATAGAAGCTGGAATGCCCATCACCACAAAACACTGCAAAAGGTGACGTTTAACACAGGCGGAAGACTCTCCTGATTGGCATGTAGCCCAGACAAAGTGAGAAAAGGTGTCCACACATACATGTACATAAGCTAGTCTCCCAAACGAGGGAACATGTGTGACATCCATTTGCCAAAGAGAGTTAGGTTCCAGTCCTCGAGGGTTAACTCCTCCTGTAAAAGATGAAGAATGTACCATTTGGCAAGTTGGGCATCACTGGACAATAGCTTTAGCTTCTTTCCAGGTAATGCTGTATCTGCGTTTGAGACCAGAGGCTTTAACATGGGTTAAATTGTGGAAGTGTGAAAATTAGATATTGCATTAGCGCCTAGGCGATCAGCCATTTGATTCCCTTTAGTCAAAGGTCCTGGAAGAGGTGCATGAGCCCTAATGTGAGTGATGTAAAAAGGGTGCATTCTACTTCTAACTGCTGTTTGCAATTGGATAAATAAAGTCATCAGTTGTTCATCTGTATGAAATCGTAACTGAGCATTTTCAATTAACTGCGTGGAATGAACCACGTATGAAGAATCAGAAATCACATTAATAGGCATATCAAAAGCAGTCAATACCTCAATTACAGCTACAAGCTCTGCTTTTTGACCTGAAGTATAGGACGTCTAGAAAACTTTATTTTTTGATCCAAAATAAGAAGTTTTACCATTACTAGACCCATCTGTAAAAACATTCTCAGCACCTTCAATTGGCTTAAATTTAATTATTTTAGGGAGAATCCAATTAGTTAATTTCAAAAACTGAAACAGCTTCGTTTTAGGAAAATGATTATCGAGAACACCCACAAAGTCAGCTAAATGGGCTTACCAAGTAAGACTATTTATAAATTTTATAAAAGCTTGCTGTATTTGTGCCTTCGTGAGAGGGACAATAATTTTTCCAGGATCATATCCACGTAATTTAACAATCTCAGTTCTCCCAATTCCTATCATAGTAGCAATTTTATCTAAATAAGGAGTTAGAGTCCATGAATTAGCATGTGGAAGAGAAAGTCACTCTGCTAAGCCCCGTTCTTGGACAATAACACCAGTAGGTGAATGCTGATTTGAAAAAATTAGCAAATCTAGAGTCTTCTCTGGATCTATTCTATTTATTTGAGCCTCATGGACTTTCTTTTCAATCAGTTGTAACTCGACCTCAGTCTCCTTTGTTAATTGCCGAGGGCTAGTAAGACTAGGATTTCCTCTAAGGATAGAAAACAGATTACTCATGGCATAGGTAGGAATGCCTAGAGCAGGTCGTATCCAATTAATGTTCCCTAGTAATTTCTGAAAGTCATTTAATGTTTTTATTGATCCCTATGTATGGTTACTTTCTGTGGCACAATGGTAGTGTCATTTACTAAGGTCCCCAAATAGGATTAAGGAGTAGTAGTCTGAATTTTGTCAGAAGCTATAATTAAACCAGCATGAGAAATCGAATTTTGCAAGTGATCATAACATTGGAGTAATATTTCTCAAGTGGGAGCAGCACAAACTATATCATCCATATAGTGAAAAATGTAACACTGTGAAAACTTTTTACGAGTAGGTTCAATTGCTTGCCCCACATACATCTGGCAAATTGTGGGATTGTTTAACATGCCCTATGACAACACTTTCCAGTGATAACGCTTAGCAGGCTGCAGATTGTTTACTGCAGGAATTGTAAATGCAAACAGTTCACAGTCTTGCTCAGCTAAGAGGATAGTAAAGAAACAGTCTTTTAAATCTATGACTATTGAAGTCCAATTTTTTGGAATTATAGCAGGAGAAGGCAATCCTGGCTCTAATGCTCCCATAGGTTGGATAACTGAATTGATGGCTCTTAAGTCAATTAACATTCTCCGTTTACCTGATTTTTTCTTAATTATTGAAACTGGAGAATTCCAAGGGGAAAATGTTGGAGCTATGTGCCCATTTTCTTATTGTTCAGTAACTAATTTCTCTAAAGCCTCCAGTTTATCTTTCCTTAGTGGCCATTATTCTATCCAAATTGGCTTATCTGTTAACAATTTTCAAGGTATAGGTTCTGGAGGCTTAACAATGGCCGCCATCAAAAATTATTTTCTAATCTTTGGTGGGAACTTTGTCTTTCTGTTTAAAGTGGTTTTTTGAAAACTTGCAAATTTTTTTCTAGTCCTATACCAGGGACATACCCCATTTCATGCATCGTATGTTGATTATGAGGGCTATATAATTGTTCTGGAATTAGAACTTGTGCTCCCCATTGTTGTAATAAATCTCTTCCCCATAAATTTTTAGGTACAGAAGTTATAATTGGTTGAATAGTCCCAGGTTGTCCATCAGGCCCTTCACAATGCAAGATATAACTACTTTGATATACTTCAGCGGCTTTACCAACTCCAGCCACATTAAATTGAGCGGGTTGAATTGGCCACGCAGATGGCCAGTGCTGTAGAGAAATGATTGAAATGTCTGCTCCTGTATCTACCAAACCTTTAAATTTCTTTCCCTGAATAGTTATTTCACAGGTAGCACGTTTATCAGTAATTTGATTTACCCAATAAGCTGCTTTGCCTTGTTTATTTGTGCTTCCAAATCCTCCTGTTCGTTTAATTTCACTTTTTCTCATTCCCACATACGGCACAATCAGGAGCTGTGCTATACGCCCTCCTGGCTCTGCTTTCCAGGGAACAGAAGTAGATACAACAATTTGAATTTCCCCATTGGAATCTGAATCAATGACTCCTGTATGTATTTGTACCCCTTTTAAACCTATACTAGACCTTCCTAAAAGTAATTCTATCGTCCCCACTGGCAAGGGTTCGCAGACTCCTGTTGGGACCTTTTGCGGGGGTTCCCCAGGCAGAAGGCTCACAGCTTTTGTGCAGCATAAATCTACTGAAGCACTACTGGCTGTGGCGGGGGACAGACATTGTACGGGGGTGAGGGAATGGCCTGAGCTGGAAATGCCCGGTTTAGAACGGGGCCCGGGACGGGCCCCTCATGGCGTTTCCCGAAATAGGGTTCCCTTCTTTATCAAACTTAGAGTGACACTGATTAGCCCAATGTTTTCCTTTTTTTACATTTTGGACATATTTCAGGCTCAACAGTTTTCTTTTTTCCCCTATCTGGTGGCCTGACTCACTGATTTTTTCTACATTCTTTTTTAGTATGACCATGCTTCCCACAGTTAAAACAAGCTCCAGGAAATGGAGCATTTCCTTTATCTACTCTCAGTCCTGCCATTGCCTGTGCTAGCAGAGTAGCTTTATGCAGATTACCTCCGATGCCATCACAGGCATTGATATAATCAATTAAATGCACTTTCCCCCTGATAGGTCGCAGAGCAGCCTGGCAATCGGGATTAGCATTGTCGAAAGCTAATAACTGCAACACTATATCCTGAGCAGCCGAATCTGCAATCATCTTTTTAAGAGACTTCTGTAACCGAGCTATAAAATCAACGTATGGTTCTTTGGGTCGCTGTTTTATAGCACTAAAGGAAGGGTATTGTTCTCCACTTGAAGTGATTTTTTCCCAAGCTCTAATGCACACTCCTCTAAGCTGTTCTATGGCATCATCCCCCATGACCAGTTGTGCATGTAAACCAGCCCAGCCGCCAACCCCCAAAAGTTGGTGTGCAGTTATATTAATTTGAGGTTGGGCCTGGGCATTGCGAGCAGCCTGAATGGAAGCTTCATCTGCCCACCGAGTTTTAAACTGTAAGAACTGAGCAGGAGTTAGACAAGCTCGAGTAAGAGCGTCCCAGTCAGTAGGAATCATTCGACTGGAAACAGCAACATTCTTTAACAGTCCCATTACAAAAGGAGAACCTGGTCCATACTGATTTATAGCTTGTTTAAATTCTTTGAGTAATTTAAAAGGAAAAGGCTCAAAAGTAGCTATAATATTTCCCTGTTGATCTGGGGGGTGTATTCTAACAGGGAACTGCCAAGCCTCTAAATCACCCTCTTGTCTGGCTTGCTGAATTCCTGCCTGAATAGAACTAAGAGCGGTCGCTCGAGGCACTGCTCAAACTGTCACTGGGGCAACTACTTTTTGCCCAGCGTCCTCTGGAAAAGAAAGATCTGGAGGGTCTTTTTCTTCAAAATAATGAGGAGGGGGTGCAGAAGGGTAGGGATGAACCTTTCCTTCCTTTGCTGCTTTAGCTTTAGCTGGTAAATAAACACGCTCTGTAACCTCTTCTGTTACTTCGCTATATTCTGGTTCCTCCTCGTCCTCAGTGTGAAAAAGTTCCAAGGTGGAACGAACCAGACCCCATACCTGTCCCATTGTTACCCTGACACTTCCGAGCCCCCCTTCTTATTCACCATGGGGATTGCTTTAAGAGTACTCGGGTGTCCTCCAGCTACTTTTCCTTTCTAACCGTCGCTCTGGCAACCCTTCAACCTGGATTCGAGCCCCCAATGGATGGACACCACTTGCTGAGACCAGCTCGGTCAGGGAGGCCCTAACCCAGCGGCACTAGAGGAATTAAAGACACACACACATAAATATAGAGGTGTGAAGTGGGAAATCAGAGGTCTCACAGGCTTCAGAGCTGAGAGCCCCGAACAGAGATTTACCCACGTATTTATTAACAGCAAGACAGTCATTAGCATTCTTTCTATAGATATTAAATTAACTAAAAGTATCCCTTATGGGAAACAAAGGGATGGACCAAATTAAAGGAATAGGTTGGGCTAGTTATCTGCAGCAGGAGCAGGTCCTTAAGGCACAGATCACTCATGCTATTGTTTGTGGCTTACGAATGCCAGGTGTTCCTTGCCCTCATTCCCGTAAACCCACAACCTTCCAGTTTGGGCGTTAAGGCCATTATGAACATGTTACAGTGCTACAGAGATTTTGTTTATGGCCAGTTTTGGGGGCAATTTATGGCCAGAATTTGGGGGAGGGGGCTGCTGCCAACACTGCGGGCTCTCTCAGAATGCAGAGGCTTCTGCTTTTTCACGAAATTTCTCTTTGCAAGGCTCAAGAACATCCAATAGAGATTTCCCATCACAAAGACTGGGTAACCCTTTCCTGAAAAGAAAGGTAGAATCATTTCAACAACCCCTCTTCCTTCCTTAGTAACATAGAATGTTGATTGTCCTGAGTTCCAGAGCCTCAAAGAGCACCCAGCATAACTGTGGGAGAATAGTAAGCATTGGACACAAAATGGTAAGGAAAGTGCTTGAAGCGACATTTTCTTTTTCCCTTTACTATCCCGAGATGATTAATCTTTTGAAGGTTGAAAGTTTTTTGTGTTTGTTTGTTTGTTGTTGTTGTTGTTGTTGTTGACAGAGTCCTGCTCTGTCGCCAGGCTGGAGTGCAGTGGCGCAATCTCAGGTCACTGCAACCTCTGCCTCCCGGGTTGAAGCAATTCTCCTGTCTCAGCTCTCGAGTAGCTGGGATTACAGGTGCGTGCAACCAAGCCCAGCTAATTTTTGTATTTTTAGTAGAGACGGGGTTTCACCATGTTGGCCAGGCTGATCTTGAACTCCTGACCTCAGGTGATCCGCCCACCCCAGCCTCCCAAAGTGCGGGGATTACAGGTGTCAGCCACTGGGCCCAGCCTGAACATTTTTTTTAATGGTTTAGAGATGATGAGTGTAAATCCATGCCTTCTGGTGCCTGAAGGGCTTGTTTGAGCTGGAACGTCCTTGACTCGGGAAATATCACTGTGTTCAGAGCTCACCTCCCTGTGCATCACACAAAGCGTGCTCTTCCAGAGCTTCCTGAGCTGAGGTGCTTGTTAACAAGAGTATCTTGACTGAGGTCAAGACTAGTCACCTTTTTCAAATTCAGGTGATGGCACCAAATTCTTGGAGGGCTTTGGCAATTCGGCCTAGGTAATTTGTCCTTCGGGAAAATTGCTGAAATACACCAAAATATATAAAAATCCATTTTTTAAATTTCATCACATAAAAGGAAGTCTACAATGAGATTTTAAAATTAAATTGTGTAGTAGATTTCCATGTGGGTAGTGGAGCCCACTTTTTCAAACTTTCCTGTGGTACAATTTTCATTAACATCTTCCTTGGGTACTCAAGAGATTCACTGCTGCTAGAAAGTAACAACTGTAAGACTCCATGTAATATAGCAGGGTTTTATTTGATGGTCCAGAAGAAGAAAGGAAAAAAATTACAAACAAAATCTTCTTGAAATTCCAAAAGACTTGGCAGTCAGAAATGGAACATTCTATCAGAACTGTTGAAGGATACTGAACAGTTGATTCAAACAGTCTTTGTGAATTTTTCAATTAAAAACAGAAGTGAGGACTTGGGTTCCCATTAATTAAGTCTATTTATTAAGCCAGCACAAAGTGTCACTTCTTTTTCCATTCAAGGAAAAGCTGACCTTCTGGTACGGAAGAGCATGAGCAGTGAGTGAGCAGTGCCCATGCGTTGTGAGGCGGCCTCCATGGTATAAGGTGAGGCCCTGCCCCGACCTGGGGAGCACAGAGACTGGAGAATTAGACAGTGTTCCCATCCCTGGATCTATAGCATCAAGTGAGTGTGCAGCCTGAAAATGAGGGACAGGCAGCAACCTCCCAGCCAGTTTTTTTTTTTTTTTTTTTTTTTTTGAGACGGAGTCTCGCTCTGTCGCCCAGGCTGGAGTGCGGGGGCGCGATCTCGGCTCACTGCAAGCTCCGCCTCCCGGGTTCACGCCATTCTCCTGCCTCAGCCTCCCGAGTAGCTGGGACTACAGGCACCCGCCACCACGCCCAGCTAATTTTTTGTATTTTTCGTAGAGACGAGGTTTCACTGTGTTGGCGAGAATGGTCTCGATCTCTCGACCTCGTGATCCGCCCTCCTCGGCCTCCCAAAGTGCTGGGGTGACAGGCATGAGCCTGCGCGCCCGACCCCAGCCAGCTTTTAAAAGGAAGAAAAAAGCAACCCTCCTCCACTCCTCTCCAGCCCCCGTGAAGACCAGCATCTTTTCAGAAGACCAGGAAAAAACAGCCTCGGGCACTCAGTACGGATGGGCAGGTGCCGGGCCTGGTGCTGTCACTGAGGGGCAGCCCAGCAGGGTTAAAGGGGAGGTGGCCCAGCTCCTCCAGGACCCGGGAGACCTGACACAGGCACACTCAAGTGCGCCGGATAAAGAGGCTACAAAAACATGGCAGCCCCTAATGAGATATTTTTGCGCTTGGGCGAACGAAGGGCTGCTTCAGGAGGCTAGTGACGAAAAACCTGCCTGGCTTTTGTGCGGAGAAACGGCAGGCCCTTTCCATCCTTTTCTGGGGGGTAGGTTCTAAAAAGAAGGCCTTTCGGAGTCTTCACGAGAGATGTGGATTTTAAGGGCGACCTTAGGTCATACAGAACTAATCAAGCGAAAACAATAAGAAAATGAGCCTGACAGTCAGCAAGTATCTGAGGACTTTATCAAAAAGAATTAGAAATGGACAAATTCACTGGGAGCTGCAAAGGATCAAATCTGCAAGGTGGCATTGTGTGGCTGGGATTAGATTATTTATTCATTGTTAATTTATTTATTTATGTATGTGCAAATGACCTTGCTGCTGCAGATGCTAAGGCGCCTCTGAAAAGGCCGGGATTTTTAGATCCAGGCCTAGAATATGGGTCCATTTAACTCATTCTTTCCTTAAGGCGATCAGCACTGACTTTTATCTAAGGAGATAGAGGAGGAAAAACCATATGTGTTCAGGGAACGATGCAGGACTCAAGCAGTCCTAAGGACCCAAGTATTTCAGCTTCATTCGAGATTCTGGGGAAGACTCCATGCAGTTGAATGTCCAACAAATTAGCAAATGAATGCTTATGTCAATATGTGAAAAATCCTGGTTAGTTTAAACAGATAAAAAAGCCTCTGGGGAAACCCCAGAAAATGCAAGCTCTTTTTCTTTCTCTTTTTAGTTAATTTAATTTAATTTTTAAAAGAAGGTACAGCACTTCCGGAGTTCCATGGAAACCCACAAAAGTTACACAAAATAAAAAGGTCTAATGGATCCTTGATCTTGTACATGCTTGAAATCGTCTCAGTGCGACCACTGGAAGAAATAAGGAGATTGAATCAGCCATTCTCTGTATCGTGTTCACTATTGAATAGTGCCCTGCCCAAACTGAAAAGCAGAGAACCCATCTTCACCTCCTATACACGCCTAAGGAGTGAAAAACAAATAATTACTCTGTATGTATGACAACATAGTTTGTAGAGGGAACCTGAGGGTTAAATCAGTCATGATCTTATTTTCTCTAGGTTTAGGCAAATAATGATGAACAAAAATGGTCAGTCTGTGTTCCTGCTGACCCAGCACAGTGGGGACGCTGTGTAGGACATGACCTTTGGGGGAAAGGACACAAGAACTCAGCGTGGGGGATCCAGAAAAGAAGTCGCACGTATTGAAGCCAGTAACGCCAAGCCAGTGAATTCTCCTTGACGAGAAAGACCCACTTACTCTGCAGAAGAGATATATGACAGCTGACAATCCCTGGAGGAGAATCTTTCTACTAAATTGGTAAGGGATGCTAAGCAAATGATGTGGACTCAGGAAACAACGCATTTCATGATATACGGTTGCCTCTCAAGGTGAATTCGAGACCCCTCTTGAATTACAAAGAGGTAAGCTGTCTCCAAAAGGGGAGAAAATGAAAGAATGAAAAAAGAAAAAAAAAACAAGGGAAACTCCTTCAAATAGAACAGCAAGATCTCTCACATATTCAGTTGTTCTTGGTCCTTAAAATATTTAGCACCCAAGTGCTGATTAAGTTCTAAAGGTGAAAAGGGAAAACGTAGAGGACTTTTCTATACTGCTGAACATCATTCATTTATTCTCCACTATTTTGAAAGTGGGTATTTTGGCACTAAATACCAAACTACCTAAAGAGTAAAACCTTCAAAATAATTTATCTCCTCATAAATCAGCTTGGACTTACCTAAGAGTAAAGGGATAGTCAGTCTAAAATCAATAACAGTTATAAGCCAAACCTTCATAAAATTATGAATTCCTTAGGTGTGTTTTCAACTTTTAAATCCCATAATTAATTTTCCTGTGTTAGAGTTTTATTTTGTTTGTGGCACGTTGCAATGTAGTGATATATGCCTGCTTTGAATAGGAATTTTTAAATCACTTATTCCTAGTTAGGTTTTTATTTGTAATATGGATAGTGCTGCTTGAAGTAGTAACACTCCACGTTTAAGTTTTCCCCGTAATGGATAGATAAGCCTTCTTTCCCATGATTCCAAATAATGAGCATTTTATTTTAATACTGTGACAGAGTGAAGAAAAGGAGTAAACGTAAAGATCTACCCCAATGTATTTTACAAAAACATCTACTTGGAAATACCGTGGTTTATTATTCCTGGCGACACAACTTGGCATTTTTTTCCCCTTTCTGTTGTGCTTCATTTTATTGCGCTTCACAGATACTGAGTTTTTACTTTTTTTCTTTTCTAGTGTTTCTTTGTTATTTCTTCAGCCTTTATTTTAAGTTCCTACTCACTTGCAAATTTTTTTACAGAGTACGAATGAATGCCTGAAAGTCAAAGTATATGTACCCCGGAACAACTTGTCATTTAACAACAAAAACAAAACTTTGACATTCAGGCCTTCATTTGTACTCTGTAAAAAATCCGCAAATGAATATTTTCTGAAGGGAAGGAAAGAAGCACCTTTACCATTTTGTTATTCTCTTGTTATCTGTGAAGTTTGATTTATTGGAAACTACCAAGAAAGAAATTAGCAGAAATCATCACAGCAAGACTCTTTAAGGAATGGATGGAATTTAGAAAGGAATTAGCTGGAAAAAAATGCAAAATTTTTAAGTGCCAATTTTCCATTTAATTTTCACCAGCAATCCCCATTTCACGAATGCTGTTTCTGAGCTTGAAATGTCAAAATAATCAAAAATAAACATAGCTCACGTACTGAATTTTATCATTAAAATACTTTGTTTTCCATTGAGTGTTGGGACATCTTTTTGTTGATAACTGCTCATGCAGAACACGAGCAGATGTTCTGGTTTTGTGAGGGCATCATAGATAGGATGCTGCTCCTTAGTGGTGGGAGATTCAGAGCTGGCAAAGAAATTCAAAAGTTATCTTTTATAAGCCCGAACATCATACAAAGCAACTAAAGCAAAATGCATCCATATCTTACCATGCTCACCCTTTCCAAGTCATGCACAGGTGTTCATTCTCTCTTTTTATTATGATAGCAGTAAGCAACAGCAACATGTATTGATGCCTTAGAATATTCCAGGCATTGTGCAAAGCAATTATCATAGAATACTTCCTTTCAGACTCAGAATAACCTGTGAGATAGCTATGATTATTTCCATTTTCCACAAGAGGAAACTAGTCATCAACAAGGCTAAGTAACCCTTCCCAGGTCAGATAATAGTGAAGGGCAGAGCTGGGATTTGAACTTGTGCCAGTCTAATTGCAGAGCCCAAGCTCTTAGATACTATGTGCCTGCCTCTTTTAAGCACGGTTCACTTCTGCTTCTTGCTTTTAAATGCTTAAAAATGATTCGATTCTACATTGCACAATTTCTTCTAATGAATTCGACCTCAGCATTAACAGGCCATACAAGTGTACTTTCTGTAGGGTGGCTTGATTTGTCCCTGGAGATGTTGACAGGATTCTGTGAAGGTTTGGGTGGCTACTTCCTCCTTTCCTCTAGAAGCTCTGGCCCTTTCCTAATGGCAAGTCTGCTCACCAGCCCCCAGCTTCCTCTCTCATGGCTCCCATCATGCCCAGACCCACCATTTTCTTTTCTCTGCCTTTTTCTGCTTTATTAGATCTTCTCTCACCTAGTACTTAATACTGACTGCTAATAAGAATAACAAACATTTCTATATGTGCTCAGCACTGTTCTAAAGGATTTATATGTACTAAGTAGCTATAACCTCATAACAACCCTACTGCGGAGGTACAGTCATTGATCCTCATTTACACATATGGAACGGAGACACAGATTGAGTCACTTAACAAAGGTCACACAATTAGGAAATGGTACAGGTCATGATCTTAACCAATGTATTGTGTCGTGTGATGGCACCTTGAGTGATGTGCTTGTGTGCTTATTGTCTGCCTCCTATTTTTAGTGTGTAACAGGAGAGGAATTTCCATGTTGCTCACCAGTGGATCTACAGTCTTTAGAAGAATGCCTAGCATACAGTAGGTCCCAATAAATACATGTTGACTGACAGCTTCTCTCCCATCTTGGCTTATCAAGGGCATTTCCCTGATCCTTATTGAAACTGCGGTAACTCAATCCCATCTTTACATTCACAGGATGAAATGGTCATTCATAGAGTAGTGTAATCTTCAGGTCTTTTGCTCTCTTCAGGTTTGAAGTTTGGGGTGGTGAGGGAACTCAAAGGTCTCTGAGATGGAAGAAACCTTACAGATGTGCTTCTCCGCCCTGCTCAGTACCTTACAAAGGTCATCCCTCCCTGCAAACTTCATCCCCTGAGCTCCTGTGCCTCTGCGTTCGAGCTCGATTTGCCAGTGAGAGACAGCAGGAAATGGAGGCCGGGAAGTTCTAGCCCAGCTACTTCTTTGCCTTGGCACCACAATTCTGCCAGAGGCTGCTCCCTCTGGAACTACCAGTTCCTGCTGCGGGGGGGTCTCCCTTCCAGCTGTTGCTGACCACTCTCCTACAGCTCCCTTGGTCTCCTTGAACAGCACTGTTCCGCTTTGCTCCCTCAGGCCTGATGGTGGGGCCTTCCCACTGTTGCTTGTTCTTGGGTACTTCAGTATCCTTTGTAGGCTTCCTCAATCCTGCTCACATCTCTGTAAATAGCTCTTTCATTTGATACGCTTCAAAAATCCCAGCTGAAAATTCCTTCTTCCTGTTGGGTTGCTAATACAGAGACCACTTGGTCCAAATTCCCATCAAATGCAGCAATCTGCTCTGCAACATCCCCAGCCTCTATTTACCCACTTCCAGCATTCCAAGGCATCTATTCCATTCATAGACCGTCCTATTATTAGAATGTTATTCCTACTATTAAAATGTTATTCCTTTTTTGGAGGCAAAAATGTTATCCCTTTTTTGGAGGCAAAAAAGTTCTGCTTCCCATGAAATGCTATTTCTGTCATCTGAAGCACACAGAATAAGCCTCCTCTTTCCTCTACCTGACAGCCCTGTAAATATTGCAACACAGCTGTCATGACCTCCCCCAAATCTTCTCCTCTCCAGGCTCAATGCATTCCACTTATTTTCCACTTTACATTTCTCCATGCTCCCATTTAAGCACCTGAAAATGAGGGAGTAAAGAAATGGGAGAATGAATTTATAATAGTGGATAGGTGTGAGTGGTAGGATCAGGAAACCAGGAAGGAAGCGGAATCTCCAGATTTCTGGACTTATCCCTGAGGCTCACTTGTCAGCTTCCCACTATACCTCTTTTATTGTTATTACTGCTTAAACTCATATCACTTCATCATTCTCTTTTTTGCATTTTTTGTGTGAAAATAGAATAACATAAAAGTTACCATTTTAACCATTTTTACATGTACAGTTCAATGGTGTTAAATACATTCAAAATATTGTGCAACCATCACCATTATCCATTTCCAGACCTTTTACATCATCCCAAGCAGAAACTCTGTGCTCATTAAACAACAAATTTCCATCCGCTCCTCCCTCAGTCCCTGGTAATCTCTACTCTAGGTTCTGTCTCTAGGAGTTACCTATTCACATAAATAGAATCATGCAATATTTGTCCCTTTGTGTCTGGTTTATTTCATCTAGCATAATGAGTTCAGGGTTCATCCATGTTGCAGTATGTATCAGAATTTCTTTCATTTTTAAGGCTGAATAATATTCCGCTATAGTTATATACCACGTTTTGTTGATCTATTCATCTGTTGATACACACTTGGGTTGCTTTCATCTTTTTAACTATTGTGAATAATACTGCTATGAACAAATATCTGCTCAAGTCCTTGCTTTCAGTTCTTTTTGATATGTACCCAGAAGTGAAATTGCCAGATCATATGGTAATTCTATGTTTAACTTTTTTGAGAAACTGCCAATCTGTTTTCCACGGTGTCAGTACCATTTCTTATTCCTACCAGCAATGTGTGAGGGTTTCAGTCTTCTCATATCCTCAGCCAATACTTGTTTTTTTGTTTAGTTTTGCTTTTAATTGAGATAAGGTCTCACTCTCTCACCCAGGCTGGAGTGCACTGGTGCCATCCTGGCTCACTGCAGCCTCTACCTCCTGGGCTTAAGCGATTCTCCCACCTCAGCCTCCCAAATAGCTGGGATCACAGGTGCATGCATCCATGCCCAGCTAATTTTTTTAGTTTTGGTGGATACAGGGTTTCCCCATGTTTCCTAGGCTGGTCTCAAACTCCTGAGCTCAAGCGATCTGCCTACCTTGGCCTCCCAAAGTGCTGGAATTACAGGCGTGACCCACCAGGCCTGGCCCAACACTTGCTTTTTTTTAAAAAAATAGCCATCCTAACAGGTGTGACCATTCTCTTTAAAATTTTTTTAAAAAAGGTTTATTGGGGTAACTGACGTACAATGAAACAGCAATATTTAATGTGTATAATTTGATACGGTTTGACATATGTATATACCCATGAAACCGTCATCACAGTCAAGATTATTGCTACCATTTCTATTACCCCAGAAGTTTCCTCAAGCCCCTTCACAATCTCTCCCTCCTCCTCACCACTCCCTTTCCCAGGCAACTTCAACCAGTTATTAACCCCCTATGTACTTCAGTTCCCCTTACCTCACCTGCTCATTTCCTTCCATCTGTGAAGCTTGATCGCTTGGATCCAAGATGAGGGCAAAATGTATTAGCAGATACATTCAGTAACTTTTACACATACCAAGTTCCCTGCCCCCAGCAAGCCAGCCATAAGTACCAAGAACTTATGAAACTTAAGAGGAAGTTGAAAATTAAACTTGCAGTCACTGCTTATACCTCCCTCTTTTCCAGACACATACAAAGAAATCAGATTTAAATTACAGTTACCTTTGAGGTAAGAATTATTATTACGATTTCATAGACAAAGGAACTGAAGCTTGAAGAGGTTAGACAACTTGTTCAGAATCCTACAACTCAACACCAAAAGCACAAACCATAAAAGAAAACATTGATAAGCTGGACTAGATCAAAATTTAAAACTTTTGTGCTTAAAAGACACCAATGGGCTGGGTGCAGTGGCTCATGACTGTAATCGCCAACACTTTGGGAGGCCAAGACCGGTGGATCCCTCGAGCCCAGCAGTTCAAAACCAGCCTGGGCAACATGGTGAGATCCCCATCTCTACCCAAAATACAAAAATAGCTGGGTGTGGTGGTGCACACTTGTAGTCCCAGCTACTCCGGGGGCTGAGGTGGGAGAATTACCTGAGCCCAGAAGGTCAAGCCGTAGTGAGCTGTGATTGTGCCATTGCACTCCAGCCTGGTTGACACAGTGAGACCCTGTCTCAAAAAAAAAAAAGACACGATTGAGAACATAAAAAGACAAGTCACAGGCTGGGATAAGATGTGTGCAAATCATATATGTGATAAAAGACTTAAATCTAGAATATATAGAGAGCATTTACAATGACCAACACATAGAAAGTTCTTGCCAAATGACCAAATTTTTTATATGAGCAAAAGATTTGAATAGACATTTTCCCAAAGGTGAAATGTCAATGTCTAATATATGAAGAAAAGATGCTCAAAACTATTATTCATTAGGGAAATGCAAATTAAAACCAGAAGAAGATACCTCTAGACACCCACTAGGATGGCTATGATGAAAAAGACAGACAATAACAAGTGTTGTTAAGGAAACAGGGAAATTGAAACCCTTATGTATTGCTACTAGGATTGTAAAATGGTACAGACACTTTGGAATGCAGTTTGGCAGTTTCTTAAAAACTTAAACAAACGAATAATACAACCCAGCAATTCTATTTCTAAGAATCTATCAGAAAAATGAAAATCCATGTCCACACAAAGACATGTACACAAAAGTTTATAGCACTATTATTCATGCTAGTCAAAAACTGGAAACAGTCTAAATAGCTATCCACTGATGAATGAATATGCAAAATATGGTACATTCCTACAATGGAATACTATTCAGCAATGAAAAGGAATGGATTTCTTTACATGCTACAACATGGATGAACTTTAAAACCATTAAGCGCAAGAAGTTAGACACGAAATACATACTGCATAATTGATTCCATTTATAGGAAATATCTAGTAAAAACAAACTTACAGAAGCAGAAAGCAGATGGAAATGTTCTAAAACTGGTTTGTGGTGGCAGTTCCACAACTCAACAAATTTACTAAAATCACTTACAATGGGTGAATTTTATCATACGTAAATTATACTTCAATAAACCTCCTTGTAAAATCACACGACTATTAAACGGTAGCACAAGTTGTAAAGAAAGTTATCTTCAAAGACCTATGATTAGTAAACCTACTCAAAGACATAGGATGTAGAATATATAAGTTGGTGCTGGAGTTCCTCCACCTCCCTAAAAATTAACAAGAAGCTTATTTGGGGGATTGTATTAAACAATCATACTTTAGTTAATTCTTTCATTAAAGGCCATTAGTTATTTTATAGCCTTTTACTGTGTTTTAGATGTCTCACAGTTTTACGTCAGTCTATTATATTCCCTGAAGACTTTGTTAAATATATACAGTGGATGTATTTTTGTGATTTTAGTTTAAATTTGCTTTATATGAATTCTTACAGTTGAAAACATTCAAGTACGGAATAAACTATTACTGCGAATACGCTCATATGACACAAGAACAATCTCTGAGCTTCTTTGAGGATGTCCAGATGACTGCTGACTGCACTAATTGCATCAATCGTGTATCCATACAGGTTCTTTCTATAAAATAGTGGTCGCTAGTTATGAGGCGTTAAGCCTTCATGGATATAAACAGACTATTCCACCTAAGTGATCTGGCAGAAGCTTAGTTTTCTACCACAACATCCACCGTCCTCCCTCCCTCCCTTCCTAGCTGGTCAGAAAAGCTACTCAGAATAAAGACTACATTTCCCAGCCATCTTTGCAGCTAGGTTTATCCACCTGACTAAATTCCACCGGTAAGATAAAAGCAGAAGTGTTTTTTTGTTTGTTTGTTTGTTTGTTTGTGACGGAGTTTTGTTCTTATTGCCCAGGCTGGAGTGCGATGGCACAATCTCGGCTCACCGCAGCCCCTGCCTCCTGGGTTCAAGTGATTCTCCTGCCTCAGGCTCCCGAGTAGCTGAGTTTACAGGCGTGCGCCACCACGCCCAGCTAATTTTGTATTTTTAGTAGAGACGGGGTTTCTCCATGTGGGTCAGGCTGGTCTCGAACTCCCGACTTCAGGTGATCCGCCCGCCTCAGCCTCCCAAAGTGCTGGGATTACAGGCGTGAGCCACCGCGCCGAGCCTAAGCAGAAGTGTTTGCAAGTGCCCTGAGAATCGTGCTTAAAGGGAACAGACTCAGCTAGAAAGAAGCCCTTTCCACCATTCCACCTTTTCCCCTTCTTCAGGCCTGCCACAAGAATACGAAGGCCAGAGCTCCAGCAGCTGTTGGAGCCACGATGTGACCCTGAAGGCAGGAAACTCAGCTTTGGAAGGTAGAGAGCCTGGGTAATACCTGGAGCCGCCACATCAGCATGGGCTGCTGCCTCCATTCTTCTCTTATGGAACAGAAAAACATGCTTCTGTCCTGTTTAAGACATAGGGGCCAAGTTTCTTTTACTCACACAGAGCCTCATCCTAAGTGACACAAGGTCTAACAGAAAAAGATCCAATGGAATCCTTTCTCTAAGGAATGAGCGGAGAGAGGAGAGCAAGGCAATGAAGTTCTTTTTTTTTTTTTCCAGATGGAGTTTTCGCTCTTGTCGCCCAGGCTGGAGTGCAATGGCACAATCTCGGCTCACGGCAACCTCCATCTCCTGGGTTCAAGCAATTCTCCTGCCTCAGCCTTCCAGCCTCCCAAGTAGCTGGGATTACAGGCATGCACCACAACGTCTGGCTAATTTTTTTGTATTTAGTAGAGACAGGGTTTCACCATATTAGTCAGGCTGGTCTCGAACTCCTGATCTCAAGTGATCCACCCACCTTGGCCTCCCAAAGTGCTGGGATTATAGGCGTGAGCCACTGCACCTGGCCGGAAGTGAGGTTATACAGCAGCATGTCTGTGAGGCCTCAGCAGAGAGGTCCAGTCACACTCAGTAGCCATGGTTAACGACTACACCTGCTATGCTGGAAACCACCTCAATAACGAGATTCATAGAACTATACTTAATAACTGCTCCCTAGTGATACAGCAAAAGGTGAATACATACACATCAAATGTTCACGTCCCAAATCTGGTTTATTTCTTCCAACATAAAGATTGGAGAATTATTGTAAGGTGAAAGCTAAGTCCATCAAGGAGTCCCTGAAATGCTGATCTAATCAGAAGAAGCTTCTTAAAATTCTCAAACTCTGCAGTTTCTTAAAATTCTTAAAAATACAGTGCTTGTTGACCATATGTAAGATGAATATATTATCTAGATCCTCTGTCTTTTCTCTGAATTATGTACCACTCAGACTTAGACTCACCAAGACCTACATGTGCTAGGCCTCTCACGTGCTAGTTAATGAACATAATATAGTAGCTATCTTAATGCCATGTGCAGATAAATGTTTCATGATTTTTTTGTGTGAGAAAAATGTGAATTTTTTTTTTTTTTTTTTTAGGCAGGACCTTGCTCTGTCACCCAGGCTGTAGTGCAATGGTGTGATCTCAGCTTACTGCAGCCTCAACCTCCTGGGCTCAAGTGATCCTACCACAGCTTCCTGAGTAGCTGGGACTACAGGTGTGTGCCACCACACCTGGTTAATTTATTTTATTTTATTTTTGTAGAGATAGGGTCTCACTATGTTGCCCAGGCTGGTCTTCAACTCTTGGCCTCAAGTGATTCTCTTGCCTCAGCCTCCCAGAGGGCTGGGATTATAGGCATGAGCCACCACGTCCAGCCTAAATGTGATGAGTTTTAGACCTATGATAATGGTTTGCTGGTGGTAGTACAGGGCAGATAATGCATATGCCAGTATCTTCAGTGAGGAATTGCTGCAAAGCATAGGTGGGTTCACTGGTGGAATAGAGTGTGGATTGGTAGTTTGGGCTCTAGTGCAGATGTATTGCCAATTTTAGGCTTAGAGATCTAACAAACATACTTAGATTCACACAAACATTAATTCCTGCCCTCATATCATATGGCCGGCTCTCAAGATGATGCCGAAGAAAGACAAGAAGCATATGTGGTCAACATGGAAGTTTAATTTGGACCTTACTCATTCAATAGAAGATGGAACTTTTGATTCTGGAAATTTTGAACAGTTTCTAAAAGGTTAAAATCAATGGAAAAACTGAAAATCTCACAGATGTTGTTAACAGTGAATGCTTCAAAAATAAAATCACAGTTGTTTCTGAGAAACAATTTTCTAAAAGGTCCTTAAAATGCCTCACCAAGAAATACCTTAGGGAGAACAATCTTCGTGATTGGCCTTGAGTGGCTGCATCCTGCAAGGAGCCTCACTGACCTCACTGCCTCCCCATCAGTCACAGTGAAGATGGGTGAGCCTGAGGAGCAGGTAAAGCTTCCTTCCAGGGCTTTGCTTACCAATACAACAAATCGAGCATACACGAGAAAGAAACATCTAGAAATTGACTTTCAGTTTATTGGTGAATAAAAACATTGTACTCTTTAAAACATTAATTCCTGAAATTAATCTTCCTTAGAAGCCTCATCTTTCTTGAGTCTCAAATTTCTTCCCTGTTCCAGAAAGAAAGTGGACAATATGACCTCTGCGGTTCCCTTGCTGAGGATATGAATTCTCTTCTGGAAGTGACCAAAACATAAAAATATAAATTAAAATAGTGCATATACGGCTGGGCGCGGTGGCTCACGCCTGTAATCCCAGCACTTTGGGAGGCCGAGGTGGGCGGATCACGAGGTCGGGAGATCGAGACCATCCTGGCTAACACGGTGAAACCCCGTCTCTACTAAAAATACAAAAAATTAGCTGGGCGAGGTGGCGGGCACCTGTAATCCCAGCTACTCAAAAGGCTGAGGCAGGAGAATGGCGTGAACCCGGGAGGCGGAGCCTGCAGTGAGCCGAGATCGCGCCACTGTACTCCAACCTGGGCGACAGCGAGACTCCGTCTCAAAAAAAAAAAAAATAGTACATATACACTAAGTAAACACATTGTCTTCAGATTTGATGAAATGGAAATGTTCTGGGAAAAAACCGACATGCTTCAGGATGTACGTAGTAAGCAAACGATTTGGCTATTGAGACAAATGACCTTTCCCTTAAGATTTCAAGTCGCTAGTTATTTTAGACCTTGAAAGTTGAAAGTACTACGTTAAAACTAAAAATACATGTTACTGTGGAAATCAAAGGCGGACTTGGCATGTACGTAGTTGTCCAATCTTAATACTTTCAATAGACCTTCTTAGATACAGATACTTCGGCTATCTGCCCTGGCTGAGAGAGCCACACACCAAGCTTATCCTACTGGGTGGCTAAATGCAATCTGTGGGAAATAAAGTGGTTACAAAGTCCTTCTGCTTGTGGCTTGTCTAAACGTCCTCCCTACAGTTTAATGCACGGTATGTGGTCATCCTGGCTAGTAAGCCTAACCTGGCCAGATGGAAACAACCCAGTGTAGTTTAGAAATTAGAAAGTGTGACTGCAAGCCCCTGGGCTGATAGGCCGAAGGAGTGGTTTACTTTGAAATTCTGAGAGCCCAGAGTCCTCTCACAAGGTACATCGTAAGTTCCTAGACTCCTAAACCTCTCTGAAATCCATTTGGTTCATCAAGAACTAACTAGGCAGTCATGACAAAGGTTACATAGTAACAAGTGGAAAAGGCATACTGTGACTCACACCAAATAGGCTGTGATTTTCCTAGTAAGTAACATTGCTCCTTGCACACTAAATTATCCCATATGAATTTCTATGTCAATTTTTTTATTGCTGAAGTCATACAGGCAAATTCTGAAATGGGCGAATCTCTAGGAACAGAGACTAGATCACTGGTTGCCTGTGGCTGGGGTAGGAGATTGACTATAAAGTCTGGGGGAGGCGTTCTGGTTCTTGAGTTTGAAAGTGATGTACATTTATCAAATCCACATTCAACTGTGTACGTAAGAGGTGAATTTTATTGTATGTAAATTATACCTCCATACACCTGAGTTCAATTTTTTTTGAATCATACATCAAAAAACACAAACCAGATAATCATATTTGATCCAATTCTCTGGGTATTTTAAATACCCCACACGCATACAAAAACCCTGGCTAGAATCAGTATCTCAGCTGCTGACATAAGTATTAGACCAGAAGGACAGCAGACGAATGACACCTAACATTTGCAACCAGTGCTGCCATGAAGTCTCACTGAGATAAAACAACATTTTACCATCCACTGCATGGAATATGTTCAGCAGTGGGTAACATAAGAAATTAGGCCAGAACACTAGATCATAGTTATCTGGGACTCTAATGTGGAGTTAGTCCAGTCTCTAAAACTCTTAACATTTATTACCCTAAAATTCTGTCATGAGTTTCAGGATGCATTAATAAAATGCTTGTTTATTTCTTTAGGCACTTTGATGAATGCCTCAATAGCATTTTCTTAATTTTATTATGATCAATCACTAATAATTTTTTCTATGTATAATATTTCAAAACTTTTCAGTCTGCCTCAGTAGATTTTCCCCTAGGCTTTTCCATGCCAGCACTGCTAAACTTACACATCTGAACTTACTGACCAGCTAAATGTACTAACAGGTCTCAGTGTTCATGTGATATAACATGCTCTGAAAGAATTAGCGTAAGATTGTAGCATTTCATTCCTTACACTGAAAAGACAAATTTTATTGCAAAATCAAATATCTAAAATTATGTTCCTAGATAATATCTAAAATTCTTTTCCTACACTAAGAAATACATTTTACACCTTAACCCAGTATAGACACACACTCACACACACACACACACACAGAGAAAAAAGGTTTCATGAAAAAAATACCCTTACTATATGAGGTGCACTCCTACATTCTGTTCTATTTTGTTTTTTCTTAAATGCTGGTGATGACACATTAAATTGATTTTATGACCTACTAATGGATTCCATCCCACTATTCAATAAGCACTGTCTTAGGCCTTTGCATGTGTTAGTGTCTCTGCTTGGAATATCGTTTACTTTTTCTTCTCCTGGCCAACTCTTACCTGTCTGCCAAGATCCAGTTTAGGGTGTCTATCCGTCTCCTGCTCCCTGGATTAGTAGCCCTCTGTGTTCCAACAGCACCTCTTATACACCTGACACTCTATGTCAATCTCTTCACCAGTTTGTTGCCTCCTCTTAACTGTGAGACTCTAGGGGACAGTGATGGAGTTGCTCATCCATGTGCCCCCCTCTGCCTAGGAGAGAGTGCCCAACATAGAACAGACCTTCAAAGAATATCAGCTTAATGCGTAATTCATCTATTCCAGTTTTCATCTGGGTAGATTGAGATGTCCAAGATTACAAAGTTTGGCTATCTCCTGAGGGAACTCTTACACATTTCAGTAGCAGAGCCACCCAGAGGTGTCTAACTTTAAGTGCTTCTCTCCCCATTATGGTTTACAGCAGCAACTTTCAAATTTTTTAATCTAAGAATTCTTTTACACTCTTAAAATTAATCAGGACCCCAATCAGCATTGATTTATGTAGGAGATAATTATTTATATGTAATTATTTACTGAGAAATCCAGAGCACATACATTCATTCTAACTATCAATGTTTACCAATATAAAAACTGAGAAATATTTAAAACATAAGCAGTACGCAGCATACTTTTCAGTAGCCATCAGAGCAACGGTGTTATCACGCGTCACTTCTGCACACCCCACTCCATGCACATCAGAACGAGAGTGTGAATAACATCTTAGTAGTATTACAAATAGTTTTGACCCCACAGGCCCCTGAAAGGGTCTCAAGGACTCCAAAAAGTCCTCAGACCGTACTTTGAGAACCACTGATTCAGAGCATTTAAGTTATAGACACTGCTGCTCACGGGGGCTCGATAAAAAACCCTCTGCTTTTATCACCTGGGTCTGGAACTGAGAGAGAAGTATTATGTGGGTCAGCTTTATTATTGACAGAACTCTTGGATAATATGGCATGATTGTATGGTAACAATGATCTTCTGAATATTGTGCCCCAAATTTATCGCCTAGTCACAGTGCTAAAAACTGCAGCTCTCCCCCCAGAGGCAGGCTCCTGTAAAACTTTTGAGCCAGAAAGGCAGTCCAGAACGCAAGCGCCCTGTTGGCAGTGGCTCCCAGTGCAGAGAAAGGGGCTGGGCTATGCTCTCCCACAGTGCAAATCAGAAATGTCACTCTTCTACTCCTGGGAGGAAAAAATAAGGAGAGAGAAGAGAGAAGCCAAGAATGTTATGCTAGTGGGGCTCCCCTAACAAGGAAAAGAACATCAGGAATGGATAATACGAGCTAGGCACGATGGCTCACGCCTGTAATCCCAGCACTTTGGGAGAACGAGGTAGGGGGATCACTTGAGGTCAGGAGTTTGAGACCAGCCTGGCCAACGTGGTGAAACCCCATCTCTACTAGAAATACAAAAATTAGCTGGGCATGGTGGCGGGTGCCTTTAGTCCCAGCTACTCAAGAGGTTGTAGCAGGAGAATCACTTGAGCCCGGGAGGCAGAGGTTGCAGTGAGCCAAGATCATACCACTGCACTCCAGCCTGGGTGACAGAGTGAGACTCCACATCAAAAAAAAAAAAAAAAAAAAAAAAGAATGGCTAATCAGTATTATCCCATATGGCACTGAGCAGCAAGTTTGTTGTGTTACCTAAAATTACATATTTTAGCAGGGTACCAATTTTATGAAATTTTCCTATCACTAAAAAAACCTGTATAATTTGTGAACCTCTTTGTAAGAGTGAATACATGATACATTGAGGTATTATTTACACTCACAGAAATTGGTATCACATTTTAATATGCTAACATTCCCATATGTTAATGCCTGCTTGGACCACTGTTCACCTTTCTTCTCCTCGTTCATTCTTGCCTTCACCTGCAAGTGCTATGCCGACATGTTAAATAATTTTCTAAAAAATCTCAGATACTTGTCATCTATATTAGGAATAATGTGTCTTCTTAAAGTAACTCCAGGTTGAAGAACTTCTACTTATAGGCATCTATTCAACGAAGACGAATCCTGGAATGGGGATGGAAATGATGGCTCATGTCTTAGCAAACTACCAGTACGTCTACTAGAACCGGGTACTTCTTTCACCAATATGAGCACAGTCAGAACGAGGTTGTTTTTCCTAGTGAAGAGCACAAGAGCACATTCTCCCAAGTTTTCTGTTCCTCAAATACTACATACAAGATTAAGCAGCATTACATGTAAACAATATCCCTTGAGCATATACATTCATGACATAAAGAGACACTAAATTAAAGTGTCTGATGAGTATTGTCAAGTCTTTCTTGCCAAATAGAATGATTTTGTTGAATAGATACTCTTGGCCTAGAAATGTGTTAAACTATTCCTGAGTTTTCCCAGCTGTCTCACACTGACAGTGTTTCAGGTAGCAAGACTTATGTAATTTCCGTCCCAATAAATATATCTTAAAAGGAAGTGATGTCAGTGACATTAAATTACAGCACAGCTTGGGTGTCAATGCCACAGGAAAGAGGAGAGATGGGAAAATAAAGTGTTATCACTGAGCAAGGTTTTAAAACGTAAAATTTCCCATGTACTTTAGACAAACATAAATCTTTGGGCAACCAGAAAGAACTTAAAACATTCTGATCCAAAGGCCATAGTCCAAATCTTTTTATAGATTCCTCAGGAAAATAACTTAGGATAGATAAAAGTTGTCAGTGCTTTTTGTAAACAATAAAGTTACAGTGATTTTTAAATGAAGCGATGAGATGAA
This sequence comes from Homo sapiens, assembly GCF_000001405.40. NCBI lineage: Eukaryota > Metazoa > Chordata > Mammalia > Primates > Hominidae > Homo > Homo sapiens. Next base: position 185,070,712 of record NC_000004.12, read on the forward strand.
AATAAAAGACTAAAACTCTTTAGAATAATGATTTATGAGTAAACCAAGGCAAAGCTTCATTTCAATTTGGAATAAAAGTGATTATGAAGCTAAAATTCAAGAAACTGAACTCTAGGTTTCATATTACTTTTTAACATTTTCCTCTGCCAAATAAATAAAGGTCATTTCTTCCCTCTTCCCTTTCCTTTCCCCTTTTGAGGGGTGATCTTTATGAAATGAAATGTCCTCTAAAGCTTACATCCATTCTTTCCCGTCCTTTAACACAAAGAGTTTTACCAAATGTGGTTCACTCCGTTATTTTCTTCTGCCCAATCCCAATACCTGGGTGTGTTTGCTTAGATTTCAAGCTACTGCTAAATTTTTCAATTTCTGTCAGTGCTCCCACCCACTGGAAGTAGAAGTTTCTTAGCAGCAAAAATATTAATTAAATGAAGCAAAACCCCACTGTTTACTAACTGCATATATGATTTCCTACCCAAGTACAAATTTCAGAGTTAAGTGTCTTCACCAAATAAACTGAGAAACCCTAGACAGTGGGAAGACACAAGCATGCCTCATGTTGCCAAAGAAAATAAGAAAGACCTGACAAACTACTGGCTAAGCATTAGACAGACACATAGATAGAATCAATGTGCTTTTTCTCATGCAAAGAAAAAAATTAGATGCAAACTTTACATTTAAAACTGCATTGTTCCCCTTTAATCTGGCCACCATCCGAGTGGTGATCTGGATGTTAGAGAAGAGATGAATGGGAGACATTGGCAGGGATTGAAGCTTGGGGATGAATGTGGAAATGTAGAATGGATGTTTCTTTTTTTTGGCTTTGAGTTGACTGTTGTTTCTGTCTGTTTTTTAGAACTGATCCGAGAGGACAGGGAAGTCAGTGTGGGCGGCTCTAAGGAGCCTCCCTCTCTACAGCTGCGGCTCAGAGGATTACGGCGCTTCATCCACAAGGCAACATTGCACAAGTAGCTTTTGAACAAAAGTCATGGATACTATTAATGATATGGTAATCCTTAATCGAGCTACCTCCCAGTAGTGATTATACTGACATGGGAAGAATATCTAAGTCGTGGAGGCAGCCCACAACAACACTGTGTCATTGTTCACCCCGGGCTCGACCAGGACTAACTTTTACCAGCATCTCTAACGTCACCTTTCCCCTGATGCCTCCCCACAACCCCTGGCCCCAGCTCCCATTCCCGCCCCATCATAGCAAAAAAGTAGCAAAGAAAACCCTGATCCTAAATCTTTTTCTGGATTTTTTTTTGCAAGTTCCCACACACATTTAGTGTCGTCTCAAAATTCACGCTGTCAACTGTCTCTAGGAATCATTTCCATCTGAGAACAGACCACACAAAGGTTAGTTCGGTGGGTCTCAGTGAAGATGTTTTAATTGTCTGACAATAGATTCTTCCATCATTTGACTTGCAAATACTGTCCTCTTGCTCTCAGATAACATGTTCAGAATTAGACCATTTGTCAATAAATTTCCCAAAACTCCTTAATTATGATACTGAAATACAAGTGGTTTGCCATTTGACAAGACTCAATTACAATCCAGCAGGGAAAATCTTATGGCTCACTAAACTGTGGGACTCCCCGAAAGGCCAAACTTAATTTACTCATAGATGAGTCCCCTTAACATAAGGAAAGTGACCTTCATAAAGACAGAATATATCTATGATTTTTATGTAATTATATGTGTGGGATAAACATGTTCAAATGACTTGTGGTAAATGTACTAATGAAGCTAAAGAAACTATACCCTAACTACCACCCTGACCTAATTATTCTTTTTCCATAGCTCATTAATATTTTTAAATGATGCCATTTCTCTGCCATTCAAAACAAATCTAAACAAAACCAATAACTGATATAATTTTATGGATACCCTCCCATATTCATGAGACCACATAGATGATCTTTCTAAACCCTATAATACGCCATGCCAACACACAGTGAAATTGGGATGTGAAAAAAGTCTGCTTTTTCTAACAAATATCTCTGGAGGAGATCATTGTTCTAAATCAGCTTTTCATTATTCTTTGCTAAGAAAAAAAAACTGTTGGAAAATACACATATTTTTAGCAGAACTGCCATCTTTAACCAATGTGAGATGTATACATTTTATCCAATATATGACTATAAAGAACAAACAAAAAATTGTCTACATATAACATTATTAGAGGCCACAGCCATAAATAGGTTCATATTGAGCACTATGATAATTTATAAAATACTTTAGAGCCACAAAACTAATGTACTGACTTCTATGTTAAAATTAATAATTAATTGATTTTGTTTGAAGGCTGGATTTGGGCAAAATGATAAGGGCAGAAACTTTCCCTCTTCATTTTAGATACACTTTATATTTGGATATTTATGATAACCCATTATTGCTTTTCCAACTTAAAAGTAAGAGTAAGTGACAAAAACACATGAAGTGCTTGAAACGTCTGAATATCTTATCGTCTCTAAGTGGTTTTGTTTTCTGAATTTATTCATATGAAAGTGCCACTGTGGCAATTTCACAGTCCCAGCAAAGTACAGAGTAAAAGTTTTGAGATTCTGGTTTATGTAAAAATTGGCTACACAAATCAATACATCATGTCAAATAAAAGCATAGAAGCTTTAACCTCATCTCATTTATCTACATACATCTTCCACTGCCGAGGGGAAGCCCAGCTGATCATCACCTCACCTAAAAATTATTAAGCATAATTTTCTTTTTTTTTCTTTTTTTTTTTTTTTTTTTTTGACGGAGTCTCACTCTGTCTCCCAGGCTGGAGTGCAGTGGCGCCATCTCAGCTCACTGCAAGCTCCGCCTCCCGGGTTCACGCCGTTCTGCTGCCCTCAGCCTCCGGAGTAGCTGGAACTACAGGTGTGCGCCACCACGCCCGGCTAATTTTTTATATTTTTAGCATAATTTTCATAACCTGGAACGTATAATGAGAAAAGTATTGGCCTTAGAGCCAAGCAAGCCAGGCCTCGCCACAGAAATGTTTTGTCCTGGCCAAGCGCAGTGGCTCACGCTGTAATCCCAGCACTTTCGGAGGCCGAGGCAGGCAATCACCTGAGGTCAGCAGTTTGAGACCAGCCTGGCTAATACAAAAATTAGCCAGGCATGGTGGTGCGCGCCTGTAGTTCCAGTTACTCGGGAGGCTGAGGCAGGAGAATCACTTGAACCCAGGAGGCAGAGGTTGCAGTGAGCCGGGATCATGCCACTGCACTCCAGCCTGGGGAACAGAGCGAGACTCTGTCTCAAAAAAATAAAATAAAATAAAGAAATATTTCGTTCTGGATTCAATGTCTGTAGTTCAAAGATACACATCTATTTGCTTAAAGAAAGTAATAAATACTTAAAATTCATATTTAATCTAGATGAGCTATTTTATTATAATATTCTGGCTTTGGTGGATAATTGTCTAGCCTCCTGCAAACATTGGGCAAAATGATTCATAATCGACTTTCTTCAATTTACTAAACTTGTGAGGAAAATTCAAGTTTTCTATCACATTGTATAGACAGAGAAACTAAGGCACAGAGACCTTAGGAACTGATTTAGTTGGGATAAAAGACTGAATCAATTTCTTTCTTCCATCATGCTGCCTACTCTAATTTAAAAGATTTGCTGTCGAATTCAGGGCTGGCCCATAGGAATACACTGCAAACTACATTCGTAATTTTAAATTTGCTAACAGCACACTAAAAAAGATGCTTTTAAGTGGAATTAATTTTAATGACATATTTTATGTGGCCCAATATATCTAAAATATAATCACTTCAATATGTAATCAATATAAAAATCATTGAGAGGTTTTAATATATTTTTAATACCAAGTCTAAATTGAATTCAGACTTAAAAAAAAATAAGTAACCAGAAAACATGTGAGTTTCCTGTAAAATCTAAACCTTGCATTGCAAGCCACATTTCAAGTGTAACCTTACTTGTTGGCACAGTAATGGCTAGCAGAGGCACAATTGCTTGTCCTGACTGTCCAGAAGGCAAGGTGGTATTGAGTATGTGGGCTCTGGGCAGGTGCAGTCTGGGTTTGCACCCTGTCTCCGCCACTGCTAATTGGAGGACAATGGGCAAGTTACTTTCTGTGTCCCAGCTTTCTCATATGTGAAGCAGGGCTGTTGTAAGAATGAAATGAGTTAGTATTTAGTGCCTGACAAGTAGTAGGCATTAAATGTTAGCTATTGGTACTGCTATTGTCAGAGAATGCACAAGAGTACACAAGAGCTAATTATTATTTGTACCCTCCCCCCAGTGAAATTTGTAAGAAACTAGACATGCTAGGTCTATATAACAGGGTTTGTCATGTGTTAAATTGTGTCCCCAAATGACATGTCACAATCCTTATCCCCTGCACCTCAGAATATGCCTTCATTTGAAAATAGGGTAGTTGGAGATGTTACTAGTTAAGACAAGTCATACTGCAGTAAGTTGAGCCCTCAATCGGAGAAGACTGGTGTCTTTATGAGAGCAAGGAAATTTGGACACAGAGACAGAGACACGCAGTGTGCCATATGACAGCAGAGGCAAAGATGAGAGTGGAACAGCCGCAGAACAAGGCTCACAGGGATTACCAGTCACCCTGAGAAGCAAGGAAAGGGGAGGGAAGGATTCTTCGGAGCTCAGAGGGAGCGTGCCCCAGCTCACACCTTGATCTTGAACTTCCAGCCTCTGGAACTCTGAGAGAATACATTCCTGTCATTTTAAGCCACCCAGTTTGTGGTGCTTCATGATGGCAGCCCTAGGAAAGTAATACAGAGTTCTTCACCCAAAAGGAAGCACTCTGTCTCACCAACAGCCAAGGTCCTGGATGACTGACAACCTGAGATTGCAGACCTCCGAGAAATTGAAGTAGGCTCTATAAAGTCTGGGCAGCCCCGTCTTCCAAAGGCTGCTTCTCAAGTCCACACACACACTTTGGAAGGAGAATCCTGCTCTTGGACGTGGTATTCTTGGTGGGACAGCTACCTATAAAATGAATGAGGTAAGTCACAAACCCAGAGAAATAATTCCATTGGTTTCTTGGTGATTAAACTAATGCGAGCATGTCACAAAGTCTACCATTTGTTCTTAATGGACTTTATCATTTTTTGCCACAGTTTTTTCAAACATCTTATTATGGTCAAAAGATTAATTTTCGTTCAGTTTTTTATTTGTTTCTTTGTTTTAGAGACGGGGTCTCACTTGGTCACTCCAGCCAGAGTGCAGTAGCACCGTCATAGCTCACTGCAGCCTCAAACTGCTGGGCTCAAGTGATCCTCCTGCCTCAGCCTCCTGAGTTTAATTCAGATTTTTAAAAAGTTTTGGTATTTATGTGTATCCTTAAAAACTGGGGGACTAAAGGTGGGACTCACAAAGAAGTAAAATAAAAATAGTCTAAAGTGATATGTATTTTTATATTGTTAATACTCCTGGAACTGTTAACCATTCTATATACTGTTTTCTATAGTTCTTCATTCTCAATTTGACACTTATGTTTCTTTTCCATTTCCATTTATATATATATATATATATATATATATATATATATATATATATATATATGAAATGAAGTTCTCAATCATATATGCAGATTCTGTGACAAAATTACAAAAAAATTCTCTAAAAGAAACATTTATTTTCACAATTCAGGAATGCTTGACTGTAAACACAAGTACTCATAAATGTTTATTGTATTGATTTTAATTTGATGATTATAAAATAGACTCTAAAAATGAATTTATTACTTTAATGTTATGGCTTGTTAATTCTTCTTATTTACCAGGAAAACACATGCTTCTGTTACAGTATCTTCTTAGGTCATACTAAGTGGCTGCCTCAAATCTTCATTAATATTTATAAGAATATAAACTACTTCAAGCAGAACTTTTCACTTAGAGAGAACCTTGGAGATCTTTTGAGCTGAACTTTTCATTTTACAGATGAGAAAACTGGAGCAAGGGGATATTAAAGATTTGACGAAGGGCATGTCATTATTAAATGAGAAGCCAAGCTGTAACTCTTGTCATCCAAGTCTCCTAACACCCAGTTCAGGGGCCTTTACACCATACCACCAGGCAATAAATGCCATCCTTCTATCTGGCAGATACGATGGACAGTTAGCAATCCATCAGTGAACTCAAGCAGAATTGAGGAAGATGGTATTTACCATTAAATTAAATAACACATGTCAAGCCCTTAGCAGGACATGGGGCACATAATAAACGCTTGTTAAAGGGAACAATTATTTTTGTTGTTGTATGATTCAGAAATGCAATGTGAAATAGTGGAAACCCTTGTAGATTTTCAAATCAGATGGACCTAGGTTTAGCTGGCAGTGTACACTCACTGACTTATGTAACCTGCGCAACTCACTTAATCTTTCTATGTATCTGTTTTCTCACAGGCAAAAAAGGAATAATAATGAGATTGGGTATGTAAAATATCGATAAGTAGAGGCATTTGTTAATGTTAACAATGAAATTACAATCTGTCATTTTATGTGTTGAGTAAATAATATAAAGAATTCAAAGAGATGTGACCTGTCATTAACATTTATCTACCTGAAATTGAGGGGAATAGGCCAGGCTCATGTCACCTCTATGGTTAGTGCCCCGACCTCTCTCTTTCCACCCTGCCCCTTTCCTTTGGCACTGACACTTGGACCTCAGTGCCTCTACCCTGCTGCCTTCTGGAAGTTCAGGACACTCCCTTCATAACAACTTGCTTGTACTTCTCTTTGCCTACAGACCTCATATTTAAACAAACAAACAGGCCAAGTGCAGTGGCTCTTGCCTGTAATCCCAGCACTTTAGGAGGCCGAGGTGGGCAGATCACCTGAGGTCAGGAGTTCAAGACCAGACTGTGCAACACGGGGATACCCCGTCTCTACTAAAAATACAAAAAACTTAGCTGGGCGTCGTGGTGCATGCCTGTAATCCCAGCTACTCAGGAGGCTGAGGCAGGAGAATCGCTTGAACCTGAGAGGCAGAGGATGCAGTGAGCCGAGATCGTGCCACTGCACTCCAGCCTAGGGGACAGAGCAAGACTCTGTCTCAAAAAACAAACAAACAAAACCAAAGAAACAACCCCCGCCCCCCGCTTCATTTCATTCTCTCAGACACCTGATCTTCACCTCCTAAAATAAAGGCTAACACTTAGCTGAATAACTTATTCAACTAAGTTAGCATTCCCATGTTCTGTGGAATGCTAGCCTCTAAGATGCTCCATGAAAGAAGGTCAAATAAGCTTGGGAAATTATGGAATAATTGCACGGTAGGAGATGCCCACCTTTAGGTAAGGCCTACTGGTACCTCCTCAGCACTCCTGGTTCTCTTTCACTTCGAGGGCTTCCTACTGCCAGCACCTGCGACTCTGTCTGAGGGCATTCTCTGACTTGTAGCATGCTCTTACAATGCCCTTCAAGCCAAACCAGGTTGGTAACTTCCACCCTGCTATCAAGAACTAACAGAAAACATGGGTGGGTTTCATGGCTAAAGAGATAATCATGAGATCTGGAGGATGGTCCAGGAGGCATATGGGATGAAGATAGTTATATTCCGAAACTGCCATGGAAAAAAAAGTATCTTTAGGAAGAAGCAGCCCATCTTTCAGTGGCTTCAGCCCAAATCATCAGATGCCTGGGACTGCAACATGCCTTAAAGTACTCGAGGAATGAAATGGTCAATACTGATCAGAATTTTAAATACTTAAGCCTTGATCTACCCTATAAAATCCATGAAAAGATTTTAGAAAAGAGTAAAAACTTGGGTTCCCTGATAGAGAAATACAGATTGAGAGTATTTCAGAAGGCATTCTTGCTCTGCCTTTAACACAACCATTGGCAATAGGTGTGTATTGTACTGTCCAGGCAGAATCCTCTGGGAAGAAAGTAGAAAGATGTCTTGTAAATGGGAGTCCCTTGGGAGGCAAGTGAGGGGTAAAAGTCAGTGTGTGTGGGAGTGTTTAGTGCAATTGGGGACTAAACACCAGTCATCTCCAGGACTTGAATTTTGCCACTTAACTGCAATTTTCTTCCCAACTCTGCAAACACAGTTTACATGCCTCGTTTGTCACCTCAGTCACACATTACCCTCCCATGTCCACTATTCAGGTTCCGAGACATTAACTAGTTTCAAATGCATTGCCATAGTTCATCGTTTAAAAATTCTACCTTTTTGTTAACAATGTTTTTTCAAAAATCCTTTGTCACTTATAAAATATTAATAAGTGAGATACCAGCCAATAAAGAGAAAATTTAAATAATCCTAGCACTTTGAGGGGTACATTCTCTGTACTAAAAGCAAGAATAAAAAATGTACGAAGAAATGAGAAAATGTGGAAAAGAAGTGCTAAGAATCCAACGTGGCATGAATCGGGGGTCTCTGACATTTCCATCTTCATCAAGGGGATTCTGTCAAGTAGTAAGTCAAGCTCTTCATCAGTAATCTCCACACCAAACCTGAAACAAATAGCAGTTAGCATCAGTCACCTCCCAAGTTCACATTTGGGTCACCCATGCCCACAATACCCTAAGCATATGGCTGCCATTAAAGCTTTGTGACTGCTGCAGTCCTCAAGATCAAGAGCACCACGTGAATATCAGAGGTTAATCAGGGTTTTGATCGCTTCAGCTTTCTCAGAGAAAGATTCTACCACAGAATCCCTGCATTGGTGGAGCACAGAAATAGAAACACCGGCATGTTGAATTGTGTGTGATTGTCCTCTATAAAAAGTTATTCATTACACTAAAACACTGGTATTGCTTAAACAAGTTAACTCTGAAAAGCCTTTCAATTGGGCTGCTTAGCATGAAAGAAAAGGTAGAGAAAAAAATGCCTTTCGAAAAACAGCTTCCTAATACTCTTGCAAAGCATTTCATAATGGCTTTAAAGACATTTTGCATACAAATATTTTTAAAGTGGCAGTGTTTATTCATCAGCAAGAAAGTGTTTTCATCTCTCAAGAACAATCAAAACATAATCCGTGAATCACTGGCATAAATAAGAATGACTTAAGCAATAATAATGAACAAGGCGTTCATTCATCATTTTGCAAAGCTGATAAAACCCAGCTGACTTTTGGAAAAGAGGGGAATATATTTTCTTTTGACAACACAATGACAGAATAACATCAAAAAGTCTCTTTATCCATTTTCATTATTACTTCCTTAATAATTATAAAAAGGAAAAATATTTATATGATCTTCAGAGAAACCAGAGTATACTTTCTTAGTAATTATAAAACAACATATACACACCATCAACAACAATGCAACAAACAAAAATGGCTTTTTTTCCTAAGCTGCAAATAATTAAGTTATCATGTATTTGTATTTCAGAAGTACTTGAATTTAAATAGCATCTCAGGGACTTTGCAGTTGGGTATCCTTTTTTTCATTTGTATAAAATTAGAAAAAAAGGGTAATTTAATGTTATACCTGCACAGTGTTTATCTTACTCCCTTTTATTCTCTTTATCATTTCTTCACAATGAAGTTACCTGGACTAATGGAGAAATCCTTGGTATTTAGCATCAGAAATGAAAATTAATTCTCAGGTTTGATTTGGATTTAAACTCTTAAACTCAGTACTTTAAAAGGAAACAAACATTCTGTATAGGCATATTGGGGGAAAAAAGATGAAAAGTCAAGAAATCCGAATCTAGTTTATATCCACCATTCTACAGCTATGCAATCATGGAAAATCACTTAACTTTTACATTTCAGTTATAAAAGTGGTCTCAGTGGTCTGTGAGTGTTCTGTATCTTACTGAGTGGTTATGTGATAGTGAGATAATGATAACAAAAGTGCCTGGAAAAACATCACATAAATATTGTGTATTACTATTTTTGATGTCGAAAACAGGTTAAAAAAGGCCTCCCAAACATAATAGAAAAGACTGTTCAAACCTAACAGTAACACAAGCCCTTTTTCTCAAGAGCCCGTCTTGGTGAGTGGCATATGGTTTAGTGGAGATAGCATGGCCTTCGGGTTAACTGGACCAACGTTTGAATCCCAGCTCTGTCATTTAGTAGCTGTGTGTGGCCTTGGGCAATTTCCTTAATTCCCTGAGCCTCAATTTTCATTTGTATAACAAGAAAGGCTATTTTGAAAATCAATTAAGTAAATAAATATGCACATATTCTCTTTAATGTAAAATGTATTTTCTTAACAGTGAAACTACCTTCACTGTATTGGATAAAATGAGGCTTTCCCTAACCACCAAAATTAGTCTCCCACCTCAGTGTCCAATCTCTATCTTATCACACTGCTATTATTATCTTATCTCTCTTACCACTATCTGAAATTATTTTATTGGTTTACTGACTACTTGGTTATTGTCTGTCTTTTGTCTCCACTTCTCGTGTAAACTCCATGAAAACAGGTTTAGTGCAACTAGGGACTAAACACCAGTCATCTCCAGGACTTGACTTCATCATTTGCCTGTTCACCATTGTATCCCTAGAATCTGTAACAACAACCAGAAGGTACTCAATAAATATTTAATCAATGAACAAATGACTAACTCATTTCTACTGTAAGGGTATATGTACTTGAGAGAAGTTAAGTATATGTACTTGAGAGAAGAGGAATTTTTATTATGTGAAATAAGGCATATGTTAATTATCTTGATTAAGCCATTACACAATGTATACATATTTCAAAACATGTTGTATATGATAAATATATACAATTTTATGTCAACTTAAAAAAGAATAAAGAAATAATAATAACATCAAAAGGAGCTTTTATGTATTTATTTGTATATATTCCTGGGGTACAAGTGCAATTTTGCTACGTGGATATATTGCATTGTGGTGACGTCGGGGCCTTCAGTGCATCACTGGAACAACACACACTGTACCCACCAAGTAACCCCCCATCCTCCACCCTGCCTCCCACCCCCTCAGCCCCCACCCTCTGAGTCTCCACTGTCCATCATTCCACATGCTACATCCATGTGTACACATTTTTTTAGCTCCCACTTATTAGTGAAAACGTGTGGTATTTGTCTTTCTGTGTCTGAGTTGTTTCACTTAAGCTAATGGCCTCCAGGTTCATTCAGGTTGCTGCAAAAGACATGATTTCATTCTTTTTTTTAAGGCTGAATAATATTCCATTGTGTATATATACCATATTTTCTTTATCTAATCCTCTGTTGATGGACACTTAGGTTGATTTCATATCTTTATTATTGTGAATAGTGCTGCAATAAATATACCAGTAGAGAATGTGTGCTTTGAAGAGATTGAAAAAGGTTTGAAATAAGCACAGTAGAGAATGGAATACAGAGTTGACTAATAAAACATAGTGGGGATTGACAGGAAATACTAGGAATCCAGGTGAAGTTGGTGACAATGAATTTACAGTAATGTAAGTCTACTCAGTAGCATGATTTTCCCCAGCACCACTAAGCAGCCTGGGTGCAGGTGAAGACAAGATGAGCAGTTGCGCACATCTAGGTTTGAGAATTTGTCAGATAGATGTGAATAAAAGACAACAAAGCAAGGGAGTGTAGAATACTGACCAAAAAATGACTCATGGAAAAATAGAATCTAAACTGTGCTCCAGCTTAGAGAGGGAAGAGAGAACATGTGTGCAGGGATAGAACTGGGAAACAGCAGGAAGATCAGTGGACTAGAACAGATAGGAGATAATAGTCAGGAATGGCTCAATTCATGATTTCTTAGGTGTAGTTATTTTGGATATCACAGTTCATCTCAGACTTCCAAGAGAGTTTACATTCTTAGTATCCCCCAAAGACCTCCTTCACTTAGAAGGTGAATATAATAGCAAAAACTAAAATTTACTGAGAATTTCATATGTTCTTAGCACTATGCCAAGCATTTTACATGCATTGTCCCCATTTAACCCTACCAGTATCAATTATTATCATTCCTAACACTGTCCTAATAGTGTCACTGAGATCTCTGAGGTGACTGCGGGTGAAGAAAGTTAAAGGGAAATAGTCTGGAAATGGCACTAAAGAGCGAGGCAAATGAACAGCTTCCTCCTGAAAAAGGAAGTAATGTCCTGGGCAAAAAGCCAGTTTGTGATTAAACTGCATTTAGAAGGGTGGAGGATGGAGAAGAGTTTGTGCATCATGGGTTGGGCATTCTGGAGGGCACAGTTGGAGGATTTTACAAGGGGAAGCATCAGAGTTTGGAAGAGTGAACAAGAAACCCAGATGAACATTAGGGTAAGAGAATGCTGAAAGTGTATATAGGCTAGACAACTGGGGGGCGGAGGTTACATTACAGGTAGTATAACAAGGAAAATTAGTATGAGGCCAGATGGATTAAGATTCTAAAAGAAACCTCAAACATAATCATCTAGGCCATACTTTTAGCTCATTACTCACTGTCTCTCTAGGTATAGGTAGTTTAAGTTTTCAGCTGTAATGATAATAGCAAACATTTATTGACTGCCTACTACATGTCAGATACATTACCTGTATTTATATAATCCTTACAACAACACTATGAGGTGAATGTACTATATATTATCTCCGTTGTACAGTGAAACCTTATATAGTTATTACCTGGTAAAGCTTGAATTTGAACCTTGCCAACTGTCTCTGGAGCTCTCCAGATGACCATTTTATTATTCTCACTGCTCAAGCAGGGCTGCCATTTCTCTTCCTACAGTTCTCTTTACCATGTTGCACACTTTCTCTAGCAGAAAAAGGTCTCTCCACAATCCTTCCAGAGAAACTTAAATATTAATGTATAAGATTATGATGAAGTCAATACACTTAAAGCTAACCTTTAACACTATACTCTGTAAGTGGATTTTGAAATAAGGATAGTTCATCTCAGACTTTATCCAAGAGAGCTTACATTCTTAAGTATCCCAAAGACCTCCTTCACTTAGAAGGTCTTCTTAAGGCCTATATCTCAAAGACAGTATTGTAGGACAGATCCAGTGTGTTTAAGAAATTATCTGTCACACAATAAATTTTTTCTGCCCTCAGAGAGGAAACTAGCTTCTGATATTTCTCCCTAAGGACAAAAAAAATAAGTTACTGTCAGGCTTACTTTAAATTCCATAACAGAAAATATATGGGGTTTTTAAAATTAGTTCCATACATTTTTCTGTCTGTATATAGCAAATAAACAAGCAAAGTAGCTTTCATAGATATAAAATAAGTAGTAGGAATCCCATTATAGAAATCCCCCTTTTCTGTTATTTAAGTCTCAAAATATCAAAGCATAGTATTTGTGTATAGAATCCAAGAAGAAATAAAAAATAAATCATCTGGAAAAAAAAACCCACAGTTGGATTCTTTCTATCTTAATACTGATTTAGCAATCACACTTTGATTTTAGTAGGTGAAATTTCCAAGGAATCTAAAAGTCTAAAAGACTTAAGTAGAAAAGATGGGGCCTTACATGTAATAAAGCTCCTTTATTTACTCCTACAGGTAACTACAATGGAAAGGCTTACAATTGAAGTGCTTATGTATTAATGACTTTAGACCTCTTCACTAAAGACTTTGTAATTTTTACTAAATGACATATTCTTCAAAAACAAAAAATCTATATTGGCTAAATATATTTTTCTAATTATGTGTTTTAGAAATAATATTATGTCTACTGATATAAATCTGGGTTTGTTTCATTGCATTTTAGCATTGGTTCTTCAACCAAATCCCTAAACAGAATCATCTATTTTCCTCAGAAATCTGTGTTTAATTGGATACTTAAATTATTTTAGTATGCAATTAAATCATGTGTAATATTCAAAAAGTATTTCAGGATGATATTCTTATCCTCTTTTTAAAAAGTACAATGTTTAGAGCTTGTTTTTAAAGACTTTAATTTCTTACATCGACATCTTTTCCAGTAGATTACTTTATCTTTAAAATACAGAGCAGGATATATAGTGCAGGAAAAACAGTATTTTTCATCACTTCTGTTCTCTTTATTACTGTCAAAATCTTTAATACTATATTCCCTCAGAAAATATCTGGGTATTATTATAAAATAAGTTCTCAAGCTCTGGTAAAAATATCCTTAGCCTATACTTCAAAATGGAGAAATAATCCAGCCTTTAACTGATTTTCCAGGAATTTACTTTTCTAACATTAGACGTTAAAAGCACATTAAAAACAAACAAACAACAACAACAACAAAAACCTCTGATCAAACACAGGGTGATGATAAAAAACATTAATCCTGATCATATATGCCAGATCTCTTGGTATATGACATACTCATTACCCATCCTGAGTAATACATCTTGTCTTTTCTCCATCTTGTACTCCAAAGTCAGATCCATGGGCTTGAAAGGCTCCAGAAGGGCCAGGTGGGGCTGGGCCTGAGATATGAGAATTGCTAGTGTGATCCTGGTATTATGAACCACAAGTGGCCCACTGTCATCCCAAATCCCCAGAGGACCTCCCAACTGAGAGGTCTCTCTTTTGAACCATATCAGCTTGAGATCTCCCTTTCTCTTTTGCTCTCTTTCTCCTTCTTTCCCTACAACTGCCTTTCCTATATGGCACACTTATATTGTATCTCTCTCTTTCTCTCTCACTTTATATATAATATCTCTGTATCTACAGTATCTATCTCTCTATACATGGATGTGTTTTTTTTTATCAGACTATCCTCAAAGAAAAGGATATTTGTCATCATAGAACAGTCATTTATTTATATTAACCAAAATAAACATAAGTGAAGGGCTTTGAATAATAATTTCAATGACTTTTTTTAAAAAGAATTTCTTAACATGAGTAATAAAGTGAGAAGTCCTGGGTTTGAGTCCTTAGTTCTGCTACTTACTCGATGTGAGGCTTTAGAAAGTCTCGTAAGCTCTCACAGATTGTTTCTTCATTTTTAAAATGTGCAGGATAATCACAATTAGGTTACCAATCAACAAGATTATTTCTAGATTCAAGCTTGTTAATGAACACATAGACTACTCTATAAATTCTAAATTCTTAATGTCACACATTCATAGTATCAACAATACAATTGGGTAAAGTTTGCATTCACTTCGACGCTGCGACTGAAAAAGGTGAATGGTTCGTTTCCTCACACTCCCTTTGCATTCCTTGTTCCTCCAGACACAGTGAAACTCAGTTTCTGCAGAATTTGATTTCATTTGAGTTACTGGGGAACAAAGCAATTAGACAATGAATAATAGCTCAAGACAGGCTGAAGCTGAAGATTTCTGCAAAAGAATGAAGAGGAAACGTTTTGATCCTGAGCAGATGTTCTCCCTAGATTGCTTCACCTGAGGTTGATTGACTTTTGGAAACGAGATTTGTTCCCAGGTGGGTAAGCCTTGGGGCCATAGGTTTTTCAGGATTTTGAAGGTCACATGGAATGCGAGGGGGTTAGGGAAATTTCCCAAGCATTTATGGGACCTGGGGGAATCTCACGTTGAAGAAGGTGGTTACCACACGCAAGCAAGCCCTTTTCCTGTTGCAGGCGGTGGACAGCTCCCGTCTGAGCATGCAAGTCTGCAGGGAGCTGCAGATGGCGGAGGGGCGCCCCGAGGCCTCCGGGAGAGCAGCTTGGGGAGCGGCAGCAGGGCACGCCGGGAAAGGCGCGAGGCACTCTGGGAAGGCAACCTAGGAAGGGTGGGGCCCTGGGGCCTTTTGAGGAGCTAAGTGGCCAAGGAGAGGTGCGTTTAGTTATCTCAGAAGTCCGTTGCCCTCGTGGTGTCCATTCTGTAACTGTTCTCACAAGACAAGACAGCCTGAGTTGTTTACAGCCAGCAACTCTTCCTGTCTGAGAGCGGTGTCTCCCGTTGGGTTTCCCTAGTGCCTCACCTTGGTCCAGATGGCCGAAGGGGACCGTTTCCTGTGGCCTCTTCGCACTGTTCTAGGTGTTAACGATCCCCCCCGCCCCGCCCCTACTGACTTCCTCATCCTAGCCTTTTACTTCTTTTCTGCCTGGCCTCTGATTTTACAATATACTATGGGGAGAAATGTCTCTGAAGTTTTACTTCAGCCTGAAATGTATAAGACAAGCCCTCAAGAGTTTCCAAAATCATAAATACGTGTAAGTTTCTCCATCTTAAGCAATTCATCTTACGGTTGCATTAATTTGGGACAGGGCCCCAGCTCTGTGTGAGTGGATTGTTGATGACATCCTAGTAAATAGAATTCTATCTGACCTGACTGACATATGCAAACAAACTGGAACATAGCTTCTATGTGATTTTGTACACAACAAAAGATTTACATTTTTTTTTTTTTTTTTGAGACGGAGTTTCGCTCTTGTTGTCCAGGCTGGAGTGCAATGGTGTGATCTCTGCTCAACGAAACCTCGGCCTCCCGGGTTCAAGCAATTCTCCTGCCTCAGCCTCCTGAGTAGCTGGGATTGCAGGCATGCGCCACCACGCCCGGCTAATTTTGTATTTTTAGTAGAGACGGGGTTTCACCGTGTTGGTCAGGCTGGTCTCGAACTCCCGACCTCAGGTGATCTGCCCGCCTCGGCCTCCCAAAATTCTGGGATTACAGGCATGGGCCACCGTGCTCGGCCTACACTTTTTTTCTTTTTGGTATGGCTGCGACTGAGATCTTACAATGCCCTGGATAGCTTATTGGTCTGATTCCATATAACAGCTTTTCCTAAATGATAAGTGGAAGAATGTCCAAACTCCCAGGTGAAATTGTCATTACTATATGTTTCACATGTAACCTAGTCTAGTTACTTCAAACGTTACAGCAGTTGGGCCCATCTATGCAGGTTGACTATTGCAGTCCAGTTAGACAGCTTCCAAATTCCGCTGTTCTCTAAAGACCTGATTTAAAATATGCTGTTCATGTATTTCAATACGTATTTGTAAAATTTTATTGCTCTCCCTTTCCTCTTAGTGCTTTGTGAGTCTCTTGTTGGAAGGACTGTCTTTAAATTAAAGCAATTAGAGTTACTTTATAAGATTTACCCAAATATAAGAGCTGAAGAGAATAATTCAAATTGATCAGAAGAAAATACTCAATTACTGACAAATGTCAATTACATCAATAGGTAAGTTATGGATTATATCTAATATTCAGTTTTAGAGCTAATAAAGTATAATACACTTCTGTAATTATCACCTTTTAAAAATTCACCACTCATGTCAATTTAAGACAAACATTCTTTAAATGAAATTAAAACTCTTACTTTGGGATCACCATTTCACAGATACAGACATCCGGGTATAGATTACTTCAATGTTAAGTTTTACTCCAAATTATAAAATTTTCTTTTTTTAACCTATGTATTATGTTTCTTCTTTGCAATATGATTTATTTCTATACTTATTATTGATTTCTTTCTAATACACAATGGAAACAATATAATTTTTATTTTTAAAAGTTTCAAATAGGCCGGGTGCAGTGGCTCACGCCTGTAATCCTAGCACTTTGGGAGGCCAAGGCAGGCAGATCATGAGGTCAGGAGCTCGAGACCAGCCTGGCCAACATAGTGAAACCCTGTCTCTACTAAAAATACAAAAATTAGTTGGGCATGGTGGCGTGTGCCTGTAGTTCCAGCTACTTGGGAGGCTGAGGCAGGAGAATCGCTTGAACCCAGGAGGTGAAAGTTGCACTGAGCTGAGATCACACCACTGCACCCCAGCCTGGGCAACAGAGTGAGACTCCATCAAAAAAAAGAAAAAAAAGTTTCAAATAACACAAAAATGTGTAATATAAAACATAATCACCTTCCACAATAATTTCTCCTCCTTCTCCCACCAGAAATAACTACCTTTGACTGCTTGATGCTTTGCCCTCCATATTCTTTTCTACACATATACTAACCTATATTATAATTTTTAGAATAAAATTATATCTTAAAAATTACTCTGCCATTTTTTTTTTTTAGTAAATCATTCTTAGATATCTGTGCCAATATTTGTATACTTAAATCCTTTTAAAAGCCTACATGATATTCTATTGTATGGATGTACCATAATGTATTTGACCCACTCCCTACTAATGTATATATAGGTTGTGCCTACTCTTTTGTTACATGAGCTTCTTGAAGTGTGTGTGTGTGTGTGTGTGTGTATTTCCTTTACATTGGACCTCCTACCCTCTGGCAAAAGAAAAAAATTGGTGTTTTCTAGACCCAGGGCCACTTTCTTGCTTATTCTTTTTCATTTCGTCTGTTTTCTGTTTTCCAACTTCTAAGTCTTGTCCTTTCTTTCGGAATCTCCTCTTTTCATTCTCCTATTTTTTTCCCATTAAGCACAAAGGTCCCCTTCACACAATATCTCTGCCCTCTGGTACCAATATGCTCTCCCAATACTCTCCAACCCCAGTGGTGAAGAGAAAGAAGGACATAGTATTCAGTTTTTGATAAGAAACAAGAGGCCACTGCTGGCAGGGAGGCTTGTCAAGATCTCCCTCATTCCGAGCACTCCATTCCCACGTGAACAACAATGAACGGAGATTTCACCCGCCCACCCCACATTGTTCAAGTTGTCCTTTGCCCTTTTCGTCAAAACTTGGCACCCAGGAGACAGCAGAACATGTTCTGAATTCAACCCTGGGGAGCCACCAATCAATATCACTTGACTCTTCTTACCCATTAGTTGTTCTCTTTCTATGCCTGATGTCGAGTGATGCCTAAGCTATTCTTTGTCATGGCCCCTTCTTAGTTGGCCCAGCTAACCCCTATAGGGTGGGATGGCTATCTACATCCCCTAGGCAGAGCACCATGGATAGAGGAGAAAAGCGTGGACAAAGTACTCAGGTGTAGGCTCAAGGGATGTGGACAATTTAGCATGTTTTACCTCTTTATGATCTCTTTATGCATTATCTCTTTATGATCTGAGTTGCCAAATACCAAGAATATTAACTACCTACTTAACTCACAAAATACTATAAGAATATGGTAATTTGTAAAGCACTTTGAAAATAGGATTCCAAAGGAACAAAGTATATTATTTATATGTCTTTTCTCCCTTTTTAGTATACATATTTTATGACTTCCTTTTTTTATATTTACAACTCATTTGTGAAGCACAGACAATATATTCATAATTATTTCTAATGAGAAACTATTTTGGGGGAGTTTTTTCAGGGAATATGTTCAGAGAGGGAGAAAGACATGGCTATTGTCATTTTTTTCACCCTAGTTTTTAAAAATATTGCTTAAATTTCTTTTATATCTGAAACATTTATTGGAATGTTTTTATGATTATTGAGGCCTTAATTATAAGCAGCAACAATCAAATAAGCATAAAAACTTTATAAGAAGTCTAAATTCCTGTCTGATAGTAAGAAAATTAGATACTTAGATATCAGTGTATTAAAGATTTGATGCTAAGTGCCAATTACCTTTAATAATCAAATAGTGGATTGTGGGAGGATCAGAGCAGATACGAACGTGACAAACTTCTCAGGATAAAGGTGTTTTAATGTTTTTCAGGCTTAAAAATAAGAAACATTTTGGAAGCTTAAAGGAGACAAAATTTCAGAAAACTGTGGATTTCACTTCCTGTTATAGTTTATGATAAAAGAAAAGGCTGTAAAATTCTCTTTTAACTGTCATTTCTTAAAAGACTTGAAAGTCTTTTAACTACCTTTTAAATATTATTTTGCAATTAAAAAAAAAAAGAGCATTGACCTTTGTATAAGGGTTCCTTTTTCCCTTGGTTGAAAACAGCCCATTTCTAAGCACATATAACTATCACTTTCTTTCTAATTTACTCCTTCCTTCCGCAATGCAGTTGAATACCATATTAATGCATTCGAAAACTAAATTATTGTTTTGGTGCTTGATTTTTAAAGGAGGAGGAAAACACAGATTTGTCTTTTTATTAATAAGTGCATAACTTCTAATAGGTTATGCACAGTCTTTTAATTCGTCTCAGTCTGACTAGTCAAGATCATCTGGATTTTCAAATGCAACAATTAACTGTAAAAAGGAAAATCCAAAGAGTCAGAATTCAGTGTAATTATACACTAGTGGACACTATATTGCTGATTAAAGCAGTTATAACTTAATGATCTCTGAGCATTTGATGTTTGCTGTGCAAGTGACATCCACTCAGGGCATCAAGTAGAAGGAAGGGCCTTAGTGGAATGTGTGACTACTGATGTGAGACTGCCGAAGTCCCAAACTTGCAGCTTCAGTAAACTAAAGGAACTTCACATCTGCCAAGCTGGAAAATAACAATGCATTAAAGGTTTCAAAAGAGAGTTGGCATTAATTGTGTTAATCACTGGGATAAGATTCCAAATAATTACATGACTTTAATGAGGAGATCTGACATAAGTGGTAGCAAGATAAGTATTGATTACATGTGAAATGTTAGATCAAGCCTTAGCATAAAGTTTCAGGAAGTCACTCTCCAATATTCTTTAACAAAAGAAGGATCCCGTGAAACTCCAGCAGAGCATGTGATAAGCTGAATGTCCTGCTAACTGGTTAGATTATCTGAAGAAGTTCTGCTTCTGAATGTGTTTAAATTGGTTCAGTTTGGCTTGGCTACTCTGACCCTCATAAAGTTATCAAGCCTATCTAGGGGATGAGGAACTGGAGGCATGAACAGCCCCTGCCAAAATAAGTTCCAGACCTAATCTTTGTCCCCCATCCCCTCTCCTCAGCCCTCTACTCCCTCTACAACCTGCCAAAATCAACATTCGGTATATCTAAAATCAAATGTCTATGATTTGATTTGTACATGTCCTGAACAGATACAGAATACTAATGAAGAACACCAGCTTTGGAATTAGACCTACCTTGGAATCACAGCTTAGCCACCTCTTTGTGTGATATTCATCGAGGTATTTAATTTCTCTGAACTCACTGTCCTTATCTGAGTATCTGAATACGAAGACAAAAATATCTGCTTCACACAGTTTCCATGAGGATTAATTATTTTAGCACAGTGCCTGAAATGTAGCAGCCAAAGCAATGTAGTAGCCAATATTGTACTATTTGGTTGCTTTAATGGCTTAAAATTTTTTTTTTAATTTTATTATTATTATTATTTTGAGATGGAGTCTTACTCTTGTCGCCCAGGCTGGAGTGCAATGGTGCAATCTTGGCTCACTGCAACCTTCGCCTCCTGGGCTCAAGCTGTTCTCCTACCTCAGCCTCCCGAGTAGCTGGGACTACAGGCATGCGCCACCATGCCCAGCTAACTTTTGTGTTTTTAGTAGAGATAGGGTTTCACCATGTTGCCCAAGCTGGTCTTGAACTCCTGACCTCAGGTGATCCACCCACCTCAGCCTCTCAAAGTGCTGGGATTACATGCGTCAGCTACCACACCCAGCCAGCTTTAATGGTTTTTGTGTCTACTATGTAAAGAAAAAATAGAGTAGGAAGTAGAATTAATACCTATTTCTTGTAAAGCATCTGCCTTTCCCACCAAAGAAGGACTTGGTGGATGATCTGTGAGAAACTGTGTAATATTATTACTATTAACACCACTTAATTTTAGGAGAAAGGCTTTGTAAGTGGGCACTCCTCTAAAATTCATCAGTTTCCTGTTGGATAACGTTTGTAGAATTTTTGGATGGCAACGAAATAGCTGTAAATGTATTCGCAGTTCACAGCACCATTTTAAAATGTAGTTTTCTTCAGTTTCATCAAAATTAAATCTGCTTTTCAAAAGATACCACTAAGAGATTAAAAAAAGCAAGCTACAAACATACATATCTGGAAAAGGATATATCCAAAAAATATAAAGAACTCCTACAAATCAATGAGAAGAGAGACAACCCAGTTGAAAATAGACAAAGAATCTCATCAGATTCACAAAAGAAGATGTATGGTTGCCAGTAAACTCATAAAAAGTCACCAGGGAATGCAAATTAAAACCACAATAAGTAATTACTCTATACACCCATGAAAATGGCTAAAGTTAGAAAGCCTGAGGTGCTAGAGAGGCTGTGAAGCAATTGGATTCTCATACTTTACTGGCAGGAACGTAAAATGTTAGAACCACGATAGAAACAGTTTGGCAGTTTCTTATAAATTAAACACATGATTACCATCCAACCCAACAATTCCACTCCAAGCGAGTTACCCAAAATAAATGAAAACATGTCTACACAAACACATATATGGGAATGTTTATAGCAGTTTTGTCCAAAGTAGCCTAAAACTGTAAACAGCCCAAATGTTGAACAGATGAATATATAGACACATTGCGGCACATACATAGGAGATTAAATATTACCTAGCACTAACACACGGCTGGCACACTATGCATGAATCCCAAAAACATGCTGCCTGAAAGAAGCCAGACGGCAAATCATTCATATTGTATGATTCCATTTATACATGAAATTCTAAAAAGGGGAAATCTGCCAGGGGGCAGAGAGGAACTGACCACAAGGGAACAAGAGGGAACTTTCTGGGGTGCTGGAAATGTCCTTTTTCTTGATTGTGGTGGTGGTTACACAGATGTACACATTTTTTCAAAACTCATTAAACTGTACATTTTTTCTTTTCTTTCCTTTCCTTTCCTTTTTTTTTTTTTTTTTTTTTTTTTTTTGAGATAGAATCTCACTCTGTTGCCCAGGCTGGAGTGCAGGGGAGCAATCTTGGCTCACTGCAACCTTCACCTCTGGGTTCAAGCGATTCTCCCACCTCAGTCTCCCAAGTAGATGGGACTACAGCCACATGCCACCATGCCCAGCTACTTTTTGTATTTTTAGTAGAGAAGGGGTTTCACCATGTTGGCCAGGCTGGTCTCAAACTCCTGATATCAGGTAATCTGCCCACCTCATCCTCCCAAAGTCTGGGATTACAGGCATGAGCCACGGCGCCCAGCCTGAACTGTACACTTAAAATGGCTATATATAGATTGTATGTATATATGTGTAGTAAAGAATTTAAATTTACACCCAAAGAGTTCTGGCCTTTGCCCTCAGCTTCTGGGTGGTAACATCTAAGCCCTTGGATGTCATAGGAGATAGGAGCGTCTTTGTTTACCTGGGGGCCTTGGATTATGCTAGTAGTCTAACAATGTCATGTAAGGTGGGATCTAGCCATGCCAGATAGTATTTAGGGTGGGGATGATCCCATCAGAAAGATCAACAATGGGATGTAGGGTGGGGGTTTGAGTCACACAGTATCAGCTTGCCAGAGTCGGAGATCAGCCACACAGGCCATCAATCACACCTGCATAATGGAGGCCCATGAAAACATCCCTACTTGGCAATACTCCACGCATATTGTTACAGACACACACTGAGAAAATCACGTCTAAGACTCCATGGGGAGAGAACAACACAAGCTCTATGTTGGGTGTTTTTCCTGGATTCTGCTCTTTGTGCTTCTTCCCTTGGCTGATTTTAATCTGTAACCTTTCCCTGTAATAAACCATAACTGTGAGTATCACAGCTCTCAGTGAGCTCTGTGAGTCCCTCTAGTGAATAACTGAACTCAAGGGCGGTTTTGGGACCGGTCCCCCAAACCTGCGATTAGTGTCAGGAGAGCAGTGGGTCTTATAGAGGGCTGGGTTCCCTCTAACTTTGCGGTTACCTAAACCCCCAAGGAGATGTTTCTAAACTTTAGCAGTATGATATCTCAATAAAGATTATTTTTAACGTATGGTCATTTGTTTCTCATAGTACACAATAATATGTGTGTAGGTGTGTGTGTGCACGCATGTGTGTGTGAGTATACATATATACCCCCGATGGACCACTGTGCTTTTAATATTAGGAAAGAAAGAATCTCTCAAATAGGCAATTTTGAAGCCATCTTAATATTCTATACTCTAAAGTTTAAAGGTATAAATTGTTCTTTATAAACTTAGAAAAGGCTGGGCCTGGTGGCTCACACCTGTAATCCCAACACTTTGGGAGGCCAAGGCAGGTGGATCACTCCTGAGGTCAGGAGTTCGAGACCAGCCTGGTCAACATGGTAAAACCCTGTCTCTACTAAAAATACAACAAAATTAGCTGGGCATGGTGGCAGGCACCTATAATCCCAGCTACCCAGGAGGCTGAGGCAGGAGAATCGCTTGAATCTGGGAGGTGGAGGTTGCAGTGAGCCAAGATCGTGCCATTGCACTCCAGCCTGGGCAACAAGAGCGAAACTCCCATCAAAAGAAAAAAAAAAACTTTGAAAAAATTATGAAGGAATGGGCATCAACTAACTAGCAGATGTTATCTAGGCAAAGTGGGATGAGATAAGCAAAACAGGGCCTGCTATTTATCATTCTCTGTAGATATTTAAGTGGTACAATTAGGGGTCATTTTGGTCTTTTTTGTGTTTTTCAGGATTTCTCTAATTAATGAAAATATATACTGGGAAAATGTAGACGTTTTAAATGTTATTCCTCGAATTTCTCCTTTCGGATAAGAAAACTGTATAAACACAGAAGAGAAGGCAGTACTCTGAAGTTTTCAGCAAATTTAATTGCAAGAGTCCAGTCATCTTATTGTAGCTCCCTCTGCAGCCAATTGTGTGATTCCTTCCCTCCTTTTTGTTGTCTTTCCCTTTCTACAGACATTTATTGAGCACTTGCTAGGTTTCAGGCTCTCAGCTGTGTTGCTTTGGGAACAGAGTAGTTTAGCAGTAGCCCTGTTCTCTACCTAATAGATGCCAGCACCCTGCCCCCAGTGTGACAGCCAAAAATGTCTCCAAACATTGCCAAATGTGCCCTGTGGGCTAAATGTCCCCCAGGTGAGAACAACTGTTTTAAGAAAACAAATTTCTAGATCATCAGCTCATATACATATTCTTTCCTAAAATTAACCTGCGCCCATTATGTTAAAATTAACAAGATTTCATTAGGCTGGATCTCCTCTTCCTGTCTCTTCTTTTACAAGCAACCTTCTCCTACTTTACAAAAGGCCCCCTCTTTCCCATCCAGAATCTTACTGCAGTGCACTGCCTGGGAGTGTAAGAATCCTGGGCCCCAAACAGTGAAAACTTCTAACCCCCTAAGCTGACTCATTCAGGAATGCATTTCCAATTAATTTCACTTTTTGTTATAACTATTTATCAAAAGTAATACGTTTATGGTGTTGGATAACTGTATGTTAGTAAAATTTTGACGTTCAACACCTTTGGTCACGAGAA
Organism: Homo sapiens; assembly: GCF_000001405.40. Classification (NCBI taxonomy): domain Eukaryota; kingdom Metazoa; phylum Chordata; class Mammalia; order Primates; family Hominidae; genus Homo; species Homo sapiens. Next base: position 185,095,709 of record NC_000004.12, read on the forward strand.
ATAAAAAATAAAGTATCTATATACATACTCTTGTTGCAGAGAAGTACAATAGGGTGATCACAGCTTTTTGATTATGAAATATTTTATATTAGTATAAAATTCTGTAGAGGAGATAAAATGGAAAATGAGATTCAAGGAAAAAAGGAGTAATATAAAGCATCCAACTATGAAAGATGAGCTTGTTTCAGAATTTTTAAAAACAGATGATGGTGGTTATCGACCCCTATAATGTTTTGTATTCTATTAGATGTATGTAAAGATTGATATAACAATTTTATTTTAAAGTTTCTACAGTATGCCAAAAGTTACATCTCCTCGGTTATTTAAACTTTTGTTGAAATATATGTAAACTTAAAAGTTTGTGGGTGATGCACATGTTTTCAAAATGATTGTAGGGGTACATGAGTAAAAGGTTTAAAAGTTGCTCACAATAGCTGTAAACTATTAATTCATTTGGCAATCAGTGAAAAAAAAAAAAAAAAAAAATGCAATGCTCAATCTAAACCAAGGACACTCTGCCACCTGGTGGCTTAGAGATTTTCATAGTCACCCAGCAGGAATCAAAAGCTCTCTTACTCCAACCATGTATGATAATGATAATGAACTGATTAATAATATGTAGAATCAGAGATTATTTGATGATAAGAGATATTCATACAGAGAAGGAAATAAAATGATGAATTTTTAATATTATAATTTCAAATTCAGGAAATTACCATTTGTAGTTTTTTTACTGGCTGGGTTAATACCTAAAATCTCTCACCTAATTTCAGCCTAGGCTGCTCTTGAACTCCTGGGCTCAAACGATCCTCCCCTGTCGGCCTCCCAAAGTGCTGGGATTACAAGCTTGAACCACCATGCCCAGCCTCAGAAATTTTTTAAATGACAGCTCATACAGTTTTCTTTTATAAAGGTAAGTAAAACAAACAAAGAAAAATATTGATCATTTTGTAGTGAAGAGACAGAAAAAAATTTATTTCACTTAACGGCGCTGTAGAAAAGTGAAATGACCAAAGATTCCATTATTTATATAGTACTTCATTGAAAAATAACATATATGTAAATTCTTATTACCTGCTTTCAATAATTTACATGTATGTTATTTTTGAAATTCTATTGACCAATGATGTGTTATTTTAATTTGTTAATCTTTCTGTCAAACACACACACACACACACACACACACACACAAAAGAAAAGAAAAAGAAAAAGAAAAAGAAAAATGGACCTTGTCATGGTAAATCCAGGTGCTATAGTTCTAACTTCCTGAAAATTATTCAACAGTTCCCTCAAATTACACACACAAAAAATAGATTTTTTAAATGGTCCGATTTCTAGCATAAGTGAGTCAACTTATATGAGCATTTTTCTACTGTATTGTATAGACAAGTTGGCACAGGCAGAAGAAAAATATCTTCTCAAGATGCAGCTTCACAATCTTCAGAGTTATTGATAACATACAAACCAAACTACAGATGATTTCAGAACTCTCCATCACTTTAACAGAAGTGTCAACTAAAGTATATTTATATCATATCTCTATCAAAAATATTTCTAATTTAATAGACACTTAAATAATGATTGGTTTTGTAATTCCCTTGAGGAGGAAGTAACCAGTATAGAAACAAACAGAAAGTAGAACATTCACCTTCATCAAATACCTACTGGAAAGTGGTCAAGAATTAGAGAAAATTGTAATGAAACAAATTTGCCAATTTGACTTCAATTGTGGTTAAGGTAGAGATGGGGCTGATTCTTCTTTCATTACAAAACCTATTTTAAAATGTAACATTAAATAATATTACTTAATGTCTCTGGGTGAAGACAGCATGTTATAAAGTCAGGAATCCAGCCTCAGCTTTTTCCTCTTTTTTAATTGAAAACTTCACATTTTTAAATTCTTTGCTTTACCTTGATTAATTTTCCCATTCTTTGGACTTCTAAATGAAAACAAGAACTCTTCTAGAATTCGGAGGGTTTTTTGTTTATTTGCATTATTGGTGATACTTAAAAGAAAAAACTCAATATTTATTTAAATATCTTAATAAAGTGTGTGTGTGTGTGTGTGTGTGTGTGTGTGTGTGTGTGATAACTTTAGTCCAAAGCTGGGCTAATGTTGATATTAGCTGCTTTATGTTAATATCGGCATTAATGGCATTAAGAAAGTAAGTCCAACCAGGGAAGGTGTCATGTCTTTTTTTCTTTCTCCCTCCTTCTAAGTCCACTGCCATACTTTGAATTTAGTTGGTACTCAGTAAATAAATTAATTGAATAAAATGAATAAATAAGATTATGCCCAAACAAGCTGGGGAAATCATTAGATCTCAATTTGGTTCCCCTTGGTTAATATTAACATTATCCAACGTAACTTTACATACAGCTTCCTCTGAGTTGTTTTGGGTTTTTAGCTATTTTGATTAGTATTTGGTTTAGTCAGTTAAAAACGATAGTTTACAATTTAGCAAAAATAAAACTACTTTTTAGTGGTAGTAATATATAGGTCCAATTGAGAGCTTACATGCTAGTAGCCTATTGATGGCACCTGGCCTGCAGATGTGTTAAATATTAGCATTTTAAATAAGGAAATTTCATATAAAATCTGTATTTTTAGCTCTCTGTGAAAATCAGCAGATATGTGAATATCTGTAATCCCCAATAGCAGCCATTGGTAGGGCTGATGCCATTACTCTCTTCAGAAGAGGCAGAGTTGCCACAATCCCCACTACTCTTTATTATTTCCCCATAATTAAGGCCAAATGTTGGATGCAACTTACTAGTCACTTGGTAGTTGAGAAATATTTCCTAGTTACTATGTTTTTATCAAAAGAGATTAAATGAGACACATGGTTCTAGAAAAATGGAGGAAAGACTGTTTCTTTCAGGAAGCTAAGAATATTGCTGTGTGTTTAATCTTTGAACTACAGCCTGCTTCAATCATTTACATTACTTGCCTGGCTCATGCAGAAATTTGAAGTTGTGACCCTCTGGGATAGCTAACAAGAGGAGCTTGGTCATTTAATAGCACATAATTCCAGTTAAGCATGAATATGTGTGTGTAAACATGAGTATAACCAGGCCTTTAAGGCATAGTTCAGCTCTCAATGGGGGCTAACATTACAAAAACATACTTGCAAAAATATTTAAGCAAATTTTGAAGAGTAGTAAAGATGCCTAGCCCTGCCAGATTGTACAACACAAAGTGTCACACTGCACAGGACTAGACATTGCAGAAAGTCCAGAAATAGACTCCAGTGTATATAGAATTTAGTATATGATTAAGTTAGCATAGTCAAATGAAAAAAGTAAAATACAAAAAAGTACATATTACCATGTATCCATAGTGCATGTTGCCATATAGAGGAGATAATATTTTAAAGTTATTAGTGGATTCTTCTATTTACCTTTTCTGAGCACAAGCCTAGAGCACTTAAAGCATAGTCCTGTCCAGGGGAAAGAGCAGGGTCTGTTTCAGGCGGTAGATGCTGCTGTTTCTTACTCCACAGCCATCAACCTCCCACTTCCTCCAAGGCAGCAGATCCTGCTTCCCACAGCAGAGGCTGTGGAAACGCCTGGCACTCTCCTTCCCAGTGTTCCTTCCAACTCCGGGCATATGGCAAGGTTAGGGATGACATGAAATAGAGGAGTCTGCTGGGACAGCTTCTGGAAAGGTTTTCACTCTGATAAGAAGAGGAGAGACCTGAGGAGTTGTCTGTCCGCCCCGAAGGCGCCCCTTTCCCCTGCCTGCTGATGAGGCTGCCTGCTGAAGGGATGCCTGGAGCAGCTGCAGCTTCCCCCAGGCCTGGGGGCTGAGCCGGACCATGAGAAGCCAGCATGCTGAGGATGGTGGAGCACGGGGCAGCTGGAGGCTGGGTGCTTGGTGGCCTTTTGGAGTTGCCAAACCAACCCTGGAGCCTGGAGCCCCAGCACTGTTGTCATTTGAGATGATCAGTGTCTTCATTGTTTAAGACACTTTTAGTTGGATATTGTCACTTGCAGCCAAGAATCTTTAAACTTACACATTGTGGAAGGAATGCCTAAAGAAGGACTGAAGCAATTTTCTTTCAATCACCGATATCTGAAAATAGAGCTTTACTGAGAAAAAGGAAAAGATTCAGACTCCTTTATCTGCCCCTTGAGTATACAAGCACCTAAGCCTCGGGACTCATACATGTTGGATTCTCTCGCACAGTAAAGAAAATAACACTCTAGTCAGTGACAGGCCATGCTTTGTTTTGTTTTTAAATACATCCAGGAGGGATGGTGAAGAAAGTAAGTGCAAGCAACAGTAAGGGCAGAGAGAGAAGCTGCACCCTCCCAAAGCGCTCTGCCTGGGGCTCTGGGGAGGACAGCCTCGTGGGGCTCTGGGGAGGACAGCCTCGTGGGGCTCTGGGGAGGACTGCCTCGTGGGGCTCTGGGGAGGACTGCCTCGTGGGTGTCCCATTCCAACCCAGCACAGCCACGGTGAGACACGCTTTAGTTGTGCATTGTGATGAAGAGGAAGAAGCACCCACGCCTAGCTTTCCTGAGCTGCTCTTGGGTCCCTGTGCTGACTAGCCCTGGCTGGGAAGCTGACCAGGGGCAGTTGCTGTGGCCAGGGCAAACTGGCTCTGTGGAGGGCTGCAGAAAGACCACCTGAGTAGGGTTGAATGGAGGCTTCCCCAGACCCAGAAGGGTGGCAGGGCTGTCAGGAGTCTGGCTGAGGTCAGGGCAGCCAGGAAGACCCACCAGGAGCATTGTCCCCACACAAGACCCCGACCTCCACACTCAACTTCAGCACCAGGGGTCTTCAGGGTGTCCTTGATGGCTAGAGAGCATTGCCCAGGGGCCGGGGAAGCCAGGGAATAGCAGACAGACACCCAGTAGATGCGAGAATGTTGGCTTCCAGGCCATACAGCTGCACCGCGTCCCTGCCTCTCCTCATTGAGAGGAGCAGGGTGAAGGACAAGCTCTCTGGGAGATTGACCCTTTCCTCCAAGACAGGCCGAACCCCCCCTCCCCACTAAAGCACAGCTGAAACTACCAGGCAGACTGAGATTTAACCAAGATCAGACACTGAGTTGTTATTATTATTTATTTATTTATTTATTTATTTTTTGAGACGGAGTCTGGCTCTGTCTCCCAGGCTGGAGTGCAGTGGCTCGATCTTGGTTCACTGCAAGCTCCAACTCCTGGGTTCACGCCGTTCTCCTGCCTCAGCCTCCTGAGTAGCTGGGACTGCAGGCGCCCGCCCCCGTGCCTGGCTAATTTTTTGTATTTTTATAGAGACGGGGTTTCACCGTGTTAGCCAGACCCCGTGATCCGCCTGCCTCGGCCTCCCAAAGTGCTGGGATTACAGGTGTGAGCCACGAGTTATTATTATTTTTTAATTTTTTGCCGCTAGTCTGTGGGTGGGGGTGGCAGAGAGGTAAGGTGAGGATGGAGTTAGAAACAAGGCTAGATTAGTCACAGAAAAAGCATACATTTTATTACCACATTTAAGTTGTGAACAAAAGGTATACCTTTGTTCTACGTACTGTCCACTTTTTGCAATTGGCATAGCTTATCATGAGTGCATATTACTTTATCAATTAAAAAAAGCAGTAAAAGCATATGAAAGTAAATGTCATGAAAAGTACAAATAAATAGTGGGCAGATGACTAATAATTAAACTCTAAGAGAAATATTTTTAAAAACCCATGGGGGGCCAACCAAGAGATGTTGTAACTTGAAAACCACATCCAGCAGGTAAAATTAAATGAGGGGCAAAGAGAAGCACCATGATCCCATGAGGTCACTGAGGCGCAGGGAGGAACGCCTGGCTGCCAAGCAGTGCTCTGGACCATCGCCGTGGGTGTCAGTGAACCTCCCTGTAACATCTGGTTGAGGAGACAGGCAGTGGAGCCCCGGGGGCACACAGAAGGGCTCTGGCACCAGCCTGCTTTGGTTTGAATCTGCGCTGCCACTTACTAGCTCATGACTTTGTTAAGTTACTTAACCATTCTTTCACTCAATTTCGTCATATGTCACTTGAGAATAATAAAGTTAATTCATTCGTCATAGGGTTACCACAAGGATTAAATGTAAAGCCCTCAAAATTGCTCTTGGCCCACAAGAAGAATTTGGCTATTACCGTTACTTCTGGAATTGACTGAGAAAAGAAAAGATGCTGAGTTTCCCACCTTCTATGCTTAGAGAACCACCATCTCTTGTCTTGGGGCCAGCCATCTCCCCACAAAGGGGCCAGTCAGCAGAACGAGCATCAACACCTCCCCTCTCACCCAGTCTTATTGGGGTGGGGGTAGGGAGGGGCCAAGAAGATGGCCTGGGAAGCTGTGGCAGTCCAGCAGCAGGGCATCCAGACATCCCATTTCCTGGCTCCGCAGCAGCCTGGCCATGAGGCTCACTCGCAAGAGTAGGGAGAGGTCAGGGGGCATGGTTAGGGGAAGGAGGTGGCACCTGCAACTCCCGGCTCTGAGCAGTAGATGGTCTTGCGCATGCCTCCAGACCCCTCACCTGGGAGCTCCGGAAAGCAGAGAAAGTTGGGGGCACATAATCACCTTGTGCTGTAATGCATATGCTACATTACTGGAAAAACTCAAGTAAAATCTGTAAATGCGATATTAATACACCAGGCTGAAAATACACTCGGTCTTTGAGAGTTTACAGTTTAGAAACAATTATAATAGGGTATGGAGTGGGTGCTGTGAGAGAGTCAGGGAGGAGAGGAGGCATCTAGGTCAGATGGAAGAATGCAAGAAGGCTCTCTGAGGAGGCGACACTTAGACTGAACTTAAAGGATGAGTGTGAGTGAATGAGAAAAAAGGGAGGAGCATTTCAAGAACAGCACATGAAGGGAACTGGAGGCAAGAAACAGCACAGTGCATCTTAGAGCTTGTATGTGGTTTGGAGAGGCTGAGATGGAAGGTGGATGTGCGGGGGTGAAGGGAGACGAGGCTGGAGAGGAAGGCCATACCCAGAGAATGCAAGACCTGGCATGCATGCCAAAGGGTTCTAATCATATTTGCAGTTTCGAAGGGTCATACAGGCTGGGCACTGTGGCTCATGCCTGTAATCCCAGCACTTTGGGAGGCCGAGGCAGGTGGATCACCTGAGGTCAGGAGTTCAAGACCAGCCTGGCCAACATGGTGAAACCCGTCTCTACTAAAAATACAAAAATATCCAGCCTGGGCAACAGAGCGAGACTCTGTCTCAAAAAAAAAAAAACAAAAATAATTAGCTGGACCTGGTGGTGCACACCTGTAATCCCAGCTACTTGGGAGGCTGAGGCAGGAGAATCGCTTGAAGCCAGGAGATGGAGGATGCAGTGAGCCAAGATCACGCCACTGCACTCCAGCCTGGGTGACAGAGTGAGACTTTGTCTCAAAAAAATAAATAAATAGAAGGGTCATACATCCAGCAGTATTTGAGGGTCCAGCAATATGTAGGGGTGGGCAGACTGGAGGCAGAAAGGGCAGCTAAGAAGCTACTGCTGTAGTCCAGGCAAGACAAAACAGTGTCTGCTCAAGGTAGAGACGAGGGAGAAGACAGGAGAGATGATAAAGCAATAGATTCTGTACTACTTGGTGGCTTGTTAAGTGTGAGTTGAGGGAGAATGGGAGTCTAGGTTACTTTGTTTTCTGATTTGTACAGACACTAAGATACAGAAGGTAGAGGAAGTGGCACAGGTTTTGAATGTGGTGAATTTGAGATGAAGTTTATAGTAGATATATGTGGCTGAAACTCAAAAGAAATGTCTGAGGCTGGGCATGGTGGCTCACATCTGTAAACCTAGTGCTTTGGGAGGCCCAGGTGGGAGAATTGCTGGAGGCCAGGAGTTGGAGACCAGCCTGGGAAACATAGGGAGATCTCAACTCTACAAAAAACAAAAACATAAAAAATTAGCCAGGCATGGTGTGTGCACCTGTAGTTCCAGCTACTTGGGAGGCTGAGGTGGGAGGATTGCGTGATCGCAGGAGTTTGAGACTGCAGTGAGTTGTGTGATTGATTGTGCCACTGCACTGTAGCCTGGGTAACAGTGAGACCCTGTCTCAAAAAAAAAAAAAAAAAAAAAGGTGGGGGCGGGGAGAGATAGAGGGAGGTCTGAGCCAGATATGTGGGCATGAGAGTCATCCTCACAGAGGTGATGTTGGAGCCATGATGTGCCCGACAGCACGTCTAAGAACATATACATGAGAAGAGTAACTGGGCCATACAAGCATTTAAGATGTGAGAAACTAGACCCCATCAAGGAATCCGTGAAGGAGAAGCCAGAGAGAGAAGAAAACCAGGAGATTGTATCATAGAAGCCAAGAAGAAAAAAATGCGTGGTTTTAGGAAGGAGTGAGTGGACAGTAGAGTTTAATGTTGCAGAGAAGTCAAATAAACTAAGGACTGGAGGGTGGACATTGTCACTGGACACCTTGGAGAGAGCAAGTTCAAGGGCAAAGAAGCCAAGCCACTGGACTGAGCGGCAGTGAGAGAGTGGGAGGAGCAGCCTGCTCTTCAGAAAGAGCTTGCTAGGGGCTGGTGTGGTGGTTCACGCCTGTAATCCCAGCACTTTGGGAGGCAGAGGTGGGTGGATCACTTGAGGTCAGGAATTCGAGACCAGCCTGGCCAACATGGTCGAAACCCCGTCTCTACTAAAAATACAAAAATTAGCCAGGTGTGGTTGCGCACACTTGTAATATCAGCTACTAGGGAGGCTGAGGCAGGAGAATCATTTGAACCCACGAGACAGAGGTCTCAGCGAGCTGAGATCATGCCACTGCACTCCAGAAAGAGCTTGCCAGAAAGGTGGCATGTAGAAAGGAACCAGAAAAGGATGGACCCGTGAGGGTGAGCTGAGATGTAGAACTGAGAAAATGTTTATATGATGAAGTAAAAAGCCATGTTTGAGGAAAACAGATTTTAAGTGGAGAAGAGCAATGAACTGAGAATCAAGAAACTTGAGTTCTGGTCCAGGTTCTGCCAATAATTAACCATGAGATTTAGGAAAAAGTCACTTCGCCTCTCTGTGCCTCAGTTTCCTCCTCTGTCAAATGAAAGAGCTGACCTAGATCCAATTTTATTTAGCCAGAATGTTTTCTAATTCTGAGTCTCCTCAAAAGGAGGGAACTGAGTTATTTATTCTGAGAGGTAAAAGTATTAGCATTTTGTTGAAAACATCTTAAAGCTAAAAAGCTGTCACTTGAATTGGGCCATTCTTTTGCCTGCAGAACTCTGGCACATAAGTAAACACACATGATATAACTGCCAAAGTAAATTATGTTGAAATAACTTATAGTCTAAAATTGACAGATTGAAAGTAAATACTGGCAAAGTTTCCTTACTCCTTTGGGGGAGTCCATCAGAAATACTTGATAGTTAATTTGTCTCTGGGGAACACTTCTTAGTAGACCCTCAGTCATTCACCTCTGCCCTCTTGCTCATCCACTTTCACTTGGCTGGTTGACTTTTTACTGAATGTGCTTGAGCGGGTTTCCACTCTACATGTTGTGAGCAAGATTCACGTCAGCTTTTAGCTCTGGAAAGAGAGCAGTTGAGAAAACAGGGACCTGCTGTAGTATGAAATCCACCTGGTGACCACCACACTGAGAAACATGGAACCTCTGACCATCTACGTTACCAAAAGTTATACACAGAAAATAATTTCTGCCCAATGGAGAAGAACGTTTGGGTAATTTTGAAACTACAGCACCTGTTGAGGGACTGTGGAAAGCACTAGTCCTGTCTAACAGTGTCACTTTGCTGAGTATCCAATCAACAGCAATAGTTACAGGACAGTATTTAACAAATGTTACAATGTGCATTCCCTTAAACTAATTTACATAAATTTAAACATACTCCTCATTTGTGTGGATATTCTGCAACAAATTGAGATGCTTTTATAAATTGAGATACTTTTTGTTTGTTTTTGAGATGAGGTCTCACTCTGTTACCCAGGCTGGAGTCCAGTGGTGTGATCGTGGCTCACTGCAGCTTTGAACACCTGACTTCAAGTGATCTTCCCGTCTCAGCCTCCCGAGTAGCTTGGACTACAGGCACACCCCACCACACCTGGCTTGGGGTACTTTTTTGTCCAAAGGATATTATTTCTTTTCTTGCAACCCTACAGAACAAAGTGTCGTAATGATGTGATAATTTTTGCCTACATTTCAAAGAATTGCAATTATTTATTTGTACATATATTCACTAAGTTTCATATCAGTAACATAAGCTTATAAAGTCATACAGTAATATAAAATGTGAAGCAATCTATCATTTAATCAAAATTTCTAAAATTATTTTCACTGCATTTTAGAGTACTCTATGGGCAATGCACAATAAAACATTTGGGAGTCTATTCTCCTTCAAATCTTAACATACAAAATGTGTTTATGTTAGAAAAATTGCCAAAATGTGCTGCAACCTCACATTTAGATAGGAAAGGATTCCTATCTTCCAGTCATAAACAAAACCGAAAACATCAAGCAAAAGATCCTCCCCAAGCAGGTTTTAGCCATTATTTCACATAAACCAAGGTAAATACACTATATATCACGGGGCCTAGTCTCAGTTGAGGCTTGCAATTTCCTTTCCTCGTTCTATCTATTGGAAGAAAGAAAGATAATCCATCCATGTTGGACTATCCTGTCAAGCTAGCCTAAATCACTGCGGGCTGGAAATCTCCAGAGTTTTCTCCTCATGATTCAAAACCAGTACAGATACTAAGACAAGACTGAAAATCACCCTGACACGTAAATTAGAAAAGAAGAATAAAATTCTAAGAAAAGCAGCTGAGTGAGTTTTTGTCTCTCTTTTCACACTGAGCCTGCATACAATGAGGGGGCTGTCATGTCCTACTTGACCACTTAGGGCACTGCCTGGAGCCCTGGCCTGGGAGTCAGAAGCAGGAATCTCAAGGTCTAGCGCATAACTGACTAGCCATTTGCCCCTGGGTCCCTCTCTGGACTTCGGTTTCTCATATGCAATAAAATGAAGGGGTTTTATTCCATAACTGCTATGACCCTTAGCTCTCAATGGCACTGATTATCTCATTTTCTTTTTCACCAACTCAAGAAATAAGTGTCTTAAATTTGTCTCTAACTGACAACAGGGCCAGTGGTGGACTCGTAATCCATGTTTGTTGAGCTAACTAATTAGTTTGGGCCCTGAAAACAAGAGGGTCTTCTTTGGTAGCTATTTGACAAACTGTCACTTATGGGATCTTTCTCTTTCAGGAGGAGAAAATGTGTAATTGTAAGCAGCTGAACTAAAATATCTCTGTGACATTTTGCTGGTGACTCCAGCCCTGTGAGATCTGAGTGGCTCAGGAATCAAATTCTCCCACAAACCTGAGGAAGCCTTTTATTCTTAATGCCAACAGGATGCCCCATGCCCAGAATGTCAAATCTGAACACCAATGGAATGCATTTTATAAACAAATTGAAAAAGGACAATCTTTAACAGAATTGTTGTTCTCTAGGCAGATTAGTTGTGCTTCAAATACAAAATGAAATATTAGAGAACAAAATTATTTTTAAACAGCTAATACTAGTAGAAAATAAAAGGCTGAAAAGTGCTATAATGTGTAAAAGGACTAAAATTTACTTTTATTACTTATTTATATATGAGTTGGGCTCAATTTTACCATTAGTCAATCTTTATCCTTTGGCAAGTTTCTTTTCTGTCTTTGGGCTTCTCATCTAGTGTCAATGAAAAGAGTCACTCTGGGCTGGGCGCGGTGGCTCACGTCTGTAATCCCAGCACTTTGGGAGGACGAGGTGGGTGGATCACCTGAGGTCAGGAGTTCAAGACCTGCCTGACCAACATGGTGAAACCCTGTCTCTACTAAAGATACAAAATTTAGCTGGGCATGGTGGCAGGTGCCTGTAATCCCAGCTACTCAGGAGGCTGAGGCAGGAGAATAGCTTGAACCTGGGAGGCAGAGGTTGCAGTGAGCAGAGATCGCACCACTGCACTCCAGCCTGGGGGACAAGAGCGAGACTTTGTCTCAAAAAAAAAAAAAAAAAGAGTCACTCTGTAAACTATTTAAAGAGGTTTATTCTGAGCGAAATATGAGTGACCAAGGCCCAGGTGGTTGATTGACAGCTGGATTTTATACATGTTAGCGGGACAGAAATTACAGGCAGACATCAATCAATACATGTAAGATGTACATTGGTTTAGTCCAAATAGACGGCACAGCTCGAAGCAGGAGCTTCCAGGTCATAGGTGGATTCAAAGATTTTCTGATTGGCAATTGGTTAAAAAAAGTTAAATTATGATCTGAAGACCTGGAATCAATAGGAAGGAAGGTCTGGGTTAAGATAAGGTGTTATGGAGACAAAAGTTCTTATGCAGATGAAGCCTTCAGGTGGCAGGCTTCAGAGAGAATAGATGGTAAATGTTTCTCATCAGACTTAAAAAGGTGCCAGACTCAGTTCATCTCTCCTGGATCAGGAAAAGACCTGAAAAGGGAAGGGGATTCTTTACAGAATGCAGATTTTCCCTGTAAGAGACAGCTTTGCAGGGCCATTTAAAAATATGTCAATGAAATATATTTCAGAGTTAAATACTTCAGTGTGTTTGTGGGCTGCTATCTGTCCTGTGATGCTACACTAGAGTCAGGTTAGAATTTGGTATCTTTTTGCTACAGAGACTATTTTGTCAGTCTTAAGAGCTCTGTTTTAATGTTAATGCTGTCAGTTGTGCCCGGAATTCCAAAAGGAGGAGGGAACAATAAGGCAAGCATATCTAACCCCCCTTCCCATCATGACCGGAACTAGTTTTTCAGGTTGACTTTGGAATGCCCTTGGCTGAGAAGGGGACCCATTTAGTCAGTTGGGGAGCTTAGAATTTTATTTTTGGTTTACATCATCTAGAAAAAGTAAAGTATGAAGTTGGGGAAATAGGTCAAAATAAGTTCTAGAGTCACTTTTAGCTCCTACGATTCTATTAAAACTTATTTTCTAGTTATAGAGGTAACAGTTCATATCATAAAAAAGTATTTTAAGATAGACGACTCTCAAAGACATTATGCGAAGAGAAATAAGCCAGTCATAAATACTGCATGATTCCTTTCCTCTGAAGTATCTAAAGTAGTCAAAATTGTAGAAACAGAAAGTAGAAAGGAAGTTCCCAGAAAGGGGTGGGAGCAATTAGTGTTTAGTGGATGTAGTGTGTTGACAAAATACCAAACCCTGTAAAACATTTACAGAGGTTAATTCTGAGCCAGCACGAGTGGCCATGCCCAGGGAACAGTTTCAAGAGGTTCTGAGAAGGCATGCCCAAGATGGTCAGATTACAGCTTGGTTTTATACATTTTAGGGTGACGGAAGTTACAGACAAAGATACAAATTAATGCATGTAAGGTGTACATTGGTTCAACCTGGAAAGTGAGGACATCTCAAAGTGGAAGTGGAAGGTGGGTAAGGTGCTTACAGGTCATAGGCAGATTCAAAGATTTTCTGATTGGTAATTAGTTGAAAGAATTAAGCTTTGTCTAAAGACTTGAAGTCTAGAAAGAAATGCTTGAATTAAGATAAGGGGGATTGCAGAAGCCAAGGTTCTTATTACGTAGATGAAGCCTCCAGGTAGCAGCCTTCAGAGAGAATAGATGGCAAATGTGTCTTTTCAGACCGTAAAAGGTGTCAAGGCCAGGCCCCGTGGCTCATGCCTGTCATCCCAGCACTTGGTGAGGCTGAGGCAGGCAGATCACCTGAGGTCAGGAGTTTGAGACTAGCCTGGCCAACATGGTGAAACCCCATCCCTACTAAAAACGCACACATTAGCTGGGTGTGGTGGCACATGCCTGTAGTGCCAGCTACTTGGGAGGCTGAGGCAGGAGAATTGCTTGAACTCAGGAGGTGGAGGTTGCAGTGAGCCAAGATCATGCCACTGCACTCCAACCTGGGTGACAGGGCAAGAGTTTATCTCCAAAAAAAAAAAAAAAAAAAAACCACACACAAAAAAAACAGGTGTCAGACTCTTAGTTAATCTCTCCTAGATCCAGGAAAGGCCTGGCTGCATTGACAGAAATCCTCTACAGATGCAAATTTCCCCCACAGAAGACTTTGCAGGACCATTTCAAAATATGTCAAAGAAATATATTTTGGGGTAAAATAATTTTATTTTCCTCAAGGTCTACTGTCTGTCATATGATGCTATACCAGAGTCAGGTTGGAATTTTGTATCTTATTGCCACAAAGAGTCTGTTTTGTCAGGCTTAACATGTCTATTGTAATGTTAATGCTGGTCAGTTGTGCCAAAACTCCAAAGGGAAGGTGTAGGTGTGTCCTACCTCCCTTCCCATGATGGCTGGGAATTCAGTTTTTCAGGTTTTTCTGGAGTCCCATTTGCTCAGAGAGGGTCCATTCAATCACTTGGGGAAACTTAGAATTTTATTTTTGTTTTACAAAAGTTTCAGTTTTTCCAGATGAAAAAGTTCTGCAGATCTGTTGCACAACAGTGTGAATGCACCTAACACTGCTGAGCTGTACACTTAAAAAATGGTTAAGGTGGTAAAATTTATTTATTCTTTTATTTGTTTTTAGATGGAGTCTCAGGCTGGAGTGCAGTGGCACAGTCTCGGCTCACTGCAACCTCCGCCTCCCAGGTTCAAGCAATTCTCGTGTCTCAGCCTCCCGAGTAGCTGGGATTATAGGCACACACCACCATGCTAATTTTTTGTGTTTTTAGTAGAGACAGGTTTCTGCCATGTTGCCAGGATGGTCTTGAACTCCTGAGTTCAGGCAATCCGCCCACCTCGGCGTCCCAAAGTGCTAGGATTACAGGGGTGAGTCACCGCGCACAGGAAGGTGGTAAAATTTAATGTCAGAATTTTTTTACCACAATAAAAAAAAAACTTGTTGTAGTATGAGAATAAAGAAGAAATTTTAAACCACTCAAAAGTGAATACCTCAGAGAGAAAATCTCTATTAACCAATGGGAGCTTATCACTATTGATTTTTCAACAGTTAATGAGTGCCCTACCCTGTGGCGCTGTTTCCTGGCAGCAAATAATGAACGTGACAGGCATAGATCCAGCTTTCATTCGTAAGGAAATCAGCAGTTACTTTAAAAGGCAATAGGTTCGGCGGGCGCAGTGGCTCATGCCTGTACTCCCAGCACTTTGGGAGGCCAAGGTGAGTGGATCACAAGGTCAGGAGTTCGAGACCAGCCTGACCAACATGGTGAAACCCAATCTCTACTAAAAATACAAAAATTAGCCAGGCATGGTGGCACGTGCCTGTAATCCCAGCTACTCAGGCGGCTGAGACAGGAGAATTGCTTGAACCCGGGAGGCGGAGGTTGCAGTGCGCTGAGATCATGCCACTGCACTCCAGCCTGGGTGACAGAACAAGACTCTGTCCCCCCAAAAAAAAAAAAAAATAGGCAATAGGTTCTACTGTAAGGGGACACGCAGAGAGGAATAAAAGCATGGAGAAGGGGTGAGGAGATCCTGGTGGAGATGAGGAAAGCATTCCTGAGGAAATGAGGGCTAATCTGAGATTTGAAGGATGAGAAGAAGATGTCTTTTTTTTGTTTTTTTCGGCTAGTCAAGTGAAGCAGTGGGAGTGGAGAAGGAACAAAGAAATCCTTAACTGGTTGTGACTGCACTCGGACCACCTGAGAAGAAGATATGAAGACAAAAAGAAGGCACGGACTTTCTGTTCGGAACATGTGCAAAAGTCTAGGCAATATAAAGCACGCTGCTTAAGATGGGGGAATAGGACACCCACATATGCTGAGGCGGTGCCAGGACCAGGATAGCAGAGGGCTCTGGAACCCATGTCAGTGAGCCTGAACATCTTCCTGCGGGTAGGCTCCTTGACATGGGTTCCAGAGCCCTCTGCTACCCTGGAACCCATGTCAATGAGTCTGAACATCAGTAGGAGAGTCACTAGAGAGCCTGAGTGTAGAGTGGACAAGGTTAGATTCAATTTAAGAAGACCTCTCTGGCTTCAATGTGGAGGATGGATTGAAGGGGCTCACTGCTGGTTGAGGCTGTGACAGTGGGCTCGGTGAGACAAGCACGGGCATAGCCTGTTGTTAATAATGTTGTATTTATAGTTTTTGGCTTAAGACTTTTTACTTAATATTTCATATTTAGGGTTTTCCCATTTCATTAAAAATTCATTGTAATCATTTTTAATACCTGCTTGGCATTTCATTGTATGGATAATCCATGATTTATTTAACTACTCTTCTATTTTTAAAGGTTGTTTCTGTTTCTTAGTCTAGAATGAGTAGAATTAATATTTTGGTACAAGGATTCTTGTCCACATTTTATAAATATTTTCATAAATATTAAGATTATACTAATCTCTTGCATCAGATGGCAGAAGAGGTGGCGGCAATGTTACCAAAGGAGTGTGTGTGTGTGTGTGTGTGTGTGTGTGTGTGTGTATAAGCAGTATTGCTTTGTCCTACCTAAATTGCAGATCTGCCAAAGAAGGCATAATCTAATATATTCATCCCCTATGTTGCATGGGGCAGGGAAGGCTGTGGGTTTGCACTACATAGCACATTGTTCTATCCAGGCAAAAGGTCAAGCGCTGTAGAAGGCCAAAGCTAAAAATACAGTGTGGCACTGGGGAAAATGAAGGAGCTGTCCAGGGGAAATGAGTCATACTGAATCAGTACCTCTCCTCCTATACACAGCAGTAACCTCCTCAGCTAGGGAAAGCAGACTGGTTCTTACATGAAAGTGATTTCAGGTCAGGCCTGGTGGCTCATGCCTGTAATCCCAGCACTTTGAGAGGCTAAGGTGGGCAGATCACCTGAGGCCAGGAGTTCGAGACCAGCCTGGCCAGAATGGCAAAACCCCCATCTCTACTAAAAATACAAAAATTAGCCAGGTCTGGTGGCACACATCTGTAATCCTACCTACTCGGGAGGCTGAGGCAGGAGAATCGCTTGAATCTGGAAATTGGAGGTTTCAATGAGCTAACATTGCCACTGCACTGCAGCCTGGGTGACAAAGCCAGACTGTCTCAAAATTTTTTAAAAAAAGGAATTTTAACAATAATACCAATAATTTTGGTAACAACATGGAGTAATTTCATTCCTATAGCACTTTTGTTCCTAGAGGTCGACTGCTCATGGACCATCCGTGGACCAGGATACCCCTTGTCCGTTAGCATAGGGTCTCCGGGAAGACAGCACCACACACGGAAGGAATCGAAGGAGCTGAGCCTCCCTGAACATTTCTCACTGGGACTGGTAGGACTCAGTGGATTAGAAGAATGGCATTCCCAGTCTAGAGGGGCAGGCAGTAACCTGTGTGTGGGCATTGAGAGAATATGGTACATGATCCCTGTCATTGCTGTGACCCTGGAAGTTTCTCAGGAAATCCAAATAACTAATGCCAGTTGGACTGTTTATAAGGTTTCCTCTCTTCAGGAAATCATCAAAATATTCTTTCAGCTGCCAGGCCAACTTCTTCAGGACTGAAAGAAAATCTTTCTTTTCAACCACAGAGAGAGAGCAAACAGCCATTGCTAGTTGACAAAGTTTGGGGAGTGGGAGGTGGTTTTATTTTGTTTTTGTAAACAGGGTCTCCCTATGTCACCCAGGCTCGTCTCAAACACCTGGGCATTTGTGAGAGACCTCCCTTCCATGGTCTTCCCCAGCCCTATTTGTCAGGATTTTTAACACAAGTGACTCCAATTTTGAGTCCGTCAACTTTCACAGATAAAAATTATTAAGACTGATAAGCCCAAGTGTTGACAAGTGTGAGTGGGCTAAATTGTATTCCCTCAACATTCATATGTTGAAGTTCTAGCCCCCAGCACCTCAGAATGTAACTGTATTTGAATATAGAGTCTTTGAAGAGATAATTAAGGCCAGGCATGGTGACTCATGCCTGTAATCCCAGCACTTTGGGAGACTGAAGTAGGAGGATTGCTTGAGGCCAGGAGGTCAAGACCAGCCTGGGCAACATAGTGAGACCTTGTCTCTATAAATAAATACATTTGGATAGAGTTAATTAATGTGAAATAAAATATGGTTATTAGGGAGGGGTTCTAATCTAATCTGACTCGTGTTTTTTAAGAAGAAGAAATTAAGACACAATGCACACAGAAGGAAGACCATGTAAAGACACAAAAAGATGGACACCTGCAAGCCAAGGAGAGAGGCCGCAGAAGAAAACCAACTCCAGTGACACCTTGATCTTTGACTTGCAGCCACCAGAATTGTAGCAAATACATTTCTGCTGTTTAAGCTACCCAGCTAGTGATACTTCGTTTTGACAGCCCTAGCAAACTAATACAGCTAGAGATTTTATTAGTCCATTCTCATACTGCTATAAAGAAATACCTGAGACTGGGTGATTGACAAAGAAAAGAGGTTTAATTGGCTCACAGTTCCACAGGATGTACAGGAAGCGTGGCAGCTTCTGCTCGGCTTCTGGGAAGGCCTCAGGAAACTTACAATCATGGCAGAAGGCAGAGAGGCAGCAAGAGCATCTTACATGGCTGGATCAGGAGGAAGAGCGAGAGGAGGAAGAGGCTGCACACTTTTAAACAACCAAATCTCGTGAGAACTCACTATCGCGACAGCAGTTCCAAGGGGGATGGTACTAAACTGCCCCCATGATCCAATCACCTCCCACCGGGTCCTACCTCCAACATTGGGGATTACAATTTGACATGAGGTTTGGGCAGGGACACAGATCCAAACCATGTCAGAGACATACAATACGGGAATTTTTACACATTGCTGGTAAATAAATGGGCACATTCATTTTGGAGAGACACAAGCCCCAGTAGCCAAAAAATCCATTTGAGTTATCTATTCTAGAGAAAGTCATGCAAATGTGCCCCAAAAGACATACGGAAAGCTGTTCAGTGTAGCATTTTATCTCACTGTGAAAAAAATGAAACTAACCTCCCCTCAGTGGAAAATGGCTAAACTGTGGTTCATTCACACAATGGAATTCCACAAGACTGTTAAAATGACTAAATGTGCCTGCATCTATCAACACGGATAAATCTCAAAACCAACGCTCAGTGAAAAAAGAAAATTGCAAAAATATTTGTACAACGTGATATCATTTATATGTAGTTTTAAAACACAATTGTCTATATTGTTTATGCACATATACATATGTGTAAAAGCACAAATACACACATGAGCATAAGACGCATGTAAGATAATGGTTAAGAGCACAGACTGTGGAGCTCCCTCACCAGTTATATAACATTTGATAACTTTAATCCCGTGCCTCAGTTTCCTCATGTGTAAAATGGTTTTGATAATGAAAGTGCCTACCTTATTGGATCATGGGGAAGATTACATTAGAAAATGCATACAAAATGCTTAACTCAATACCTGGCTCATAGTAAATGTTCAATAAATATTATATTATACTATTGTTTAACAAACATCCACTCCAAAACTCATGGTGAAATTTGTCATTGTGATGGTATTGAGAAGTGGGAACTTTAAGAGGTAGTTAGGTTACTAAAGCTGTTATTGTGGGAATGGGTTCATTATCATGGGAATGGGTTTGCCAGCTCTTACAGTCTCTCTCTTTCTCTCTCTCTCTTTCTCTCACCCTTTCACCCTTCAGCCATGTTATGATGCTGCAAGAAGCCCATTGCCAGATGCTGGTGCCTTGACACTGGACTTCTCAGCCTCCAGAACTGTGAGCCAACAAATGTCTATTTGTTGTAAGAAATCTTACTAGATAAGGGCCGGGCGCGGTGGCTCACGCCTGTAATCCCAGCACTTTGGGAGGCCAAGGCGGGCGGATCACGAGGTCAGGAGATCGAGACCATCCTGGCTAACACGGTGAAACCCCGTCTCTACTAAAAATACAAAAAAATAGCCAGTCGTGGTGGCAGGCGCCTGTAGTCCCAGCTACTCGGGAGGCTGAGGCAGGAGAATGGGGTGAACCCGGGAGGCAGAGCTTGCAGTGAGCCGAGATCGCACCACTGCACTCCAGCCTGGGCAACAGAGCAAGACTCCGTCTCAAAAAAAAAACAAAAAACAAAACAAAACAAAAAACTTACTAGACAAATATTAGCTTATTAGTAAATAAATAATATGGTCAACTGTACAGGCAATCAAATATGAAAAAAGTAAAATAAAATTGAGTTACTACTTTTGGCAAAGCTTAATTTTGAAATAAGGGTACTTTGATAGGTAATATACTATGATAGGCAGCTTCTAAACGGCCGCAGTGATCCCATCTGTTGGTATTCATGCCCTTCCTTGTGTAATCCCCTTCCCTGGAATATGGGCCGGACGTAGTAACTTGCTCTGACAAATAGAATATGACAAATTGATGGAATATTACTTCCAAAATGAGGTTCTAAAAAGACTGGTGCTTCCTCCTCGGGCACTCTCTCTCATTCTGTTAATCTGAGGGAAGCCAGCTGCTATGCTGTGAGCTGCGCCGTGGAGAGGCCCACATGGCGAAGACCTGATAACATCTGGATGATAGCCAATGAGTGAGCTTGGAAGTAGATCCTCCCCCATGTGAACTGGGAGGTGATTACAGCCCTGGCAAGCAGCTGAACTTGCAGTCTCATGAGAGCTCCGGGCCAGAGACTCCCAGCCCAAATTCCTGACCTCCAGAAACCATGAGAAAATAAACGTTTATTGTTTTAGGCTGGCAAACTTCTAGGTAATTTTTTACGCAGCAATAGATAACCAATACACCCAACATAGGCCAGGGCGAAAGCTAACGCTGATGTGCATATGTACTGTTAGTAATAAGGTAAATTGGTGTAAGTTTCTGGAGAGCGGTTTTAAAAATATTCCTAAAGATAGTCACAATTATGTTTTGCCTGAAGGAAATAAATGAATAAATATTTAAGTATATCCATTAAAGTCTTAAACATAGTAAATATAATAGTGAATAACTGGTAATAATTTACCAGTTTGGGGGAATTGTTAAATTATAATATATCCATTTGATAAAATCTTAGGTGGATATTAAAATTCATGTCAAAAATCTAATTAATGATCTGTTGAAATGTTCATGACATAATGATAACAACATTAACAAAATAATAATAATTGAGGATGATCACAAATTTTGTTTTATTTATATTTAAAAATTTGTTAACCAACATAATAATAGTGTTGATCTGAGTGATGACATTATTAGGTGATTTACATTTTCTTGATTATATTTTTCTATAGGTTCCAATTTGTCTATAATAAATATATGTTTTTTAATCTGAAAAATCCTCAAATGTAAAACAATGGAATGTGGGCCAAGTATAATTCTTAAAATACATTTACTTTTTGCCTCTTTTTTTCTGGATCATGTTTTTCAAGTTCTCTCAAATTCCTAAATTCTTCTCTGAACTTTTCTTTCAGTCACTTCTTTACATCAAGTAGCTCTTCTTGTTCCTCTGTTCTTGGTTTTTTGTTTTGTTTTGTTTTGTTTTTTAGCATGGTCTATAGATAAAACTGAAGAGGGAAAAGACCAAATGTTTACTTACTTTAAAATCATATAAAAATCCCAAAAAGGTAATTTTTTGGCAAGAAGTAGGTTTGACCCTTTGCATAAAGTATTATTTTACTTTGGGAAATAAAGATTTAAATCACTTTGCATATAAATCTAAAATATACCTATGCATATCAGATTTTTTTAACCTGGAGTCCATGAACATCTAGGGGTTCACTTAATTTGAGGTATCCTCAAATTATGGTCTAGCTTTTTATTTCTTCTTTGTAATCCATCAGCCTTTGGTAAGGTCTTTTTGAACCCTCAGCTTTGTCTCAGCTGCGCCTTGGAGTCTCCCAGGAGGGCCCTTAGGCCACAGCTGGGGAAGCCTCCCATGGTGGGTGTGGAGGTAGCCGCAAGGGTCGATGAGAAGCCAAAGCTGAAGTGACTCTCAGGGGAACAGAGGGAGAACTTCTCAGCCTGGCTTCTCTGCCTCACCTGGGAGATTCTCTTTTTAGCGTTCACCTTGAAAATTCTGACTTTGTTTTATTAAGAAAGGTGATTTTTTTATGATGTACACATACTTTATAATGTCAAAGAATAAACATGTGTGGCTTGCCTCATCTGTTTAGTTTTTACCTGAAACCTCTGCATTTTTTGATGATTCATTGTGATCTTCTACTCCCAATTTTTTAAGAGTTGCATCTCTATTGAGAACACCTATTCCGTTCTCACCATACCATTAATGGAAATGATACATGTGGTTTCATATGTAATGTGGTTTAATATGTGTTTTATGACACTGACAAGTTCCTTGTCTAGCGATGGCAAATGTGAGCTATGTGGGCTGCCGATTTCTCCTCCTGGGTGCCTATCAGACAACACTATTCAACACAGCATTCTTCTTGTTGAGCCCAGATTCAGCCTCAGAAGTTTTCCCAAGTTCTACCAAACACTTGGCAATGGTATGCCGTATGAAATATATTTATTTATATATATGTATACAGATATATATACACACACATAATAGATTTGTCTGTTTTATTATGTTAAAAATGAAAAATTCTTTAGAACTCCTTTGTCAGACCATGTGTCCTGAGTTTGGATTTGAAAAAAATATTCTCATTGTATGCACACCACATATACTCTTGCATGCGTAATTATGGTGAAATACATCAACTGCTCATGCTTTGCTCTTAGTAGGAAATTACAGGGACAGGTCCTGGCCCTCTGGGCTGTGTGATTTCACAGGCTGATTCTCTGAGTCAGGCCCAGACAGAATATGTTTGGGCCTGACTTTGTCACCTTTGTAATTTTTGTTTTTTTTGTTTGTTTGTTTTGTTTTTTGAAACAGAGTCTCACTGTGTCACCAAGGCTGGAGTGCAGTGGCACGATCTCAGCTCACTGCAACCTCCGCTTCCTGGGTTTAAGCAATTCTCATGCCTCAGCCTCCCGAGTAGCTGGAATTATAGACATGTGCCACCACGCCTGGCTAATTTTTGTATTTTTGGTAGAGACAGGGTTTCACCATGTTGACCGAGCTGGTCTCACACTCTTGACCTCAGGTGACCTGCCTGCCTCAGCCTCCCAAAGTGCTGGGATTACAGGCGTGAGCCACCACGCCCGGCCTGTTATCCTTGTAATTAATAACTAATGTTCTTAGCTACTTTCCCCTTCCACTGAATCTCCCTCTTTCTTAATCAAGGCTTGGAGAGGTCTTTTTTAAAATTCTAGCCTCAATATCGTTCTTTCATCTACTGAGCTATTCCATGGTATGAGATCCAGGAACCTGTTTTCAATAAAAAGAACAATGGATTGGCTAAAATGTGAAATATGTTTCACTACAGATATATCTGTACTGTATATAGACTCCCATTGGCTTTTTCTTTTGCTAATAAAACATGTTCATTTTGATTGTTAGAATTTTATTATTTATCAGTGTGAAGGCAGAGGGGAAATAACCAATAAGTCACGCCTATAGCCGTGTCTGAGATAAAAGCCGTCTGTGAAAGACATTTAGCCCTATGAGTTCCAACAGAAGCTGCTGGACATTCAGAATCAGCCTGCAATTCCTTTTTTTGAAAAAGACATGCAGTGATTTACTCGTTAGGTCAAAAGCAGAAAGGTGTCTCCCTTGTTTGGGCTTCTCCGTTGAGGTTTATATGGATCTGCGAGGCTGCCATCAGTGTCCCCGCCTTCTGTTAAAAGGGTCAAACCCAGCAAGAATTCCGAGGGAACGGGTTCCTGTCCCCAAACTGCTGCATAGAACTCTTCAAACTTTATTGTGCTCTTGGCTTGGAGTTTCAGCCTATAAGAAATTAAGAATATAGGGAAAAGGAAAAGGGATTTGCAAACAGAACAGATTTGCAAATAGAACAGAGTTGTATTCCAGGAAACACAGTAACCAGATCCCTTCCCAAAACGTTTACCCTTTTTAGCTCAGATATTAAGTTTGTTGTTGTTGTTTTGTTTTTGCTTTTTTTTTGTTGTTTTTTGAAACAGGGTCCCACTCTGTCACCCAGGCTGGAGTACAGTGGCATGATCTCGGCTCACAGCAACCTTCACCTCCTGGGTTCAAGCGATTCTCCTACTTCAGCCTCTGGAGTAGCTGGAACTACGGCCCACACCAACACACCTGGCTAATTTTTGTATTTTTTTTTTTGTTTGTTTTTTTTTTTTTTTTGGTGGAGACAGGGTTTCACCATGTTGGCCAGGCTGGTCTCAAACTCCTGACCTCAAGTGATCCACCAGCCTCAGCCTCCGAAAGTGCTGGGATTATAGGCATGAGCCACCGCACCCAGCCAGATATTAAGTTTTAAAGTTTAAAAATGTGGTTTCGAATTTTACAGTTTTCTTCAAGTTGATGTGGAAGAAAATAAGGAATAAGTTAAAAAATAATAATGAAGACAGTGACTTTGAAACTAGGGCTATCAGTCTAAAAGTAACTTCTTCATAAACATACTCTGTGTTGTGGAAATTGGTCATACAAGCTGAGTCATTCTTATCCACCCAACCAAAATAGAGTGGAGGGCTGGGGGGAAAGAGCACTCAGGACATGTGACATTGCTCTTGAAATAAAATTCTCTGCAAGTCTAGTGGCTGAAACTGCCTATTGTAGCCTGAGACCAGTTTTATCTGTCGCCTCAGCAGCTACAACTCTAGGACTAATTTTGGCCACCACAGTCACCCACCAAATGGAGCTGGCCAGCCCCCAGAGCTTTGCTAAAACCAAAGAACTTTCTCCAGGACCACACAGAACATGCCCTTTTTTTTTTTCCATAAAATCCCCAACCTCCTTTACATTCTTTAGACATACCAAAAACCACTTAGTCTGCCTGTATGCCCTGAGTTGCAATTCTTTCTTCCCAAATAAAGCGTGAAATTTAGAGTTATCTCTAATTTTTTATTCTCACTTCCACAGTGTGTATGTGGGTGTATGTAGGGGCGGGGAAAAGGGAAAAAGGAAGGGAGAGAGAGACAGAAACAGATCATAATCTTGCTTGCCTGTATGGCAGGGCTGGATTTTGTGTTGTTTCATGGTAGAAATCAGATTGTAGCAATGAAAAGAAAGAA
Organism: Homo sapiens; assembly: GCF_000001405.40. Taxonomy (NCBI): domain Eukaryota; kingdom Metazoa; phylum Chordata; class Mammalia; order Primates; family Hominidae; genus Homo; species Homo sapiens. The sequence goes on from NC_000004.12 coordinate 185,120,649, forward strand.
CGACAGCAGGAAAGCATTCCTAATTCCTCAGGTACCTGTCCTGCCAGCTGAACCCTTCTTCAGAGATCTCCCAGCTTCACAGCCCTGACTCAGCGGGGCGTAAATGGCTTGTAGCAGCCACGGGGCCCCATGGAGATGATTGGCCTGAGCAGGAGTTGGGGATGCTGCTTGGGACTGATCTATCTTCTCAGGAATTTAGACAACACCGTGAAAAGCACATCTCTGCAAGAATTAAAGAGTCCGAAAATGAGATATGATGATTTAAAAAAAAAAGGAAAGGCCAGCACTGTCCACTTTGATGTGATTGTGTGTTGTTTCCCTCATATAAACAATATTACCAGCCAGGTGCAGTGGCTCACACCGTAATGCCAGCACTTTGGGAGGCCGAGGCCAGTGGATCACCTGAGGTCAGGATTTCAAGACCAGCCTGACCAACATGGTGAAACTCCATCTCTACTAAAAATACAAAAAAAAAAAAAAAAAATTAGCCTGGTGTGGTGGTGCATACCTATAATCCCAGCTACTCGGGAGACCGAGACAGGAGAATCACTTGAACCCAGGAAGCGGAGGTTGCAGTGAGCCGAGATTGCGCCACTGTACTTCAGACTGGGCAACAGAGCAAGACTCTGTCTCAAAACAAAAATAAAAATAAAAAACACAATATTGCCTTCACCCCTTTTCCATCTTCCCTTCATCCTCTCCTCCTGCCTCCAGTTTAATTACTTGGTAAGTTTGCTAAACATTTATTGAGAATAGAACACTCCCCAAACACTGGGGATTCACAGTCGATTAAGATATGGTCTGTGTGAGCAAGGCGTTTGGCCTAGCTGGAACAGCTAAGTACAGGATGATCAGTGCTTTGACGCAGGGTGTTGATACAGTTTGAATATGGCCCCCTCCAAATATCATGTTGAATTGTAATCCCCAGTGTTGGAGGTGGGGCCCGGTGGGAGATGATTGGGTCATGGGGGCGGATTTCTCTTGAGTGGTTTAGCAGATTCCCGTTGGCGCTGTGCTCGAGATGAGTGAGTTCTCATGAGATCTGGCCATTGAAAAGTGTGAGGCATCTCCCGGCACGCTCGCTGTCTCTTGGTCTCGTTCTCACCATGTGATGCGCCTGCTCCCCCTTTGCCTTCTGCCATGATTGGAAGTTTCCTGAGGCCTCCCTGGAAGCCTATATATATAATCTATATGTATAATATAGATTATACATGTATCATCATATCTGTCCTAATATCTTTTTATTCTCACTTAGCCTTTTTACAGTAACATTTTCTCATGTTATTACAAGCTTTTTTGGAAACAATATTTTCACTGGCTGTGTAATATTTGCTCATCTGAAAGTTTTACAATTTATTGTTTACTTAGCCATTGCCCTCATGTTGGCTATTAGGTTCTTTCCAATTTCTCTCAATGATGATCAACTCTCTCAGGAAGAATTTTATGCAATAAAATTTTCCCTGTATTTTGAACTATTTTCTTAAGATAACCTAGGCTGGGTGCAGTGGCTCACGCCTGTAATCCCAGAACTTTAGGAGGCCGAGGTGGGTGGATCATGAAGTCAAGTGGTCGAGACCATCCTGGTCAACATGGTGAAACCCCATCTCTACTAAAAATACAAAACTTAGCCAGGTGTGACAGCGCGCGCCTGTAGTCCCAGCTACTCCAGAGGCTGAGGCAGGAGAATTGCTTGAACCCAGGAAGTGGAGGCTGCAGTGAGCCGAGATCGCGCCACTGCACTCCAGCCTGGGCAACAGAGCAAGACTCCATCTCAAAACAAAACAAACAAACAAACAAAAAAACGATAACCTTACATTAGTGGAATAACCGGGACAAACAGAATGAATGAGGGTCTTGATAAAATTATCTTCCAAGTCATCTGCAAATTGTTACTCTCTCCAAAAAAAATTGCATTAAGAGTGCCAAGATATGAGTTTCTTATGGATGGAATGATTTGAGGCAAGTTACTTAACTTTCCTGAGCTTCAGCTTCCTCATCTGTAAAATGAAGATGCTGACCTCATCCAACTATGACCCTTTAAAGATGTAGCCTGTGGAATGTGGCACATGTTCTGGTAGACAGTCAGTGCTCAACCGAAATATAAGTGTCCTTCTCCCCTTCCCTTTCCTTCATCCACTGTTAAGTAAAAATGAAGCTCTGTTCAGCTTCAGGTTTCCTAGTAGCCACTCATCTAGATAATGATCAAAACATCTTAACCACAAGGCGTCTCAAGTGGTTACTGTACAAATATAGACAGAATCTCTTCTCTATAATTGGTTTATAGAACCCTACTAGATACTGTGTAATCACATTGAAAATACATGATTTGGTGCATCTGTTTACTGTGCTTCTGAACAGGGGTAATGTTTTATCTATTTTGTCCATTTTATCCTTGTGCAAGTTATTTACCATCTCTGTTCTCAGTTTCCTCATGACAAAAATAAGGTTACTACCAGTCCTACCTTCTTTTTATAGCTGAATATGAAAGTACTTCACTAACTACTGAGGTTTTGCTCGGAGACTAAATACATGCACGCTGAGCAGGTTATAGGTACCACTGGCCGCATGTCAGATACATATGAAAGAAAAAAGGAAAGACGGAATGAATCTTTACCCAGAGCCTGCATTTTACAGACATTAATTACACACAAGATCCTGAGAGGTACTTCATAGTTGCTCAGATTTTACATAGACTAGGAAACTGAAATTCAGCAAAGGGAAGTAGCTTCCTCAAGGTCTTAAGCGACTTAAGCTACCAAGCGGTAGAGGCATAATTGGCTAATGCTAAACAGTACCCTGAGGGACAGAAAGGATATTTATGTTTTATCAACTTCATCATTAGTAACACAATTGTGGGACTGAACAATGAAATGTTTTATGAACTTTCACTTTGCTGCTTAGAGAGAAAAATACAAGGTAAATGCGTCGGAGATGTACGCTATTAGTTCCACTCGAAGGATCACTTGAAAGGACCCTGCGTTGATCACTACCATATATCATCAGCAACTGGGGCAAACTATGATGCGTGTGTGGAGAGGGGATAGGGAGAGTGGGAGAGATCTCATCATCCTAAAGCCTTATTTGGTTTCAGGTTACAAAATATATAAACAAATTCCATTGGGAAGATAGCTTCATCGCTACAGTAAGCATGAGGTGTCATCTCTGCAGGCAGTAGGTGCCTGTAACCTTGTGTAGCTGCCATGGGCCTCCTACTAAGCGAGAGTCATGTCAGCTCTTGGGAAGGAGACACACAGAAGGAGAAGGATTCTTATATCACCCGGGGTATTGCTCCTGTCACAAAAGGATTCTTAGGACCACAGTGATAGCTCCACAAAGGTGCAGGCAAAAAAACTGGCTGAGACTGTAAACTCAAATAACTAATATTTCTATTATGTTTAACGAGATGAAAGTGTAGTTTTATAGGCCAAATTCAGTCAAGTATCATCATTTCCATATAGTTTAACGTGTGTGTGTTTGTGTGTGTGTGTGTGTGTGTGTGTGTAATTAAGACATACATCCAAAAGTTGTTTCTGGGAACTGATTCCAAAAGTGAGGCTTGGCAGGCTTTGGGTAAGCTATCACCTCTAAATTATCTTCATCACTTTTAAAATGGAACTATGACATACTGTGATGTATATTTAAAACTGTGCAAAAGAAAAATAATTCCAACAGAATCTCCTGTCTTCCAAGTCCTGCAGTCCTTTAAATTCTGCACCTAAAAATATGCCACGTATAACATGTAGAATAGCATTTGTGTATATTTTGATGGCTAAATGGATAATCCTTTATAGGACTATCTATATTACCCCAGGTATGGGAGGGGACATTAAATAAGGGACCAGGAGCCCTGTGCCTACTAGCTGTATGACCTTCTCTGGACTTCAGTTCACATCTGTGTAAAACAAAGATAACTTGCCTCATGGAGTAACTTGTGAGTATGACATGACACGTAATAAAGTAAGTGAGAGACCCTTACAATTATAAAGTGTTAAAAATGTGGATTACCACATTTTAATAAAGGGCAAGACTGCAGTTCACTGAAGAATCATATCTGTGGTTTGAAAGGAGCTGAAATAGTTGGCTTCCACTTCTTGCAAGGGTAGGAGAGCCATCCACAGACAGGCTTCTGTGTGGTGACAACGCAACACAAAGGACAACATGCCCGCGTGTGAAATCGGTTAATGTGGTCAGTGCAGACAGACCCATCTCAGCACTGCGGCCCTGGAAGATTATTTCACGGGTTTAAATCATTCCAATAGGCTTCATACAGGGATCAAATTGATTGGGTAATTATAAATGCCCATTTCATTATTCTGGTTGTGTAGAGAGATAATTTTGTTGTTATTGTTTTGGAGACAGGGTTTTGCTCTGTCGCCCAAGCTGGAGTGCCGTGGCACGAACACAGTTCATTGCAGTATCAAATTCCTGGCCTCCAGCAGTCCTCCCTCCTTGGCCTCCCAAAGGGCTGGAATTACAAGCGTCAGCCACTGCACCCAGCCTACAGAGGGAGTTTAAGCCCAGCTAGTTTGTATGGGTTTTGTCTCTTTGTATCTTCAGCACATTAAAGCAAAGTCACTTTGGTAAACAGCAAACACTCAGATGATCTGCTTGTGTACACTGCAGTGACTAAGATGTAGTTGCTGCCCTCCAAGGTCTAACACCTGGGTCTGAGTGGTGGTGTCCAAAAGACCATCAAGGTGGCTAAAGAGTAGAAAGGAGAGCTTTATTGGGATATCAGTTTGCAAAATGGGAAGAGATGGTCTCCAGCATGGACAGAAGGCGCTCTCTCTTTGAAGAGGGAAAGGGCAGGCTGGGTTTTATGCCTTACAGGGTCTGTATCACACAATAGAGTCAGAGATATTCAGCAAACTTGGGGTAAAAGCTATACATGTTTATAAGGGGTGCTGAGCACATACACAGTGCACATATGTTGGGAGCAGTCCCCCCAAAATCTGGCCATAAACTGGCCCCAAAACTGGCCATAAACAAAATCTCTGCAGCACTGTGGCATGTTCATGATGGCCATAAAGCCCAGGCTGGAAGGTTGTGGGTTTAGGGGAATGAGGGCAAGGAACACCTGGCCCGCCCAGGGCAGAAAACCGCTTAAAGGCATTCTTAAGCCACAAACAATAGCATGAGCGATCTCTGCCTTAAGGACATGCTCCTGCTACAGTTAATTAGCCCAACCTATTCCTTTAATTGGGCCCATCCCTTCTTTTCCCATAAGGGATACTTTTAGTTAATTTAATATCTATAGAAACAATGCTAATGACTGGCTTGCTGTTAATAAATACGTGGGTAAATCTCTGTTCGGGGCTCTCAGCTCTGAAGGCTGTGAGACCCCTGATTTCCCACTTCACACCTCTATATTTCTGTATGTGTGTCTTTAATTCCTCTAGCGCCGCTGGGTTAGGGTCTCCCCGACCGAGCTGGTCTTGGCAACATACATACATATAACATATATCGCATGTTCACTTTGTGGTGGTGTTTTACCATTAAAATGAGGTGGGGCCAGGCACGGTGGCTCACGCCTGTAATCCCAACACTTTGGGAGGCCGAGGTGGGCAGATCACCTGAGGTCAGGAGTTCGAGACCAGCCTGACCACCATGGCAAAGCCTCGTCTCTACTAAAAATACAAAAATTAGCTGGGCGTGGTGGCGGGTCCCTGTAATCCCAGCTACTCTGGAAGCTAAGGCAGGAGAATCGCTTGAACTCTGGAGGCGGAGGTTGCAGTGAGCCGAGATCGTGCCGCTGCACTCCAGCCTGGGCGACAGAGCAAGACTCCCTCTCAAAAAAAAAAAAAAATAATAATAAAATAAAAAATAGAATGTGAGCAGCAGGACGGAGGAAATAGGACACATTCTGTAGAAAATAGGGAGACACCCTACAGGCCTTCAAGCAGGAAAGTAACACTTCAAAGGAATGCAGACCGAGATGAAGGTCTATTTCCTCCCACCAGCACTGGTGCCAAGTCCAATGCCTGATTTTTTTTTTTTTTTTTTTTTTTTTTTTTTTTTTTTACAGAGTCTCACTCTGTCGCCCGGCTGGAGTGCAGGGGCACGATCTCGGCTCAGTGCAACCTTTACCTCCAGGATTCAAGCTATTCTCCTGCCTCAGCCTCCCAAGTAGCTGGGTCCACAGGCCCCCGCCACCACACCCGGCTAATTTTTTTTGTATTTTCAGTAGAGACAGGGTTTCACCATGTTGACCAGGCTGGTCTCGAACTCCTGACCTCGCAATTTGCAGTCTCCCAAAGTGCTGGAATTACAGGGGTGAACCACCGCGCCCAGCCGATTTTTTTTTTCTAATTTTAGATTCCGAGATACATGTGCAGGTTTGTTACCTGGGTATATCGCATGATGCTGAGGTTTGGGCTTTTATTGAACCCATTAACCAAATAGTGAACATGGTACCCGATAGGTCGTTTTTCAGCTGTTGGCCCCCTCCCCCGCTTGCCACTTTTGGCGCCCAAGTGCTCATTGTTCCCATCTGTGTGTCCACAGGTTCCCAATCTTCAGCTCAGACTTACAAGTGAGAACATGCAGGATCTGGTTTTCTGTTCCTGGTGCTAATTGGCTTAGGACATGGCCTCTAGCTGCATCCATGTTGCGGCTAAGGTCAAGATTTTGTTCCTTTTTATGGCTGAGTACCTGGTGATTTTTTAAAAGAAAAGTTTGCTGAACTGAACCAATTCACACTGAGGCCTGCACGGTGGGGCTTCTGGAAGCAGCACTCTTGCGGAGGCTGCGACCAGGACCCAGTTGGAGGCGCCTGGGTGTAGCGCCTAGGCAGGGAGAAGCCCCGGAGGACGAGGCCTCTGACCGGCCGCAGCACTCAGTTCCCGGCACCGCGGTGAGGACCGCGCCCGCGCCACGCGCGCCGAAAGGACTCCGCGAGCTCCTGCAGGTAACGGGCTCGGTGCAGTCCGGAGCCCAGACCAGGCAGTTGCTGAGTTATGTCCGGGCGAGATCGGTGTCCTTCAGGGTGGGAGGCTCAGAAACCCAGCGCGCGAGCCTCTGGGCAGTGGTAAGGGCGGGTTGGGAGTCGGGTTCGGCGAGTCCAAAGGAGGCTCCCGGGCTGCAGAGGCCCCGGCAGGCTGTCTCCGCCCCACGAGCCCCTTCTCCTGCGGTCTCCTGGACTGCGGCGACGAAGCGTCGGGGCTGGGGCTCCAGTCGCCTGGGGATGCGCTGCGCGCCCAGGGCGGCTTCGGGGCCCTGAGGCGGGACTGAGGGTGCGGGAGGGCGGAAGGGGGCGCGGACGCTCCGGAACTCACGGTCCGGGCTGAACCAGGGCTTGGAAGACCCTCGGGAAAGTACGGGCGTTCTGTGTCCGGGATGTGTGCTGCGGGTCGGACTGGGGGTTAGGTTGAGAAGGGGGCACTAAGATTTACTTTATTTTATTTTATTTTATTTTATTACTTATTTATTTATTGAGACAGAGTCTCTCTCTTGTCGCCCAGGCTGGAGTGCAGTGGCGCGATCTCCGCTCACTGCAAGCTCCGCCTCCCGGGTTCACGCCATTCTCCTGCCTCAGCCTCCTGAGTAGCTGGGACTACAGGCGCCCACCACCACGCCCGGCTAATTTTTTTGTATTTTTTGTAAAGATGGGGTCTCGCCATGTTGGCCAGGCTAGTCTCGAACTCCTGGGCTCAAGAGATCCTCCCGCCTCGGCCACCCAAAGTGCCAGGATTCCAGGCGTGAGCCCCGCGCCCTCCCCTTGCGGAGATTCGGCCTGGAAAGCTCCGCGGCTCTGGCCGGCACCGGTTTCCTTCCCGCCTCCCCGCACTCCCACCCCCGCTCCTAGTTCAGAGCGCTGGTGGCGTTACCCACAGCCGCGGAATCCCCTTTACTGTTCCCGGAGGAGCTGCGAGGTGGAACTGGCCGCGCGGTGGGGGCTTTCCCCGGCCCCGGGACGAGCACTCAGCGTCCCCTCCCCGCGACGCTCCCTCGGAATCCCGGGGAAGAGCGCAGCAGAGGCGGGGAGGAGGCGCGAGCGGAGGGGACCGACTTCCACCGCACCTGGGTGTCGCCAGCCCCGCCTGGCCCTCGGCGCCGGGACCCCGACGCACCCCGCGCATAGCGACTGGTGGCCTGGTGGGGGACTGCGCCTGCGAGGCCTTCTTCGCGCAGAGATATCGGGGTTCTCTGAACCCCAGAAATGGGCCTGGCAGGGGAAGGAAGCTGCAAGAAAGGAGTTAATCTGCAGGATGCTCAATTCTTTCTATGACAAATCGCTTCACTCCCCGCTCGGCAGGTCAGAGCTAGGGGTGACCGAGTTACGCCGCGGGCGCTGCCTGAGCAACGCTTTCTACCGCGGTCCTAGTGTCTCCGCTCCCTGGAAATAAATACTGAGCGCTGACTGCATACCTCTTTATGCGGCTCGCGGAGAACAGTTAAACAGGTCCCTGCACGAGGCCGTTCTAGTTAGTATGTCCCTATGACGCCTTTGTCTGCTACTCAGGTTGAATGTCCCGTTTGTATCTTAGTGGACTTGGCGGATGGTAGGCGCATGTTTAGCCTTAGTGGACACTACCAAATGGCTTTCCAAAGTACCATTTTATTTTTCTGCCAGCAATGTGGGAGAATTCCAGTTGTTCCGCGTTCTTACCAGCACTTGGCGTTCTGTCTGTTTTAATTTTAGCATTCTGGAGTGTGTAGTGGTATCTCACTGTTCTTGTTTAGGTTGATTCATGTGATATTGCTGTTAATGGGCCACTTTGGGGCTTATTGGCAATTCCTTCTCTCTCTCTCTCTCTTTCTCTCTTTTTTTCTTTCTTTCTTTCTTTTTTATTTATTTATTTTTTTGAGACGGTGTCTTGCTCTTTCGCCCAAGCTGGAGTGCAGTGGCGCGATCTCGGCTCACTGCAAGCTCCGCCTCTTGGGTTCGCGCCATTCTCCTGCCTCAGCCTCCCGAGTAGCTGGGACTACAGGCGCCCACCACCATGCCCGGCTAATTTTTTGTATTTTTAGTAGAGACGGGGTTTCACCGTGTTAGCCAGGATGGTCTCGATCTCCCGACCTCGTGATCCACCCGCCTCGGCCTTCCAAAGTGCTGGGATTACAGGCGTGAGCCACTGCGCCCCGCCCCTTTTCTTTCTTTTTTCACAGAGTCTCGCTGTGTCGCCGAGGATGGAGTGCAGTGGCGCGATCTCGGCTCACTGCAATCTCCGCCTCCTGGGTTCAAGTGATTCTCCTGCCTCCGCCTCCCGAGTAGCTGCGACTACAGGCGTCCACCACCACACCCAACTGATTTTTGTATTTTTAGTAGGAACAAGAGTTTCATCATGCTGGCCAGGTTGGTCGCGAACACCTGACCTCAGGTGATCCGCCTGCCTGGGCCTCCCAAAGTGCTGGGATTACAGGCGTGAGCCACTGCGCCTGTCCTTTATTGGCTATTTATTTATTTCTTTTATTTATTTTTGCGATGCAGTTTCGCTCTTTTTGCCCAGGCTGGAGTGCAATGACTCGATCTCGGCTCACTGCAACCTCCACCTCCCGGGCTCAAGCCATTCTTCTGCCTCAGCCTCCCGAGTAGCTGAGACTACAGGCCCACGCCACCATGCCCAGCTAATTTTGTATTTGTATTTTTAGTAGAGACGGAGTTTCACCATGTTGGCCAGGCTGGTCTCAAACTCCTGACCTCAGGTGATCCACCCACCTCGGCCTCCCAAGGTGCTGGGATTACAGGCATGAGCCACCGCGCCGGCCGGCAATTTCGTATGTTTCAACCTAATAATCTGCATTTGCCTGGTGAGTAATGATGGTGAACACCTTTCCAAATGCTTATTAACTATGGGTGTGATCTCTTTTGTGAAGCCTATGTTTCTGTTCAAGCCCGATCTATTTTTAGGTTAGGTTACTTGTGTTTTTCTTTTCTGATCATCTGTAGTGTAAACCAAAGAGTATCTGAGACAAGTCTCAATTTAGAAAGTTTATTTTGTCATGGTTAAGGCCACACCCAAGACACAGCCACAGGAGGTCCTGGCGACATGTACAAAGGTGGTCGAGGTACAGCTCGCTTTTATACATTTTAGGGAGACATAATACATCAACCAATACGTGTAAGGTTTATATTAGTTCTATCTGGAAGAGCAGGACAACTGGAAGGAGGAGAGCGGCTTCCAGGTCATAGGTAGATTTAAACATATTCTGATTGGTGACTGTTCATGGTGGCGGCTCATGCGTGTAATGCCAGCACATTGGGAGGCTGAGGCGGGTGGATCACTCGAGGCCAAGAGTGCCAGACCAGGCTAGCCAACATGGCGAAACCCTGCCTCTACTAAAAATACAAAAATTAGCTGGGTGTGGTGGCACACGCCTGTGGTCCCAGCTACTCGGGAGGCTGAAGCATGAGAATTGCTTAAACTGAGAGCCAGGGGCTGCAATGAGCAGAGATAGTGCCACTGCACTCCAGCCTGGGCTGCAGTACAGGCCCTGTCTCAAATAATAATAACAATAAATAAATAAACCTATTTTGATTGGCAATTGGTTGAAAGAGTTATTATCTATAGAAAGGAATGGTTATGATAAGGGGTTGTGGAGACCTAGGTTTTATCATGCAGATAAAGCCTCCAGGTAGCAGGCTTTAGAGGAAACAGACTAAATGTTTCTTATCAGACTTTAGGTTGATGTTAATGGTGGAGGGGTCGAAGCCCCACTTCTTGTCATGGCCTGAACCACTCTTTCAGGTTAAAAGTGCCCTGGCCAAAGAGGAAGGCCCCGAGGTTGGAGGAGGAGGGGTAGTTAAATTTTATTTTTGGTTTACAGTAGTTTGCCTTTTCACTCTGAATGGTGTATTATGAACTGAATTGTGTCCCCCTAAAATCCATCTATTGAAGCCCAAATCCCCAGTATCTCAGAAAATGACTATCTTTGGAGGCAATTAAGTTAAAATGGGTTGTTGGAGTGGGCCCTAATCCAATATGATTGGGGCCCTTATAAGAAGAGATTAGAACCCAGACACGCATGGAAGGCAGACCATGAAAATAGAGGGAAGGCAGCCATCTGCAAGTTAAGCAGAGAGGCCTCAGGGGAAACCAAATCTGCCAACATTTTGATCTTGGACTTCTAGCTTCCAGAACTGTGAGAAAATAAATATGGTGTTTAAGTCTCCCACTCTATGGTATTCTGTTATAATGGTCCCAGCCAACTGATGCGGAGTGTACTTGATAAATAAAAATTCAATGAAGTCGAATTCATCAATTTTTTCATGGTTAATTTTATAATTGTTTAAAAAAATTGTGTAAAATCCATTCTCAATTTAAAAAAAGGTTAAGAAAAGAGAATAAAAATCAATAGTTTTTAAAGGTATGGCCACACAAAGAAACAATGTATAGCTAAAAACTAATATCACATTTAATGAGGAAACATTAAAAATATTACAACTAAAGTGAGGACAAATACAGGCTATCAGTATCTCCACTACTATTTAAAATTATTCTGAGGATATTGGCTGATGCAATTACACAAAAGAAAAAACCAAGGAACACAAATTATAAAGAAGTAAAAATGGTCATTATTTACAGGTGATTTGATTTCTGAACTGGAAAACTCAAAGGAATCAATTGAAAAACTGTTGCAACAATAATGTCAGACTTCTTTAAGATGACTCAGTTCAAGTATTAAAAAAAAAGTCTTTCTGTATACAAACAACTCCTTTGGAGAAATAAATAGAAGAGGGTATACTATTTAAAATAGCACCATAAAAGAAAACATCTCTGAATAAAAGCAACAAGGATATCCGTTTTCTTTGGAAAGAAATATTGAATATTATAAAAATACAAATGCTCCTTAAATTAGTCTTGTAATTGAATGCAATCCCAATTAGAAATAATTTTTACATTAGACATGGTAGTACTGATATAACCACCATTTGACACCCATTAGGATGGCTACTATCAAAAAATAGAAAATAACGGGTTGGTAAAGATGGGGAGAAATTGGAATCCTTATGTGCTGTTGGTGAATGTGTAATGGTACAGCCACTATGGAACACAGTATGGGGGTTTCTCCAAAATTGAACATAGAATTATGTGATCCAGTAATTCCACTTCTGGGTATATAACCAAAAGAATTGAAAGCAAGATCTCGGCCGGGCGCGGTGGCTCACGCCTGTAATCCCAGCACTTTGGGAGGCCGAGGCAGGCAGATTACAATATCAGGAGATCGAGACCATCCTGGCTAACACGGTGAAATCCCGTCTCTACTAAAAATATTTTAAAAATTAGCCAGGTGTGGTGGCAGGCGCCCGTAGTCCCAGCTACTCGGGAGGCTGAGGCAGGAGAATGGCGTGAGCCCGGGAGGCGGAGCTTGCAGTGAGCAGAGATAGCGCCACTGCAGTCCGGCTTGGGCGAAAGAGCGAGACTCTTTGTCTCAAAAAAAAAAAAAAAAAAAAAAAAAATCTCAAAGAGATGTTCTTCACCCACGTGCATAGGCAGGATTATTCACAACAGCCAAAAGGTAGAAGCAACACTGTCAGTGGATGGATGTATGAATAAACAGAATGCAATACATACATACGATACTACATTCAACCTTAAAAGGGAAGGAAATTCCAACATATGCTGCAACATATAGAATGAACCTTAAGGACATTAGGCTAAGTGAAATATGCCAGGCCCCAAAATTACATACTGCATAATTCCTCTTATATGAGATACCTAGAGAAGTCAAATTCATGGAGACAGAAAATGGAATGGTGGTTGTCAGGGGTGGAGGGATAGGGGAATAAGGAATTATTTAATGGGTACAGAGTTTCAATTTTGCAAGATAAAAAGAGTTCTGAGGATTGTACAACAATCTGAATGTACTTAACACTGCTGTAATGTACACTTAAAAATTGTTAAAATGGGGCCAGGTGCGGTGGCTCATGCCTATAATCCCAGCACTTTGGAAGGCTGAGGTGGGCAGATCACTTGAGGTCAGGAATTCGAGATCAGCCTGGTCAACATAGTAAAGCCCTGTCTCTATTGAAAATACAAAAATTAGACAGGCATGATGGCACACACCTACAATCCCAGCTACTTGGGAGGCTGAGGCTGGAGAATTGCTTGAACCTGGGAGGCGGAGGTTGCAGTGAGCCGAGATCATGCCACTGCACTCCAACCTGGGCAACAGAGTGAGACTCCTTCTCAAAAAAAAAAAAAGTTAAAATGGTCAATTTCAGCCAGACATGGTTGCTCATCCCTGTAATCCCAGCACTTTGAGAGGCCAAGGCGGGAAGATTGTTGAGCCCAAGATTCAAAACCAGTCTAGGCAACATAGCAAGACCCCATCTCTACAAAAAATATAAATAAATAAAAATTAGCCAGGTATAGTGGAGCATGCCTGTGGTCCCAGCTACCGGAGAGGCTGAGGCTGGAGTATTGCTTGAGCCCAGTAGGTTGAGGCTGCAGTGAGCTGTGATCACACCACTGTACTCCAGCCTGGGCAGGAGTACAACAGCAAGGCCCTGTCTCAAAAAAAATTGAAAAAAAAAAAAAAAAAGGTCAGTTTAATATTATGTGTATTTTACCACAATTTTTAAAAGAAACACCCCCCCCTCCCCAAAAAGAGTTCATTCCTTTTTGTGTGTGTGTGTAGAGACAGGGGGCCTCACTGTGTTGCCCAGGCTGCTCTCCAACCCCTGGCCCCAAGCAATCCTCCTGTCTTGGCCTCTTAAAGGGCTGGGATTACAGGCATGAGCCACCCCACCCGGCCTATCTTTTTACTTTTGACCTATGTGTGTCTTCATAGTTCAAGTGCCTTTCTTGCAGCAGCATATACTTGGGTCTTGCTTCATTTTCCCCATTTGAAAATCTCTGCTTTGACTTAATTATTTCCCCTATTGTTTTAAGACTGCACTGTATGTCTTCTTAAGAGTAGAAAGGGTTTGGGTTTTTTTCCCTTAATTTTGTGTACTATTGACAGATCTTTGATAAAAATTAGAAACTTAGAATACTATTCTGAGAATAGCTATGTGTGACCTCCCTCTAGTGGCCACATTGAATAATGTTATGAAATGCAAGCATTTCTTCAGAGCTGAGCTTCTCCACGGCAAGCTATGCACATTGAACTATTAATTTGACTTCATTGTTGTCTGCAACTGTGTATAAACTGGTATCACAGTCCTGAGAGACACTCAGTGCCTAAATAAGCCAAGAGGGGGAAACTTGGCCTCCTTGGAACCTGGAAAAATAGTAGCCACCTAAAATAATTAATAACAATTACGGTGTCATTAGCCCTTTAACATGTAATTCAGAAACACATGTAGTAGTTGGCATATGATAGTTATGGTAAATAAGCAATGGAAACGATTAATTTCAAGGACATGTAGAAGGAGGACAAATAAAAAGTATAAAATAAAATGGCAGAAATAAAATTTTAAAATATGGGCAGTCATTCCTTTGCAACTTCTTTTGAATCTATTTCAAAATAAAAATTAAAGAATATCAGTGGTAATAATAAATGAAAAATGGATCCAAACTCTATAGTAAAATAATGAGAATTTTTCTGAGCACGTGACACATTCCTGTAATCCCAGCACTTTGAGAGGCTGAGGCGGGCAGATCACCTGAGGTCAGGGGTTCAAGACCAGCCTGGCCAACATGGTGAAACCCCATCTCTACTAAAACTACAAAAATTAGCCAGGTGTGGTCGCGGGTGCCTGTAATCCCAGCTACTCAGGAGGCTGAGGCTGAGGCAGGAGAATTGCTTGAATCTAGGAGGCAGAGGTTGAAGTGAGCCGAGATCACAGCACTGTACTACAGCCTGGGCGACAGAGCGAGACTCCATCTAAAAAAAAGGAAAAAGAAAACGTAGAGGTTTACAGGGGATATACTTATACAGAATGGTTGAAAGTAAAGAGTTAGAAAAATATAAACTAGGCAAATACAAACCGAAGGAAAACAAATAGCTCTATTAATTTGTGTGTGGGGTGGAAGACTTTAAGGCAAAAGGTATTACTACAGATAAAGAGGGCCACAACTTAATGATAAAAAGTTAAATTCACCAAAAAGATATAACAATTCAAATATTGTATGCTTTTATTTTTAATGAATTAATTAATTAATTTGAGATGGAATCTCACTCTGTAGCCCAGGTGGGAGTGCAGTGGCGCTATGTTGGCTCACTGCAACCTCCACCTCCCAGATGCAAGCAATTCTCCTGCCTCAGCCTCCCTGGTAGTTGGGACTACAGGCATGTACCACCACACCCAGCTGATTTTTGTATTTTTAGTAGAGACGAGGTTTTACCATGTTGGCCAGGCTGGTCTCGAACCCCTGACCTCAAGTGATCTGCCCGCCTTGGCCTCCCAAAGTGCTGGGATTACAGGAATGAGCCAATGTGCCTGGCCTATTTATTTATTTATTTTGAGACAAGGTCTCACTTTGTCACCCAGGCTGGAGTGCAGTGATGCGATCTTGGCTCACTGCAACCTCCGCCTCCTGGGTTCAAGCGATTCTCCTGCCTCAGCCTCCCGAGTAGCTGGGATTTAAAGGTGCCTGCCACCATGCCTGGCTAATTTTTGTATTTTTGGTAGAGATGGAGTTTCACCATGTTGGCCAGGCTGGTCTCAAACTGCTGACCTCAAGGGATCCACCTGCCACGGCCTCCCAAAGTGCTGGGATTACAGGCTCACCGCGCCTGGCCCTTGCATGCCTTTAAAAACAAAAGGCTTGAAATATATAAAGGAAAATTCAACAGACCTCAGGGAGAAATTGATAAATCTACCATTAAAATGACTATTGTTTTATATGGCAGGCAGACACATAACAGAAGATCACATTTCTGCTAGTATAACTGCTCTTCATTTATATGATGAAATTCCATATACCTACATTTCACAGTGCTGCACAAAAATGATGGCGGGTTCCAGGTGCTCCCTCATTGGAGAAATCTGAGAACCATTGACCTAGATATTAAAGTGCATTATTTTCCTATTCATTCCACAAGCGGTTACTGAAAGACTATTGTGTTGTGTTGAAGGCGTAAAGTTTACACATTAAAGGAGTCAGTTGCTGTACTTAGTTTAGCTATTTAATATAAATTCGTAGTTCATAAGCTTTTTTTTGTTGAGAGATGGGGTCTCCGTCTGTCACGCAGGAGTACAGTGGCGTGAACACGGCTCACTGCAGCCTCCATCTCCTGGGCTCAAGCGATTCTCCCGCCTCAGCCCCCACAAGTAGCCCAAGTAGCTGGGACTACAGGCGCACCATCATACCCGGATCATTTTTGTATTTTTGTTTTTAGAGATGGGGTTTTCCACACTGCCCAAGCCGGTCTCCAACTACTGAGCTCAGGCAATCCGCCCCCCTCAGCCTTCCAAAGTGCTGAGATTACAGGTGTGAGCCACCGCGCCCGGCTTCATAAGCCAATTTCACAAAGATTTATAGAGAAAACCACCCTGAAGTGCCCCCCCCAAATGCGCCTGGCGCACACACACACACACACACAGTTAAATCTCAGTCTCTTTCTTAAAGAAATGTGCTTGCTAGAACAAGGAACAGTAATGAGTTTCCAAAATTCTGATGTCTTCGGTTATATTGTTTTTCAAAAATAAGAAAAAAATACAGTAAGTACAAATATTGGTCCACAAACTCAGCTGGGCAAGGCAACTTAATTTCTATTCAGACTCCATTCTGTCAAGCGGTGGAAATAATCCGGGTCCCCGTTTCTCTCCACTGCTGTCCCATGGATGACTAAGAAGGCGAGGAGAGGGGCGCGTGGTCCGGGTCTTCATCTGGCCGTGCTGGCACCCGCGGCCTGGCCCGCATTCGCTTCCGGTCTTCAGTCTGTGCTCCATCAAGGGTGTTCTTTCAAGGTCACACTTTCCTTTCTTCCAACCCTGAGGCTCTTCAGGCCTGGCTTGCTGTCAGCGGACTGTGGTGGCCTTGAAAAGGAAACGTTATTCTGCTGCTCCTGCGCCACATTGGAGACATTAAGAGCAGGAAAAGCTGAACGGGGCTCTCTAGGGACCTTCACTCCAGCAGGCTGCCTTCATTTTGCGGACTATGGACACAAGCAAATCCCTCAGGTACCAGGGATCTGTTCTCCGTCTCCCTCATTGCACTTGGATCAACCCTGCAAGGCTGCCTCTGCCCTGTGTGCTGAAACACCGCCCGGCCGTTTCTTCCCCTGCATCTGTGCCTCCCTGGGCTGCGCAGAATACAGGCCCCTCCTTCCCAGGGATCCACACGAGCCTCACATTCTTTGCTTTCTCTCTAACTTTCTTCCTTTCTCTCCAGGTTTGGGAAAACTTCATATAATCTTTGTAAGAGTAGCTGAGCAGGAAGTTTTTTGTTTTTATGGAGATGGAGTTTTCGCTCTTGTTGCCCAGGCTGGAGTGCAGTGGCGTGATCTCCGCTCACCACAGCCTCCGCCTCCCGGGTTCAAGTGATTCTCCTGCCTCAGCCTCCCGAGTAGCTGGGATTACAGGCATGCGCCACCACGCCCGGCTAATTTTGTATTTTTAGTAGAGACGGGGTTGCTCCATGTTGGTCAGGCTGGTCTCGAACTCCTGACCTCAGGTGATCCGCCCGCCTCGGCCTCCCAAAATGCTGGGATTACAGGCGTGAGCCACCGTGCCCGGCTGTGTGCAGAAAGCTTTTTGTTTTCCCTCAAGTATTCTACGAAGTCCACTGGGCTTGAGTTTTTTCTCTTCCTTTGGAAATTCTAATGCCGAGAATAGACTCTTACTTCCTCTGCTTCCTGAATGTTTTCTTTTTCCTGTGGCAGTGACACAGAACGTCTAGCTGACTATGAGGAAAGGGTCATGAGGTAAAAGAACGCATATGGAAGAAAACCCTTATTCATTAAAATAGCAAAATATTGTTCTTCAGTAGTACAGATGATAAAAAATAGTCTCTGATAACATTTGTTGCCTACTGATTTTAATAATAGAAATAAAGCATGTTTTTAAAAATGATTGATAGGATATGTGAAACACAAAACACTAGTTCAAAATGTGTTTAGAAAATGGACCCAGTCAGCTCCAGGTGAGTAACGGTTTTATTCACAGAGGTTGCCCGTGGGCAAAACTGGAAGATGCCAGCCTGGAAGGTGTGTGGTTATGGTCGGAAGGCATTATTATGCAAGCATAAACATTAGCTTCGTTGTGTTGTATGATACTCAATGTGCTTGTTGGACTCTTCAACAAAGTAAAGAGAGGTGCTAAGATTGGAAGTGGGAAAAGAAAGGTTCTGAATCTGTCTGGGAAGTGCACGGGGTCCGCCTGTGTCTATCAGGGGTGTGCTACGGGGGTCCCCCAGGCCTCCCTGCCTCCAGCAACCAAGAGGCCAACCTGAATCAGTTTCCCCCGGAAGCAGAGTGCCTTCTAGGAGAAGTCCCTCTGTCTTTTCTATGATTCAAGGGCTCCTCTGCCCCCTCAAATCACCTCCTTTAAATAATAAGGCGCCAAATCCTTCTAACAAAACTTTTTGTTTCACGAACATTCATAAAACGTAAAAAGTACAAGTTCCGGTGGAGGCAACACACTGAAAGTCACTCTGCTGGAAGTACAACCAGAACCCCCTCTTGGGTCCTTGTCCTTGCCAGGCTGCGTTGGAATTGCCTGTAGGCACCACAGCTATGTCTGTTCCTGGCATGTAAGCTTCTCCACATAGCCTGGGCAACATAGCAAAACCAGGAGACCACAGCAAAACCTGCAAATTAAAAAATATATATATCCGGGCATGATGGTATGTGCCTGTAGCCTCAGCTACTCAGGAGGCTGAAGCAGGAGGATCCCTTGTGCCTAGGAGTGCATGGTTTCAGTGATCTGTGATTGTGCCACCGTGCTCCAGCCAGGGTGACAAAGCAAGATGCTGTCTCTAAAATAAATAAATAAATAAATGCACATATAAATATCTTGATCCTCTTCGCTTAATGCTGAAACTTACCATGTGAACAAACACTAGTAGTGTGTTCTAATTCCTAATACTTTAAATGTACACTTGCACACAGGCATTATGTTATCACCACCATTAGCACATCCTTTATTGTTTTTCTTTATTCCTTGTCACTCTTACTCTTTAGCAACTTCCATTCTCTATTCCCAGTTTGGTAAGAGACTAAGTCTATAAGAGCTTCCACTAAAATTCCAAAAGGCTAACTTTCCACCCTGCTCTCATTTCTACATGGCCCTGTTCCCACCAGCATCTAAGATCCCATCCACGATTGAAAGTAGAGTTTCTTCTCATCTCCTAGATGCCTTGTCCATTCTCCTGCTGGAAGAAAGCCACTAAGTACTGGGTTGGGCGGGTGGACACATGTTCTGCCGAGCGCCATTCTCTCCCCTGCCTGTGTAAGTGATACCAGGATCTTGTGACCACAGGCAGCTCATGCTCCCGAGGGCATGTAAGGCCTCTCTTTTCTGAGAAAGTCCGTGGAAGCAGAGGACAGTGTATGAGTTTCCATGGAAAACCTCTTGTCAAGGATTCCAGCTATGACTCCTTCTATAGAACAGGATAACTGGAGAGTAGCCAAGGAGAAATATATCTCCCATTTAGAAAATATCCAAAACTCTGATTGGTAAAATTAAGTGTAACAAAGATGATACTACTTCCTGAATTCATATATTAATTAATATTTAATTTAGTTTAAATGTCTATTTAAAATCTTCTGGTGATGTTTAAACAATTGAACAACTTGATAGTAAAAATAAATCCAGACACATAAGCAGATAAAACTTTATTTTTTAAGTGATTGTAGAATCATATATCAGCCTATTTTTAAAAAATGAAGATCAAATAAATATGTCATAGTGTGGATATTTCATAAATTAAAGCTATTATGAGAACTTAATATATGACAAACTAGACTTAGTAATATAAGACAAATAATGGAGAGAAGAAAATATCTACTTAAGAATTAGTATTGGGATACCCAAGCATGATATGGAGAAAAGTGAAATTAGACCCATACCTCCATACAATATAAAACGTAGTGTTAGACATTTTAAAAATAGCTACTCAAAGTAGAAGAAAAAAACTGATATATGTACTAGAGTAAATAGACTGCTATATCTATAAAAGAGATACATTTACATCAGAACATGAAATAGATCATCATCATACCATAGATCTGTTCATAACACTAATAGAATGATATAATAAATATCAAAAGGAAAACAACAAAATGAAAAACATTCAACACATATTTATTGTCCCAAATATATAAAGAATTGTTGTTAATATAAATACTCTGCTTTCACTCCAGCAGTAGTCAAGGAAGATTAAAAGTTTATACAAAAGGGAAACCTTGTCAAACTGTCAAATTAAATTGAATCATATGGAATATATACAGCTTCATAGTAATTAAGTAAATACAAACTAAAACTCATAAATAACTCACAAATAACCAACTCTCTATTTTTTTAAAGCCAGTGTTGGAGAAGAGTGTGAGAGAAAGCCCATCTATATAACTGGTGGGTTGGTATTTCTGAAGAGCAATTTGTCAATATGTAGCAAAAGCTACAAAACTTTAAAAATCTTAAATCTATCCATTCCATTTGGGAAATATATGAGAAGAAAAAACTTAGAGGAGAAAATGAAGTTTGTGTAAGTTTCAATGTAGCAGTATTAGTTTTCCTTCCTTCCTTCCTTCCTTCCTTCCTTCCTTCCTTTCTTTCTTTCTTTCTTTCTTTTTTTTTTTTTGAGTCAGAGTCTTTCTCTGTTGCCCAGGCTGAAGTGCAGTGGAGTGATCTCAGATCACCATGACCTCTGCCTCTCGGGGGTCTCGTGCCTGAGCCTCCTGAGCTGCTGGGATTCCAGGCATGAGCCATCACGCCAGGCTAATTTTTGTATTTTTAGTAGAGATGGGGTTTTGCCATGTTGGCCAGGCTGGTCTCGAACTCCTGACCTAGGTAATCTGCCAGCCTCAGCCTCCCAAAGGTATGAGCCACCACACCCGGCCTATTTTTCATCATAAAAATAAGACACAATTCTAATGCACAATTAAAAGGAAAATGGAGGTATAAAAGCAAGTGCTCTATATTACAGGATGGGATACAGTACACTATTATAATTAAAAAGGTTTACTGTGTGGATTATGCTGATCCATGGAAATCAGTAAGTGAAGTTTTGATAAAGTGGAGCAAGTGACGAATACACTGAACTGTAAGGTCTTTGGAGATGGGCCACGTCTACTTATATTCAATCCACAGGGCTACACCTAGTTCTTGGTACACAGTACATGCTCAGCAAGAGTCTGTTGAATGAACACATACATGGTTTATCTGTTTGTCTCTTCCGAGTTCTTGACTTCTGTCTGCTCTGACCTCTGGCAGCTTTCCACTAGTTTCTAGCTTTCATTCTGCTTACCTGGATTTCGGAACTCTAGCCTGCCCCACTCTTAGATAAACGCATGCCCTCTGTGGCCCTGGAACCTTAGTGACTTCTGCTATACCAAAGTCTCCACGCCCAGGGTGACACGCAGCTGCAGCTCCGTAAACCTCTAACATGATGTCAGCAAATATTAAAAAAAAAAAGTTTATAAAACAATGAATAAACTTTGTTAAAGGTACAAATGAAAATTAGCAAACATGGGAAGATAATTGAGTGAAGAGTTTAAAGTTAAAAACGAATTGCAGTCATTCTAGGGGAAGGAACAGTTGTATTTGAAAACCTGTATGGTTACATGAACTGCCTAAAAAACAAGCTAAGGAAAATTAAAGCTCAGATTTATATATTTTAAGAAATTAATTGCAATTAATTTCCTGGGATTAAATAGCATTTCCTCAACCCCAGCTGTCATTAAAAAGAGGCAAATACAGCCAAGGACTGGATCTCCGGAAGGCTGACAGCACTGACCCTCAAGAAGGCACCGGCTGACAGACAGAACATTCTGCCCTAATATGTGCTGAAATTCCGCTGAGAGCAGAGTGGTACATTGAACCCTTTAGGGGCTTACAAAAGAAGTGTCCTGTGTTTTAGAGTCACAGAGTTTTGCAGAAACAAGTATGAATTCACCTAGTGGCCCCCTGCACCAGGTCTTTCCTGTGGGCACTGAGTGCCAGACACATCAATATGTAATAGCAGAATGAATGACTGAACGAACGATTGAATGAAAAGAAATGAGAGGCAGCAGGTTGTCAGATTCTATGAGGCAATCACAGCATCAGGTGACCTTAGTATCTATTTGAGAGGACTGCCATTTATTCTCGGGAGCGCACGGCTCTAAAGAGGCCCATATCCAGGCAGTGAGCTCTGGTGGGGGGCGCCTTTAGATGCAAGAAGGAGGAAACAGCTCGAAATCCCTGGGCCTGAGCGCGGCCCGTGCAGGCCGGAGGGTCAAGAACTCTCCACCGGCGGCAGCGGCCCGGTGTCTGCCCCGGCTTCGCCCCGGCCTAAGGCTGCCTGTGCTATAAATACGCGGCCCACATGCCGCGGTGACACGGTGTTCCCTGGGCTCGGCGGGACAGATAACATGAATGTGCCCTTTAAACGTCCCAAGTTGCAGGGACAGCCCCCGGCCCAGCCTCGCTCCCGGAAGCGCCTTCGCCCCCGATGCCCTCTGCAGCTGGGAGGAGGGGGCGCCCCGCACCTGCCCAGCCAATGCGCGGCGCGAGCGCCGGCCGCGACCCGCCTCCTCTCGCGAGAGCCCGGCGGGGATATAAGGGGGAGCTGCGGGCCAGGCGGCGGCCCCCTAGCGTCGCGCAGGGTCGGGGACTGCGCGGCGGTGCCAGGCCGGGCGTGGGCGAGAGCACGAACGGGCTGCCTGCGGGCTGAGAGCGTCGAGCTGTCACCATGGGTGATCACGCTTGGAGCTTCCTAAAGGACTTCCTGGCCGGGGGCGTCGCCGCTGCCGTCTCCAAGACCGCGGTCGCCCCCATCGAGAGGGTCAAACTGCTGCTGCAGGTGAGGACCGCGCGGTGCAAGAGGCGGGCGCGGGCGCGGCGGGCCGGGCGGGGCGCGCGATGCGGCGCGAGCTGCAGGGCGCGGGGCGCCGCGGAAAATCTGCGCCAGGCCACAGGCCCGGGCGCCCGCCCGCCCGCCCGCCCGCCCGCGGGGGAAGAAGGTGCCCTCTGCGTAGAGACAGGTCCAGCGTCAGTCGCAGATTCCTGGTGTCGGGTGGCGCCCGGCGTTCGGGTGTCTATATATGGAAACCCACCCGGAGCCGGTTTACGTGTGCCAGATCCTGCGCCCGTGACAGCACGGGCGTGCACTCAGGCCCGGAGGCACCTAGTGATTGCCAGTATTTTTGGCACCGTCTTATGCGCACGCACCTTTACAATAAAAACATCAAAATAATCATCACCCAAGAATTCCCTTATCGTATCTCATGCACAATGCTGTATGTAGGCTGACGCCTTCATCTTTATGTAACCTCTGTGAGAGAGTTATTCTTCTCCATTTTACAGATGAAGCTGAGGTTTTGAAATATTAAGAAACAATTTTCGGAATAAACTCAGATCATCCTGTCTCCAAATCTTTTCCTCCCCTACCTGGTCGCTGAATGGTTTATCATCCTCTCGTGTTTTCCTCCACCTGCCCAAAAGGTCAGGGCCCCTCAATGAGGAAGAGCCCAATTTGGGAGTCAGAATTACTAACAACAAAACCCCCACAAATTGCTCACAACGGCAGCAAACCCTTAATAATTGATTACTTGGATTATCTGCTTGAAAACTTTGGAGGCCTAATGTTTAGTGGATTTATTCTCCTTCCTCTATTAGAGCATCTAGTAGAGATCCTCATCTCCAGGGTGATCAGAGTGACACTGAGAAATTGTCATTTTTTGGCCATCATGTCTATTAAATCCAAAGCCCTTTGAAGCAGGGAGTGTTACTCATTTCTGTCCCCCAGTAAGCCCCTCATACAGTTCTCAAACCTAGGGAAAGTGAAATAAATAAATGGCTATAGCTTTATATAATTCAATCACCTTTTCAGTTTATTTGGGGCAATACCTTTTCCCTCAAATACCCTAATAATTGAAGCAACATTGGATTATTTTGGCTTGTTATCCAGTAACTAACATGGATAACAGTATCCATTTACACGTCCTCAGTATCCATTTGATTTCCTCATCCTTTTTTTCTTCAAAAAAAAAATCTAGGAAGTGCAAACCTTTTTTTTTCTCCTGTCCTCTTCCCTTCTCTCTACCCTGCCTGTCCTCTGTCACCCACCCTCCCCTCCACCAGGTCCAGCATGCCAGCAAACAGATCAGTGCTGAGAAGCAGTACAAAGGGATCATTGATTGTGTGGTGAGAATCCCTAAGGAGCAGGGCTTCCTCTCCTTCTGGAGGGGTAACCTGGCCAACGTGATCCGTTACTTCCCCACCCAAGCTCTCAACTTCGCCTTCAAGGACAAGTACAAGCAGCTCTTCTTAGGGGGTGTGGATCGGCATAAGCAGTTCTGGCGCTACTTTGCTGGTAACCTGGCGTCCGGTGGGGCCGCTGGGGCCACCTCCCTTTGCTTTGTCTACCCGCTGGACTTTGCTAGGACCAGGTTGGCTGCTGATGTGGGCAAGGGCGCCGCCCAGCGTGAGTTCCATGGTCTGGGCGACTGTATCATCAAGATCTTCAAGTCTGATGGCCTGAGGGGGCTCTACCAGGGTTTCAACGTCTCTGTCCAAGGCATCATTATCTATAGAGCTGCCTACTTCGGAGTCTATGATACTGCCAAGGGTGAGAGAGGGGCATCGGGGAGAAGGAGGGTGGTGTGGAAAGAGGATCCTATGGGATCTATAACTCACAAAGGACCTGATATATATTGATCTTGTTTTTTCTAGTCTCTGGGATAATTGAGGCTTCTGAATGAGGAGGTGATGTGCATAAGTTAATAGCTGAAGCGTTCCTTGTGTCCTCTACTGAAATAAACTCTGGCCTTTAGTTATTCAGAGAGGAGGAGGGGGGAGCCTGTCTCCCTCTAGACACAGCCATAGCAGTTACTGAGTTTAACTTGAAGCCACTTCCAATGCCCTGTATACAAGCTGAGCACTGCCCCTCCGGGGTCCGGAGAGGGCAGCAGCCACCTTTGCTGTCTGCCTGGTCATATGTGAAGCACCTGCACAGGGGCAGGTTCCCCGCAAGGTCAGAGCATGGAGCTGGAGGTGCAGTGGCCTCTCTCCCTCCACCTGCTTTCTGCTGAGAACAGGCACTTCATAGCCGTTCGGCTTCTGGGCTCTGTCCACAGGGATGCTGCCTGACCCCAAGAACGTGCACATTTTTGTGAGCTGGATGATTGCCCAGAGTGTGACGGCAGTCGCAGGGCTGGTGTCCTACCCCTTTGACACTGTTCGTCGTAGAATGATGATGCAGTCCGGCCGGAAAGGGGGTAAGCTTGTGCTCTACTCATCTAAACTTGTTTGGTTTTGCCCGAGGAGAACATTTTACAGGGCTCCTTTCAGTCTTCCTTACTGGAAATTAATTTTCAAAATTATTTGATAAGGACTTAGGGAAGAAAGATGGTATTAATTCCCCCTAACGTTCTCAACTATCCTATTAGGGAAAAGTATTTTCCATTTTATTAGAGATGATAAGAACATGAATAGTAAGACATTTAGATGTGAATTTAACTAGGTATCCAGCATTATAGAGACCCTAGGCCCTCTTCCCTTAGAGCCTGGGTGCAAAAGCTAGGGAAAAGAAGTAGTTAGCTACTTCTTACAAAGAACTCTTGCTTCCCTCCTAGTTACAGGTGTTAGTGGGATGGGGTGTTTAGCTGGGTAGAGATGGCCTGAAGCAATCTGTTGTGCCAGAGAAAGTTTTGGCTTCTATAGGTTGAACCATACGAAATTGCCACTTTAAAAGTCAAAAACAGTCCAATGTTAGCAGTTTCGTATGTTTCAACGAATAGTTACAGCCTTTTATTTAGACTGCATAACCTCGTGCAGGATCATCTGAGGCTCGGCCTCAGTTCGGTCCTCCATAAAAAAAGGTAACCGCGTAGCATAATACTCCTGCTCCACTGCGCCCTTCTTGTTTCGCAGTTGGGCAGTCCATGAATTACTTGGTTAATTGCCCCAGTTCTTCACTGACCTTGAACTAATGGAGTAGGAATGACAGGAGACCCAGCCTGCCAGTGAAGCAAGGAAGGAGATGTCCAGTGGGATGTTGCATGGAGCTGGGACTCCATGCCCAGATGACCCTGATTTTATAAAACTGGTAACAGTGTGTACAGATATGTTTCAGGGGAAAAGTCTCTTTCCTCCAGCGTTACGGAGCCCTCACCAGCATTTGTTTCCACAGCCGATATTATGTACACGGGGACAGTTGACTGCTGGAGGAAGATTGCAAAAGACGAAGGAGCCAAGGCCTTCTTCAAAGGTGCCTGGTCCAATGTGCTGAGAGGCATGGGCGGTGCTTTTGTATTGGTGTTGTATGATGAGATCAAAAAATATGTCTAATGTAATTAAAACACAAGTTCACAGATTTACAGTGAACTTGATCTACAAGTTCACAGATCCATTGTGTGGTTTAATAGACTATTCCTAGGGGAAGTAAAAAGATCTGGGATAAAACCAGACTGAAAGGAATACCTCAGAAGAGATGCTTCATTGAGTGTTCATTAAACCACACATGTATTTTGTATTTATTTTACATTTAAATTCCCACAGCAAATAGAAAATAATTTATCATACTTGTACAATTAACTGAAGAATTGATAATAACTGAATGTGAAACATCAATAAAGACCACTTAATGCACGCTTTCTATTTTATTGAACTCTTATTAACTGTAAAATGCATTTTTAAAAGATCAAAAATGCATATTTTCTAGCATGATTCATGTATCAGTCAGCAGCCAAGCTTCTAAATGCCAGATATTATATTGAGAATGTATTATATGAGAACGTACAATGCTTAAAGTTCCGGTTTTCAAACTTAGGCAGGTCATATTCTATCTATCTTATCCAGCATTACTGTAGGCTAGAAAGTGATAATGGCTTTCATAATCCTGCCTTGTCTTAGGCACTTTCCTGCAGTCTTTAGAAATTCTAAGATTCTGCTAAAAGTTTTAAATCACAATCTGGAGAATTTTCTATGATTAGGAAGTGCTCTGTTTTCATCCCTTTAGATAACTGTGACACCTAGAATTTTATGTTAAGTAGAGAGTATTCATTGAAAATCAAGGCCAGGTGCAGTGGCTCACACCTGTCACCCCAGCACTTTGGGAGGCAGAGGTGGGCGTATCACTTCAGGCCAGGAGTTTGAGACCAGCCTGGCCAACCGAGCGAAACCCCATCTCTAATAAAAATACAAAAAATTAGCTGGGTGTGGTGGCGCACACCTGTAATCCCAACTACTCAGGAGGCTGAGGCATCAGAATCACTTGAACCCGAGAGGCAGAGGTTGCAGTGAGCTGAGATGGCATGCCACCACATCCATCCTAAGCGACAGGGCAAGACTCTGTCTCAAAAAAAAAAAAAAGAAAGAAAATCAGTTGTCTTAGTTTAAGCTACTATAACAAGGTACTGTAGACTGATGGCTTATAAGCAACAGAAACTTATTTCTCAGTTCTGTAGTCTGGAGGTCCAAGATCAAGGTGACACTGTGGTCAGGTTCTGATGAGGGCCCTCTTCTGGGTTATAAACTACGGACTTCTTGTATCCTTACATGGCAGAAAGAGCGACAGAGCTCTCTGTAGTCCCTTTTATAAGCTCACTAATCCCATTCATGAGGGCCCTACCCTCATGACCCAATTACCTCCCAAATGCCCCTCCTCCAAACACCACCACTTTGGGGGTTAAGATTTCAACAGATGAATTTTGAAGGGACACAAACATTCAGTCCATAGCATCACTTATCAAGCTAGTATTTAATACCTCTTAGGCCCCGTGGAAGGGAAAATAGATAGGAACCTGCCCTGAAAGATGCTTCAGTTGGGGAGAAAAGGTGAAATTCCATTGTTAGACAATTTGTTTAAGACAATACATCTTGCTTGAGAAGGAATAGAAGGGAAATGAAATGGGGGGAGGGAGTGGTAGGAGATGGAGGCTTTGAAAGAAAATAACCAGATTTAGAAACATGGGTATAGAAAGCATCCTCCAGTACTTCTGTAACAATTTATCAAGACCTACAGGAAGTCAGTTTTGGATTTGCTCCTCCGAGATTTGCGAGCCAGAGGAAAATACTTAGACTATCAGGTTGGAAAGTTCACACTTGGACCAGGAAAAGACCAAGCAGTTGCTATAGTCTCCTGGATTGTGACTAATCTGGAGGAAGCAAGTCCCTGTATCCTTGGCAAAGCTTGAAAGGCAGGCAAATGTCTTCTCTGTGTTTTCTGACAGGTGGTTGGGTGGTGGGGGTTGGTCTCTGTACCTCCTGTTCTTTACCTTGCTTACCAAGCCCTTCCACCGACTCACTCCTGCCTCCCCAGCTAAAAATTGGCTGTGTTGCTTTTACCACAGTTACCAAGGTCTGAGTTTTATAAAATCCAGGATCACATCTGACCTCACCTGGTAGATATCTAGGCCAATAAAGTCTAAAGGGCTAAAAAGAAGGTACCTCTCCATCCTGTCTCCTCGAGGCCAGGCAGCACATGTGCAGTTAAGAGGCCTCCTGGATCCATTGTCCTCCTGTTGCTTTTCGTTCTAAGTGATCCAAACTCTATTGCTGATAGGGAATAAAAGCAGGGCAGGCTAGTAGTGGGCAAGTGCTTTGATGGAGCGTATCTCCAAGCAGGGCCCAAGTTTAGGAGGAGGAAGACCTGATACAATGAATGAACAGTGCGTCCTCCCAACCCAACCAAGAAGTGTAATTGTGTTCCGTCTTTAACCCTGGCATGGAATGGGGAGGGAAGAGGCATGGACATTTATTACATAGTGCACATTATCTACATTCTCTGCATGTGACCCAGATGTCAGCCCTTCCGCTTCCTGCGAAGGTTACCTCTAATGCACGTTGCCCCAGGCCCTGCTGAGCTAGTTCCTCACCGCAGCTACTTAACTCACCATGAATTCCTAGAACCCTCAGCCTCTGAGAGTGCTGGGATCTGGCGGGAGAACAGGCAGTACTTCCCTCACTAACCTACCCGCACGCCATACCATCATTGTGCAAAGCTGCCTCATGCTGGAAGGTCTGGTTTACGTAAAAGTGACAAGTTGGAATTGAGCGTCCGACTCTCGGGTACCTGCCCCAGGCATTTCTCATCAGCCCCATTTCCCACACAGCTCTCTCCTAGGCGCAGCCCTCCTTCACCACCACCACCCCCACCCCAATCACCTTTAGGTATTTTCTCCCCTAAAGCCTCACCTGTTGGCATTTTACATCTTTTTAAGACCTTATTTTGTATTTTAAATGTATGAGAAAAATTATGGAGGATGATGCAAGATGAGTGAGTCCATAATGGTAATAATTGGACACTAAAAACAATGAAAACTTGTCTCAAGTATTTGTGTTGAAATCTCAATTAACTGGGCGACTGCTCCCGTTCCATTTTATTCTGTAAAATATGTGGCATCCTTTGTGTTGAGGCGGCATTTACTAAACACCCCCAAGGTGCAAGGCTGCAAGAGAATCGAGCGCCGCAAGGCGAGCTTATCTTCCACACCTGGTACAGTGCCCAGGACAGAGAAGGTGTTTAGCAAGTTTCTGCTGAATGGAAGAGTGAGCGAGAAGGGAAAGTGCATCTAAAAAGCACAGGGAACCTACAAAATATTTGGGAAAGGGTTTCATCAGTTCGGGTGAAATCTTGAACGTGCAAAGCACCATGGGGGTGGCTGGACAGGCTTGTTGGAGTCGTATAATGCAATGAATAAAAACTTACGGCTGCCTTAAATGCAAATGTCAAGCCCTTAAATAAAATTTAACAAAGTCTACCGTGTCACAAATTCTTTGCTTTTCTGCTCCTCCTCAATATCAGAGATTTTATCAATCCACAATAAAGTACAGTTGATCTCATTCACAGATTACATATCTGTAAACTGGCTTCACTGCCAAACTTCATTTGTAACCACTTTAAGGTCCTTGGACACACAGAATGATGACAAACTCAAGTTGCCTGACACACATCCCTAGCTGCAGTGGAACAAGGTGACACTTACCCCGCCTTTTCATTTCAGCCTCATCCTGTAAACAAGCATCCTGTTCACATGTTTACTTCGTGCTACAGAAATTCTGCTGTTTAAAAAGGCCCTCAAGCTTTGTGCAGTGGCCAAAATGCAGTTTATCCAAGGCACAATCATTGCCAATTAACATGGCCCCCAAGCAGAATGCTGTTCCTCAGCACAGGAGGGCTAAGACATGCCTTGTGGAAAACACATGTGTCAGATCAGCTGTCTTCAGGCCTGGGCCATGAGCTCAGTGTTAATGATCAGCAATATATATTAAATAAGGTGTCTTTAAGTATAAACACATAAAACAAGGTTATGTATGATTTTTGTGACCAGCAGCTCATGGGAACCTAACCTTGTATTTCCCCTTGGCAAAATGTTTCAGTGTTTGCCTCAACTTTGTAGTATATAACCTCCATGAATAATGGGAATCAGCTGTCTTACCATTTTTGAAGTCATAAACATTATAGAAAGACCAGCCTGGGCAACATAAGGAGACCTTGTCTCTACAAAAAATAAGAAATTAGGTGGGTGTGGTGATACACGCCTGTGGTCTTAGCTACTCAGGAGGCTGAGGAGGGAGGCTGCAGTGAGCTATGATCGTACCACTGATTTCCAGCCTGGGTTACAGGGTGAGATCTATCCCTAAACAACAACAACAAAATACCTATAACGTGTCTCACATAAAACATCTTGTGTGTAATTTTTGTGTGTTCTACATAGTCATGTTAATTTTCATAGCCCTTTGAAGATTAGATGAGTTTAGTTTTGCCATTTTTGCAGTCACTGATGAATCACACATATTGAATGACACCCATGTATGGCTTCCCATCAGCCTGAATGCCATAACCAATGCAAAAGCTTCATATGGTCCTTGCTCTCAGGGGCATTCTTTTATTAGGGAAGTAAAACAGACTAAAAATATGTGAGACGTGACTTAAGTAACAAACCACATAACATATAATCTTAAGTCAGTGTTTCATCAGCTTTTTCTAGCTAAAAGCTTATTTTAGTAATGCAAATGTGATGTGATGAAGGCATGGATTAGAATGATGGCAGTGAAAATAAGTAATGTGTTTTGAAGAACAGACAGGACATGATACAGACATGGAAGAAAAATGTTAATCAGGCCGGGTGCGATGGCTCACACCTGTAATCCCAGCACTTTGGGAGGCCGAGGCGGGTGGATCACAAGGTCAGGAGATCGAGACCATCCTGGCCAACATGGTGAAACCCCATCTCTACTAAAAATACAAAAATTAGCTGGGCATGGTGGCGGGCGCCTGCAGTCGCAGCAACTCAGGAGGCTGAGGCAGGAGAATCGCTTGAACCTGGGAGGCGGAGGTTGCAGTGAGCTGAGATCGCACCACTGCACTCCGGCCTGGAGACAGAACAAGACTCCATCTAAAGCAAAAAAAAAGTGTTAATCAGTGAGAATGCCAAGGTTTTATGCCTTCGTGTTTGAGGGAAAAATAACAATACGTTCACTGCAACTGAAGTCAAGAGGCAGCACTTGGGAAAAACAATTTTCATTCTTGATCCCTAATCCAAAAATCTGAAAACCAAAATGGTCTAAAATCCAAAACTTTTTGAGCATTGACATAGTGCCACAGGTAGAAAATTCCACATTTGACCTTGTGATGGGTCACAGTCAAAACTTTATTTCATGCACGCAATTATTAAAAATACTGTATTAATTACCTTCAGGCTATGTGTATACTGAGTATATGAAACATAAATTAATTCCATGTTTAGACTTGGGTCCCATCCCCAAGGCATCTCATTATGTATATGCACATATTCCAAAATCTGAAAATATTGAAAATCCACAACACTTCTGTCTCAAAAAAAAAAAAAAGAGGAAAGTTTATAGTGCTAAATGCCTTCATCGAGAAGTTAGATCTCAAATTAACAATCTAACTTTGCATCTAAAGGATCTAGGGGGAAAAAAAGAAAACAATCCCAAAGCTAGCAGAAGAAAATAATAACTAAAATTAGAGAAGCACTAAATAATAACTAAAATTAGAGAATGAAATTGAGACAAAAATCCATACAAAAGCCGGGTACAGTGGCTCCCACCTGTAATACCAGCACTTTGGGAGGCCAACACTGCAGATCACTTGAGGCCAGAAGTTTGAGACTAGCCTGGCCAACATGGCAAAACCCCATCTCTACTAAAATACAAAAACCATCCTGGCATGGTGGCGTGCACCTGTAGTCCCAGCTACTTGGGAGGCTGAGGAGGGAGGATTGCTTGAGCCTGGGAGGCAGAAGTTGCAGTGAGACGAGATCGCGCCATTGCACTCCAGCCTGGGGAACAGAGTGAGACCCTGTCTCAAAAAACAAAACAAAACCCATACAAAAGATCAGTGAAACCAAGAGTTCTTTGAAAAAAATAAACAAGATTAATAGACTGCTAGCTAGATTAACAAAGAAGAAAGATCCAAATAAGTATAATCAGAAATGACAAAGATGTTGTTACAACTCATCCCACGGAAATACAAAAGATCCTCAGAGAATACTATGAGTAACTATGCACACAAAATTTAAAATCTAGAGGAAATGGATAAATTCTTGGAAACATACAATCTCCCAAGATTGAATCAGGAAGAGGCTAAAACCTTGAATAGACCAATATCAAGCTCTGAAATAGAATCCGTTACCAAAAATAAAAATTCAAAAAAAGCCCTGCAAAAGATGGATTCACAGCCAAATTCTACCAGACATACAAAAAAGAACTAGTACTAATCCTGCTGAAACTATTCCAAAAAAAAAAAAAATCAAGGAGGAAGGGATCCTCCCCAACTCATTCTATGAAGCCAGCATCAGCCTGATACCAAAATCTGGCAGAGATACAACCGAAAAAGGAATCTTCAGGCCAATATCCCTGATAAGCACAGATGCAAACATTCTCAACAAAATACTAGCAAACTGAATCCAATAGCACGTCAAAAAGTTAATTCACCAGGATCAAGCAGGCTTTATTCCTAGGATGCAAGGCTGGTTCACCATATGTAAATCAATAAATGTGATTTACCACATAAACAGAATTAAAAGGAAAAACCACATGATCATCTCAATAGACACAGGAGAAGCTTTTGGTAAAATCCAACATCCCTTCGTGATTGAAAAAACCCTCAATAGACTAGGCATGGAAGGAACATACATCAAAATAATAAGAGCCCTCAATGATGAACCCACAGCTGACATCATACTGAACAAGCAAAAGCTGGAAGCATTCCCCTTGAGAACTGAAAGAAGACAAGGAGTGCCCTCACCACTCCTATTCAACAGAATATTAGAAGTCCTGGCCAGAGCAATAAAAGGCATCCAACAGGAAAATCAAACTATCTCTCTCTCTCTATTTTATTTTTATTTTATTTTTTAGACGTAGTCTTGCTCTGTTGCCCAGGCTGCTGGAGTGCAGTAGTGCTATCTTGGTTCATTGAAACCTCTGCCTCCCAGGTTCAACTGATTCTCCTGCCTCAGCCTCCCAAGTAGCTGGGACTACAGGCGCGTGCCACCATGCCCGGCTAATTTTTTGTATTTTTAGTAGAGACAGGGTTTCACTGTGTTAGCCAGGATGGTCTTGATCTCCTGAACTCGGGATCTGCCTGCCTCAGCCTCCCAAAGTGCTTGGATTACAGGCATGAGCCACCATGCCTGGCCAAACTATCTCTCTTTACTGACAATATGATTCTATACCTAGAAAACCCTAATGACTTTGCCAAAAGGCTACTAGAACTGATGAACAATTTTAATAAGATTTCAAGATACAAAATCAACGTACAAATATAAAAATCAGTAACATTTCTATACACCAGTAACATCCAGGCTGACAGGCAAATCAAGAACACAATCCCATTTATTATAGCCACAAAGAAAATGAAATACTTAGGAATACAGCTAACCAAAGAGGTGAAAGATCTCTAGAAGGAGAACTATGAAACACTGCTGAAGGAAATCAGACATGACAAAATTAAATGAAAAATGTTCCATGCTCATGGATTGAAAGATGTTAAAATGGCCATGCTGCCCAAAGGAACTTACAGACCCAACACTATTTCTATCAAACTACCAACATCATTCTTCATGGAATTAGAAAAGGAAACCGTTCTAAAATTCATATGGAACCAAAAAAGAGCGAATATTAATAGCCAAAGCAATTCTAAGTAAAAAGAACAAAGCTGGAGGCATCACACTGGCTATAGTAGCCAAAATAGTATGGTACTGGTACAAAAACAGAGTAGAATAGAATGGAACAGAAGAGAAAACTCAGAAATAAAGCTTCACACCTACAACCATCTCATCTTCGACAAGGCCATCACCAACAAGCAGTGGGAAAAGGATTCCCTATTAAGTAAATGGTGCTGGGATGACTGGCTGGCCATATGCAGAAGATTGAAACCAGACCCATACCTTTCACCATGTACAAAAATTAACTCAAGATGGATTCGATATTTAAATGTATGACCTCAAACTATAAAAATCCCAGAAGAGGCCAGGCGCAGTGGCTCACACCTGTAATCCCAGCACTTTGGAAGGCTGAGGCGGGTGGATCACTTGAGGTCAGGAATTCAAGACCAGCCTGGCCAACATGGAGAAACTCTACTGAAAATATAAAAATCAGCTGGGTGTGGTGGCTCCCTACTCAGGAGGCTGAGGCAGGAGAATCGCTTGAACCAGGGAGGCGGAGGTTGCAGTGAGCCACTGCACTCTAGCCTAGGTGACAGAGCCAGACCCTGTCTCAAGGGGGAAAAAAAAATCCTAGAGAAAAATCTAGCAAATACCCCTCTAAACATCAGCTTTGGCAATGAATTTTTGGCTAAGTCCTCAACAGCAACCGCAACAAAACAAAAATTGACATGTGTGACCTTACTATACTAAACAGCTTCTGCACAGCACAAGCAACTATCAACAGAGTAAACTTACAGAATGGGAGAAAATATTCACAAACTATGCTTCTGACAAAGGACTAATATCCAGAATCTATAAGAAGCTTAAATCAACAAGCAAAAAATAATCCCATTAAAAAATAGGCAAAATCAGCCGGGAGTGGTGGCTCAAGCCTGTAATACCAGCACTTTGGGAGGCCGAGGCGGGCAGATCATGAGGCCAGGAGATCGAGACCATCCTGGCCAACATGGTGAAACCCCACCTCTACTAAAAATATAAAAATTAGCTGGGAGTGGTGGCACACGCCTGTAGTCCCAGCTACTCAGGAGGCTGAGGCAGGAGAATCGCTTGAACCCGGAAGCGGAGGCTGCAGTGAGCCGAGATCACACCATTGCACTCCAGACTGGGCAACAGAGCAAAACTCTGTCTCAAAAAAAAAAAAAAGGCAAAATGGTCAGACACAGTGGCTCATACCTGTAATCCCATCACTTTGGGAGGCCAAGGCAGGCAGATCACTTGAGGTCAGGAGTTTGAGACCAGCCTGGCCAACATGGTGAAACCTCATCTCTAATAAAAATACAAAAATTAGCTGGGCATGGTGGTGCAGACCTGTATTCCCAGCTACTTGGGAGGCTGAGGCAGGTGAATCGCTTGAACCCGAGAGGCGGAGCTTGCAGTGAGCTGAGATCGCACCACGGCACTCCAGTGCAGAGCACTGGGCCACAGAGCAAGACTCTGTCTTAAAAAAAAAAATGGGCAAAGGAGATGAACAGACACTTCTCAAAAGACACATAAGTGGCCAAGAAACATGAAAAAATGTTCATTGTCACTATTAGAGAAATGCAAATCAAAACCACAATGAGATACTATCTCACAGCAGTCAGAATGGCTATTATAAAAAGTCAAGAAACAACAGATGCTGAAGAGGCTGTGGAGAAAAGGGAATGCTTATACCTGTTGACGGGAATGTAAATTAGTTCAGCCACTGCGGAAAGCAGTTTGGAGATTCCTCAAAAAACTTAGGACAGAGCTACCATTTGACCCAGCAATCCCATTACTGGGTATATACCCAACGGAAAATAGAGCCTTATTCCAAAAAGACACATGCAATTGTATGTTCATCTCCATGCTATTCACAATAGCAAAGACATGGAATCAACCTAGGTGCCCTTCAGTGGTGGACTGGATAAAGAAAATGTGGTACATGTGCACCAAGAAATATGACACAGCCATAAAAAGAATGAAATCATGTCCTTTGCAGCAACATGGATGGAGTTGGAGGCCATAATCCTAAGCAAATTAACACAGAGACGGAAAATAAAATACTGCATATTCTCATTTATAAGTAGAAGCTAAACACTGAGCATGCATGGACACGAACATGGGAACAGACACTGTGGACTACTAGATAGGGAAGAGAAGGAATGGGACGTGGCTGAAAAACTACCTGTTGGTACTATGCTCATTGCCTGGGTACAATATACCCATGTAACAAACCTGCATATGTACCCTCTATATCTAAAATAAAAGTTGAAAATTTTTTAAAAAGTGTTCTAATTATTACTCAAAATAATAAAATTAAAATCACAATGAGATATATTAAATATCCACTTGAATAGTTAAAACTTTGAAAAAAATGACTGAAAGTCCAGTTGCAGTGGCTCACATATGGAATCCCTTTGGGATCCCAAGTACTTTGGGAGGCCTCGGCGGGAGGATTGGTTGAGCCCCGGCGTTCGAGACCAGCCTGGGCAACACGGTGAAACCCCATCTCTACAAAAAAATACAATAATTAGCTGGACATGGTGGCGCATGCCTGTTGTCCCAGCTACTTGGGAGGCTGACATGGGAGGATCGCTTGAGCCAGGGAGGTCAAGGCTGCAGTGAGCCATGATCGTGCCACTGCACTTCAGCCTGGGTGACAGAGCAAGACCCAGGCTCAAAAAAAAAAAAAAAAAAGAAAAAGAAAAAGAAAAAAAGACTGACAATAATAAATATTAATGAGTCTCTAGAGCAACAGAAACTTACACACTTTCGTGGAAGAATGAGCTGTTACACTCACTGTGGACAACTCTGGCATTATCTGTTAAACACAAGCACACCTCTGAGCCAGCAACTCCACTGCTAGGTGCATGCCCAGCTAAAAAGTACACACAGATCAACCAAGGCACATTTACAAAAATCCTCACATTAGCATTATTTGTAATAGTCAAAACCTGGAAACCACCCACAATATCCATCAACCACATAATAGATAAAATAAATCATGGTATAGTCAAGTACCAGAATACTACATAAAAATCAACACGAACCAATTCTAGCTACATGCAACAATATCAAAGAATCTCACAAACATAAAGATGTTGAGCTAAAAAGTCATACACGAGAACATACTCCCATTTATATGAAACTCAAAAACAGGCAAAACTACACTCAAATGTTAAAAGAGAAGACCGTAGTTAATGGTAGAATTAGATTTTTCTAGTTTGTATAGGTAACTATGTGGGAAGCAGATATATTTGCTTAATGCTGCATATGTTCTTCATAAAACAGATTCTCAGAATCAAATCAAGAACAAAGCACCCTCCAAACTTTGGAGACTAGCTATAATTCCAAAATGTATGAAATAAATGTGATGTGTGGTTTTTTGGTGAAGACTCTCATTGTAATATATATCCTGTAAGAATTTAGCACCATAGTTTTTAATCATTTTTTGGTGACTCTTCAAATTCTTTTTTTTTGAGACAGAGTCTCGCTCTGTCACCCAAGCTGGAGTGCAGTGGTGTGATCTCAGCTCACTACAACCTCTGCCTCCTGGGTTCAAGCAATTCTGCTGCCTCAGCCTCCCAAGTAGCTGGGACTACAGGCACGCACCACCATGTGTGGCTAATTTCTATATTTTTAGTAGAGACAGGGTTTTACCATATTGGCCAGGCTGGTCTCGAACTGCTGACCTCGTGATCTGCCCGCCTCGGCCTCCCAAAGTGCTAGGATTACAGGAGTGAGCCACCGTACCCGGCCTCAAATTCTTTTACTATCTTATAATTGTGGATTAGAGCCATGTGAAAAAACCCTGTCTCATTATAGTAAAATAATGATGTTACCTCCTAAGTTTTATTTTGTAAAACAGTTAAACCTCACAAATGTCATCTAGGGCAAATAGTGCAACTTACCTGGATTTACCAACTAAATTTTGAAATGGAAGCACAGAATCTTAAGAGTCTATTATGGTGGCTCCAGAGATATCTGTAAATGAATTAAAAATCCATCACCAGAACTGAAAAATCAAATAAAATTTTCTGCCATAACACAATCCTATTTGCTCTAGCATTCTTGCTCTTTGCTGTTGAGAGCTCAGATACGCTACTGCAGGGGCTACTCGGGAATTTATTCCAATGGCGCTAGTTTTATTAAACCCTCATAAAAAATTCCTAAACTGATGTTTTGCAGCAAGCTTTAGTGTGTTTATTATATAGAATACATATGAAATGTTGACGTACATTTCATGTACATCAATGTACATGACATACATGACTCCTTTTAAAAAATATTTCCTGGCCGGGCGCGGTGGCTCACACCTGTAATCCCAACACTTTGGGAGGCTGAGGCGGGCGGATCACTTGAGGTCAGGAGTTCGAGACCAGCCTGGCCAACATGGCGAAACCCCATCGCTACTAGAAATACAAAAAATTAGCCGGGCATGATGGTGTGTGCCTGTAGTCCCAGCTACTCAGGAGGCTGAGGCAGGAGAATCGCTTGAACCTGGGAAGCGGAGGTTGCAGTGAGCCAAGATCGTGCCACTGCACTCCAGCCTGGGGGACAGAGCCAGACTCCATCTCAAAAATACAAACAACAACAACAACAACAAGCCCATTTCTTTAAGCTGTAAGAGTGTCCACTGTATTGTAGTACCATAATAATTTTACAGAAGCAATTAGATGATGTAGTTTAAAGAAATTCTGATTAAGAATATAATTTTAAGCAAACTCTTTTCCATGTAAATACTTTCAAAGACAGAAATAACTGACATCATCCTTCCAACTTTATTCCTACTAATTCTTGGTCTTGTAAGGCACGTAAAAATTATTCTAATTTTGAAAATTGGAACAAGACAGCCCATTTTAGAGATAAACATAGGATCAAAACTCAGTTATCTTTAATTCTTTTATTTCTTTCTTCATTATGCCAGGCTAGTTCTAAATGCCTAAAATACATTAAAATGGAACAGAAAATCTTAAAAGGATGTTAATTTTAAGTTTCTTACTAATCTTTCCTCATAGAAATAAAGAAGCCATAACTGTTAAGCACATTTTCTAAGATTGTATATAATCATTTATAGGTTAAGACTTTTTTGGCATTGAAGATAGTAAACTTTTTATGAATGTAATTATTAAAGTATAATCAACTCACATCTTTGGGTTTATATTGGTCTTAACATGTTTCATAGTTTGCAGTATTTGAAGAATCTGAAGATGACAGGCACAGCCGTCACTTACCCATGACCGTCACCTTCCTAAAGCTGTCTCGATATCTACTGTGGACACTCAGGTTAGCGGAGAGAAAACAACTGCATTACACTACATTTTTAAGCAAACCAAAGAACTTTATTTGGAGTAATAGCTAAGAAAACAGCTTTTTATGGAAACTGAAAAAGAGAGCAGAGGAAGTATAAGAGCTACCCCTTAAGAAATAACTTTAATAGTTAAAAAACTTTCGTAGAATCTTACTAAAAAGGAGGCAACATTAGTTTAAAAAATAACTGAACAAGAATCTGGCCTAATAACCAGACCTCGGATTAGCATACTTTCTAGTTATAGATGTAAATCTTCAAAGTACATATATTCAGTACAAGTCAAAAAAAAAATAAAATAAAATAGTGCCAGACCATCCTTTACTTTTTCATGTCCTTGAAATGAGAAGAGTAATGTACTTAAGTAATTCCTTCTTAAGAATGTCCCTTAAACTATAACAACTTCATAGCATCTTGACTTAGAATATACCACATTTTCCAAGTCCTATTTGTCTATTTATATTCATTATATATAAGTAACCATGACAACAGAATTGAAGTTCCGCTTAAAAGACTCTTGCCCTTTCCAACTTTTACTTTAAGTTGGATCCCTGTTATCAGTAATACTTAGATGAACCTCCCCTTTCAAAGTAGTAAAAACTAAAGCATTAAATTAGTACCTAAAATCAAAGTACAGTTGTTATTTATAAAACTATTGTGTTGTATCCTGACATGTGGCAACAAAGATAATATAAAATGTACTCAGAGACTAATGCCATTATGAACAGAAAAGACTATATATAAATATATAATCTTTATATATATATAAAAATCTTTTTTAAAAGATTTTTAAAATAAAATTTATAAAAAAGATTTTTTATATATATAAAAAGATTATATATATAAAACATATATATATATTTTTTTCTGGAACAACTTAAAAATCAATTTTAAAAAAACTGATTAATTCACTATTGGACAGATGTTCAAATGCTAAATTTAAAATTCAGCATTATCTTCTCTCTCTTGAAATATAGGTTATATAAACAGTAAAAGTACAGTAAGTTAAAAAACAAAAGAAAATAAAGCCTTGGTTTAGTATAGCTCAAGCTTATATACACAGCAGGTATAGTAACTTGTTCACCAGAACAGAGCATCGAATAACATTGAATGAAAATTATGGCCCCCAAAAGCAGAACCTCAAAGCCAGGTTGTGGCCAGGTGAATTATTTAACCTCACTGTGCCCATGTTCACAGGCCTGATCCTTAACAAAATCTATGAATACAAACTAAATCCAAGACATGTTGAATTGATGTTTTGTAAAATGCAGTAACACCTTACTGTTAAAGGTGCTAAGGAAAAAAGCATTCAGCATACATGCTACAGAGCCTGAGCACTGAAAAATGAAAATCTTATTGTGGCTACAGATCAAAAATTCATACTGAAAAAGATATTTGTCATTTAACATGGAACCTTTCCAATACATTTTAAGGGCATACTGAAAAGGCTAGTAGTGAAAAACGGCGGTAACAATGAGATAACATACTTTGTTATATAAAAGCCTAAGTTTCATAGAAAAAAAATTCTAATTTGAAAAGTCAACAACATTAAACCCTATCTGCCATTACCAATTCCATCAAGATTACTAGGTCTTTAAATGTGGGACTGGTAAAAATAATACTTCCAGGGTTCAATCAAATAAATCAAAGTAAACCAAAACAAGAAAATTAGCTAATACTTAAAGCAGCAGCCTCAACAAATGTGTGATTTATTTCCCTTTTTGTTCAAATTTTAGTTTTTTCAGGCCTTATAAATACTTGCTGGAATTTCTAAAGCATTTCTTTCTTACGCTAAGTCTTCTCTAATAACATAATAAATACTGAATTACCTAAAACACTGTCCGACACACCTCAGGATCTGCTTCTCGGCTCTTCATGCTGATAGTGCCATTTTACTGATTCAACAAATACTTGGTTTGCAACTGATGTGGTCCTTAAACTATTCACGAGTTAGAAGACTAGCTCTAAAACCTACCTCATTTCTAAGAGTCATAAATAGGACTTTACCTGAATGCATGAAAACACAAAAGGGAAGCTTCTAAGTTGAACTTTCTAATATTCATATTTGAAATGGTTTGGAATGATTGATCAAACTTTTAAGATCTAACTCAGTGCACTTATACAACAACTAGATACCTCTGGTGAATTACAAGAATTGCTCCAATAGAAGCGTCTCTCAATCTGCTCATCAAATCTAGATCAGCTCTACCAGTGAAAACAAATTTCAAGATTTGTTTCATAATAAGTGTTAAATCTCATACAATCGAGCTATGTCATGCCACATAAGTTCTAAAGCAAATGAAAAACAAAGCCAGCCAAATTTAGGAGCTGAGCTCATGGTATAACACTTATAAAGAAATGAAAATAACACAAATTGAAAACTATAGTGACCATCTTGGGTACGACATGCAATGATACTATCACTACTATTTTGACAGCATGACAACTGAATAATTAGAAGATACACATGCATACCACTATTTCTCTATTAAGAACACATACATCTCATATAAATACATCCTCAGGAAACACTTTTTACATTAAATCGTTTTTTGACAATAATTTTGCACTGAATAACAATACATTACAACTCACTGTTGTACACCTTCAATTGCTAAAACGGTATTCTAGATGTTTACACAGAGAATTATAGGAATATGCACGAGCACTTCAAGAAAAGTTGTGTGAACAATGTTTAAAGTAAAAAAGTGTTTTATAACCAAGCTGTACGGACATTAGGGGGTTTAGGTCTTCTTCGAGGGTGGCCACTGGAGGGGTCAACCGCTGATCGCTCACTCCTACAACTGAGACCACTCGTAGCACTGGATGTCCTGGAAGCTCCTGAAAATATAAAAAGAAGAAATATCTGAGAAACTTCTCCTCACTTGAAGTCCAGACTAGTTTTTCTTCCACATTCTATGTGTGTCTAATAGTCTAATGCTATGATTCTCGACTAGGATGCACTTCAGAATTCCCTGTGGAAGTTAAAAAATATAATAACAAACATATCCAGATGCCACACCAGGGGATTTTGATTCACTGGATTGGCGTGGAAAACAAACATTTTTAAAAGCTTCTCAAATAATTCACGTGAAAAAAATGACTTTGTATAACCATTTATATATCTAATCAACAAATAACTTACTACATTTAGGGACAATGCTAAGTATGAGTTACTAAAATAAGACCCTTTCTTAGTCACTATACCACGGAAGCAAGGTTTGGAGAAGGAATAAATGGAACTACTAGTCTTGAGAGTTGAAGACTCACGAGGGCGGGCGCTGGGAAGTTGTGGCATCGGGCGGTTTGGTATTCCCTTCTATTTATTATATGGTTTAGAATGCATACATGAAGTACAGCAGAGACTTCTGTAAAGGACACTGGCCTTTCTAGATGTTGCACACTCCAGCACTAAATGGTCACTCCATTCCTGTACTCTCTGGGGCACACAGCTGGCTAGGTCTGTAACTGATCACACAACAAGCCTTACTGCTTACTGTAAAGCGGTAAGGCTTGTTGTGTGATCAGCTTGCTAATTTTTGTTTTAGTTATCCAGTAAGT
Organism: Homo sapiens; assembly: GCF_000001405.40. Lineage (NCBI taxonomy): Eukaryota > Metazoa > Chordata > Mammalia > Primates > Hominidae > Homo > Homo sapiens. The sequence goes on from NC_000004.12 coordinate 185,163,646, forward strand.
AAGAAAAAGCACATATAAGGGCTGGAGGCTATTAGCAATGATTCTTAACTACCTAAGGAGAATGTTTTAGCAGCTTTTAAACAGCACACCTATGTATTTCTTCCTTCAATAAACTTTGAAATTAACAGTCCTTCCTCAATTACCTAAGAACCTACTGATATTTTTGATTGTTTTATCTCCTGGTTTCCTTCCTGTCATTATATGCTGTAAATGAAACCTGAAATTAAGTGAACTAATACAAATAAAACAAAACATGACAGTGGGAAATAACAGAACGCATTCCAGAGTTGGCATTTAAAACTCTATCATAATAACATGTTACGTTTTTTTAAAAAAAGGATACAAGATACAAATAAGTATAAAATAATTTCCAAAATGCTTACTTAATGGGCTATATTGGCCAAGAGTGGATCTGGCCCGTCTTGACAATGGTGATGAGTTGAGATAGCCCATATTGCGATGATAGTCCATCAGTTGTTCTGAACGTTTCATACCAACTGTTGGTTTCACGGCCTCAAGCCTTTTCAATAAAGCCTTCAATAAAGACAATTAATTTGAAAGGCAAGGTTAAACAGCAATCATTTTTAACAAGGCAATACATTCTAGAGCCTGACATTCACTTTCTTTCTTTTTTTTTTTAAGAGACAAGATCTTACTCTGTCACTCAGGCTGGCCTGGAACTCCTGGGCTTAAAGGATCCTCCCATCTCAGCCTCTCAAGTAGCTGGTATTACAGGTGCCACCCACCACATCCCGCCAAAAGATCTTAAATCATTCTCGACATACCATGTGAAAAACATTTCAAATAATATAATTTCATAAAAATCCAAGGGTTTTTGCCTATCCCACAGCTAACCAAACCACTGTGATATAACAATTCATCCAGAGGTGTCCAATGGAGAGAATACAGTCATGGGTTCTTAGTTTCTGTTTCTGGTTGGGCCAGTAAAGCCCCTTCCTCATCTCTCTTTTCTGCATATCACTAGAGACAGAAACTAAAAACCATGGCTTCAGGCTGCTAAAAGCCTAAAACAGAACAACAACAACAAACAACAAAATAAGGTAGGTTAGACAAGCTTGCTAGAGGCCTAATTCTTTTGTGCCAGGTTAGTCTTAGGAAAGGTGCTGTAAGTTGAAATAAAATACACTAAACCTGATTTTCTCATAGACATGATGTAATAGGAGTTATAATGCTAAGAACCTAGTGTTAGACCCTAGGAATGAGCACACACATATGGAAGCTACTACAGATTCTCCACATGTACATTGCAGAGCAGTGCCTTTCACCCTGTTCCTTTGCAGTAGTGCCTCAAGGGCTTGTAGGCCACTGGGGAAAGGCCAGCAGGGAGGGCCCTCGGGTCTTCCACTGCTAGTTTCTACTAGCCCAGCTATGCTTTCTGTATTGTCTGTTTTATATACTAAAGATTCTGCATAACATTTAATTTGGAGAAAAAAGCTTTTGCTGTTAAGAAGTCTGAAAACCAATTAGTATAGAATATAAAGTTTTTAAAAAGATATGTAGCCTGGGCACAGTGGCTCACACCTGTAGTCCCAGCACTTTGGGGAGCCCGGGGCGGGTGGATGACCTGCTTGAGTTCAGGAGTTCCAGACCAGCCTGGACAACATGGCGAAACGCTATCTCCATTTTAATAATATTTTAATAAATTTTAAAAAAGGATATATATACCAATTGGCCAAGGCAACACAGTATCCAATAACATGGTAATTTTTTTTACAATTCAGTAACAGAGACTCATGCAGAATGTTATAAATTTTGTTTATAACTATTTCTTAAAAGGTGAAAGAGTTTATCCTGTTGGCTTTTCGTAGGCATTGTTGAGAAAGAAATACCGAGGTAGACCAAACAGCTTGGGGAATTGATCCATGATTGTGTTTTATTCTTTTCTTTACTCATTCAAACTTTCTCTGAAGGAAGCTGATCTTATTTGCAAAGGGAGTACTGACCTGCACTAAGTTTCACACTAAAAAATCAGACTCATGAATTCAGTCATAGGACAAGTTTTCTCTGTACAATCTTTTCTTCTTTCTTCCTTTTACTGTGGTAAAATGAAACCACATTTTAACCACTTCTAAGCATACAGTTCTGTGGCATTTTGTACACCCACACTGTTGTGAAACATCACCACCGACTCCCATAACTTTTCTTCCACTTGGTGTTTTATCAGTTTCACCCCCTGCCCTTCCATGCTGAGTTCCTGAGCAATTCCAAAGAAGGAACAGATGGTGGAAGAATAAGCCAAGATATCCAGGGGAAGGGCCACTTAGAAAAGGGAGAGGAGGAGGTTGTTATAGAAACAAAAGGAGGCTTGGAGGCAAACAGCAGAGGTGCAAAACACATGAAGAACCGGACAGAACCACTGAGAACATCTTTACTGCCTCCCTGCATGCTATTCCTTCTGCGTGAAGTGCCCCTTCCTAATTTTTGGCCTTCAAAAGCTAGAAAAGAGTCACCTACTCAAATTACCCAACTAGTATTAGTGGTTCCCTTTGCTGAGCTGAGTTTTTATTTCAACATGATTCCACCTGACTGTAAAGTCCACGGTCTTCCCATCATATCCTCTTTCTTGCATTGTGGACAGAGAAGCAGTGTGATGTAGGTGTCCAAACCTCCTGAAATCATATCTTCTCTACCTGCAGTTTGTAACTGTGCAGGAACTTCCTGGGGCCACATCTCCAGTGTATTCTACCAGCAGAGTGCATTTGCTGTTTTGTCTGATTATCCTATTAACTACACACTGAGCTGTGCAGGGTGGAAAGGACAAGACAGAAGACCTGGCATTTTCAGTTATCTTTCATTTTTGCTTTTTTGCTGGTAGACGTCTCAATGTCTATTAAACTCCTAGTGTCCTAAGTTTATTTATTTGGTTGGATGAGTATTTTTCTTTTACAAATTTTAAGAAAATTACAATACTTATTCATCACATATAAAACATACAGATGTGATCAAAATCAACAATAATGCAAAAAGTAAACCCATTCTGGAGTCTGATACATCAATTATCAAGTTTACATGCAGAAACTTAGGGAAATAAGAGAGAAATGATTCGGCTCATGTACCCAAATCACATGGAACAACACCATGTGTCCATCTGAGTGTTACATGAATATAACAAGCTAAACAAAAGCTAAAGGATTTGAGAAATAACTCTTGCCTATAGAAATAATATCAAAATACAAAGTGTTGATTACCCTAAATTTTAAGGTGTAAACCAACCTTGTCCAACCTGTGGCTTGCAGGCTGCATGCAGCTCAGGATGGCTTTGAATGCGGCCCAGCGCAAATTCATTAACTTTCTTAAAACATTATGAGATTTTTTTTTGGTGATTTTTTTTTTTAGCTCATCAGCTATGGTTAGCATATTTTATGTATGGCCCCAGACAATTTTTTTCCTTCCAGTGTGGCTGAGGGAAGCCAAAAGAATGGACACCCCTGGTGTAAGCCCCAAAATCAAAAGTGTATGCATTTTAATTTAGTCATCAATTTAGAACTCTTATGCAAAAGTTAAAAAACAACAGTTCAGGCTGGGTGCAGTGGCTTACATCTGTAGTCCCAGCACTTTGGGAGGCCAAGGCAGGAGGATCGTGTGAGCCCAGGAGTTCAAGACCACCCTAGGCAACATGGCGAGACCCCGTCTCTTACAAAAAATACAAAAATTAGCCGGGCGTGGTTGCATGTGCCTGTGGTCCCAGCTACCCAAGAGGCAGAGGAGAATGGCTTGAGTCCAGGAGGTCGAGGCTGCAAGTGAGTCATGATCACACCACTAGACTCCAGCCTGGGTGACAGAGGAAGACCTTATCTCAAACAAACAAACAAACAAAAAATTTCAAAATGCTGTAACGATTGTAATACAGTGATAATAAATATAAGCTATATGGTCAGAAAGATTTGGGCTTAACACTTGGCTCTGCCACTGATTGTGTCCTTGATCAAATTCCACGATAAGGATATTAATAACGAAATAACCTCAGAGTCAGTTTTTAGTAATTAAGTGATAGAATGCATCTAAAGTGCTTAAAATAGTGCCTAGTATCTAGCAAGAACTTATTCAGGCTGGGCGTGGTGGCTCACCCCATAATCCCAGCACTTTGCGAGGCTGAGGCAGGCAGATTACTTGAGGTAAGGAGTTCGAGACCAGCCTGGCCAACATGGTGAAACCCCATCTCTACTAAAAATACAAAAAAAAATTAGCCCAGTGTGGTGGCAGACGTCTGCAGTTCCAGCTACTCCGGAGGCTGAGGCATGAGAATCACTTGAACCTGGAAGGCGGAGGTTGCAGTGAACCGAGACTGTGCCACTGCACTCTAGCCTGGGTGACAGTGTAAGACTCCTTCTCAAAAAAAAAAAAAAAAAAAAAGAACTTATTAAAATTAGTGGTATTGTTAATATTGCTGTATTTTCTAGTTGTTTGACATGCAACAGTATTATCTTCCCAGCTAAGTTTTAAAGTACATGACAGTTAAGGGAGTATTTCATATGTATTTTATATTCCTTCCTTACATTGCTCATAACAAATACTAAACAAATATTTAATGGATTAAAAAACAATAAGAATGGTAATGTACGGTTTACAAAATCTTAGAACTGCCACTCAAATCAGATTCTAATAATGAATCCCAAAAGAGTTTGCCCACTTTTTTTTTTTCAGAAATTGCATTTTTTGGCTGGGTGCGGTGGCTCACACCTGCGATCCCAGCACTTCGGGAGGCTGAGGCAGGCAGATCACCTGAGGTCAGGAGTTTGAGACCAGCCTGGCCAACATGGTAAAACTCCATCTCTACTAAAAATACAAAAATTAGCTAGGCATGGTGACACACACCAGTAATCCCAGCTACTTGGGAGGCTGAGGCAGGGGAATCACTTGAACCTGGGAGGCAGAGGCAGAGTGCTGCATCACTGCACTCCAGCCTGGGAGACAGAAAGACTCTGTCTCAAAAAATAACAATAAAAGACCAGGCACGGTGGCTCACGCCTGTAATCCCAGCACTTTGGGAGGCTGAGGCGGGCAGATCACGAGGTCAGGAGTTCGAGACCAGCCTGGCCAACATGGCGAAACCCCATCTCTACTAAAAATACAAAAATTAGCTGGGCATTGTACAAAAATACAAAAATTAGTGGGCAACTGTAATCCCAGCTACTTGGGAGGCTGAGGCAGGAGAGTTGCTTGAACCCAGGAGCTGGAGGTTGTTGGAGCAAGCCGAGATCGTGCCACTGCACTCCAGCCTGGGCAACAAGAGCAAGACTCCGTTTCAAAAAAAAAAAAAAGGTGCAATTTTGGGTAATTATGTATATTAACGTAAACAACTTGAAGTTTTAATATAGGTATACATGCTGAAATAACACTTGAGCTACTTACACATCCATCATCTCACAGAGTTACCATTTTTATTTATGTGTGTGGTGAGAACACCTAAGATCTAGTCTCTTAGCAAATGTCAAGTACCCAAGGTACAAAGTTCCAGTCATGCAAGATGAGTAAGTTCTGGAGATCTAATGTACAGCATGTTGACTATAGTTAACAATACTGTGTTATATACCTATTGATACGGTCTGACTCTGTGTCCCCACCCAAATCTCATCTCGAATTGTAATCCCCACGTATGGAGGGAGGGACTTGGTGGAAGGTGATTGGATCATGGGGGTGGTTCCCCCATGCTGTTCTCGTGATAGTGAGGGAGTTCTCATGAGATCTGAGTTACTTAAAAGTGGCAGTTTCCCCTGTGTTCTCTCTCTATCCTGCCACCATGTAAGACATGCCTTGCTTCTGCTTCGCCTTCCAGCATGATTCTAAGTTTCCTGAGGCTTCTCCAGCCTTGCAGAACTGTAAGTCAATTAAAACTCTTTTGTTTATAAATTACCCAGTCTCAGGTAGTATCTTTACAGCAGTATGAAAATGGACTAATACACTTGTCCAAACATTTATTTTATATCCAGGAATTATTCTCTTTGGAAAAAAAATTAACCTAGCCCATCTTTTGATGTTTAAACAAATGTAAACAAATAAATGTCTTAATGATTTCTGCAGCCGTTAGCAGAGGAGAGTTGCTTTAGTGTTTCTAGAGCGATGAAGCAAAGACCTTGTAAGGACACTAAAAAGTAACAACTGTCCCCCACACAGGCAGAATCAAGACGACTGCTCTCTACATTTCAACAGTGGGAGTCACACTGAGTTATCATTAGCTTGCTTTCTTCAACGGAAGGAGATAACAGACCTTAACCAGACAAGAAGGAAACCCCAATGAAGTAAAGTATACATTATTTCAAGATCTTAGAACAAAAGTACTGTTAATCAACAGATTAATATTCATAGTAGGTATGAGACTTGCTATAAATCATTTTTGTGACAATTTATCACAATCTCCCTTTAATTATTCCACATAAGAGTTCTGAAGTTACTCCTACAGGCCAGGCACAGTGGCTCACACCTGTAATCCTTGCTCTTTGGGAAGCTGAGGCAGATGGATCACTTGAGGTCAGGAGTTTGAGACCAGCCTGGCTAACATGGCAATACCATCTCCACTAAAAATACAAAAATTAGCTGGGTGTGGTGGTGTAAGCCTGTAGTTCCAGTTACTTGGGAGGCCGAGGCAGGAGAATCACTTGAACCCAGGAGATGGAGGCTGCAAGGAGCCAAGATCACGTCACTGCACTCCAGCCTGGGTGACAGAGCGAGATAGTCTAAATAAATAAATAAAATAAAGTTACTCCTGTATACTAGCAGACAAAGCACAGAAGAGGATAATTTTATTTTTTACTTATTTATTGAGACGGAGTTTTGCTCTTGTTGCCCAGGCGAGTATCTTGCCTCACTGCAACCTCTGCTTCCCGGGTTCAAGTGAGTCTCCTGCCTCAGCCTCCTGAGTAGCTGGGATTACAGGAGCCCTGGGATTATAGGTGCCCACTACCACACCTGGCTAATTTTTTGTATTTTTAGTAGAGATGGGTTTCGCCATGTTAGCCAGGGTGGTCTCCAACTCCTGACCTCAGGTGATCCACCACGCCAGCCTATTTTTCATTGAATGTTTTTATGAACTGCCTTAGGCCAGGTGTGGTGGCTCTCGCCTGTAATCCTAGTACTTTGAGACGCCGAGGCTGGTGGATCACCTGAGGTCAGGAGTTTGAGACCAGCCTGGCCAACATGGTGAAACCCTGTCTCTACTAAAAATACAAAAATTAGCCAGGTGTGGTGGCACAGGCCTGTGATCCCAGCTACTCAGGGGGCTGAGGCAGGAGAATAGCTTGAACTCAGGAGGCAGAGGTTGCAGTGAGCCAAGACTGAGCCACTTACTCCAGCCTGGGCGACAAAGCAAGACTTTGTCTCAAAAAAAAAAAAAAAAAAAAAAAAAAAAAAGAACTGCCTTAAGTTTCTAAATTCATACATGCCTTTTATTTTTAAAACAAAATTCTAACACGAGAACTCCTAACTGGAAAAATTATGCTAACAGGTACAGAAATCATCATTACATTATTTATTTGTTTGTTTCAATTTTTCTACATGAAAAGATGGGCTATTGTCTATTTATTTTCATTTCTCTGAATTTAAAATTTGCTAATGAGCTAGGCGGGGTGTCACACGCTTGTAGTCCCAGCTACTCGGGAGGCTGAGCTGGGAGGATCACTTCAGCCCAGGAGTTCAGCCTGGGTAACACAGCAAGACCTCATCTCCAAAAGCCAACAAAAAAATCCCCCCAAAACAAGAACAACGAAATAACTAAGGACTATTTTATTTACACACATAATCTTAGAAAGTAAAAAAAGGAAAATAAGTTAACTCCATTTAGTTAACTTTAGGCTCCAACCCTGATACTACATTCCTCTAGGAATCTTACTTCCTCCATAACTTTGCTTGAATTACTTCTCTCCCCCAACATTCTTTCACACCTGAGGACACTGACACACATTTAAAAGAATGAAATAATCTCACTTCTTCTTAGAGGGTAAAGTGAAACCATCAACCAAGTATCTTTAACCACCTCTCCTTCTGCTAAGATTGTTCTTATGCTCATTCGGAAAAAAGTTCAAGTGAAAAGAAAGAGATATGGTTTAACAAGAATATTTCTTTCTTTTTTTGAGATAGGGTCTTGCTCTGTCACCCAGGCTGAACTGATCACTTGAACCCAGGAGGCAGAGGTGGAGTGATCACGGCTCTCTGCAGCCTTGACCTCCCAGGCCCATGCAATCCTCCTGCCTCAGCTTCCTGAGCAGCTGGGATTACAGCCATGCATCACCACACCTGGCTAATTTTTTATTTTTTGTAGAGATGGAATCTCACCATGTTGCTTGCCCATGCTTGTCTTGAACTTCTGGGCTCAGGCAACCCTCCTGCCCTGGCCTCCCAAAATGCTGGGATTACAGGCATAAGCCACTGTACCTGGCTAAAAATAATATTTCAGAATTCATGAGTTAAAAAATTACTCCCCTTTTTACAAGTAATAAAATTCTAATTTTATTTAAATTATAATGATAATTGAGGCTGTCTACTGATAAAGTTATCTACTGGATAAAAACACTCTATTGGATAAAATTTTCATTTCTCTGAATTTAAAATTTGCTAATAAGCTAGGCTAATAAGCTAGAATAATTTTTATTCCCTTAATTTTTGTTTGGATGCAATGTTTAATGAGAGGAAGGATAATATCTACCTATTGAAACAAATAATGATGATCTTGAACCTCATCAGGACAGATGAACAGTATGCTTTTAACTCTAGAGCACAGAAGTCAGTTTTATACAATCGTTGCCTTCCTTCTCTACCTTTTCTGCACAACACTACTTCTTTGTCTGGGATTATTTCCATCTAAATAGCCTCTGAATTGCTAACACACTGATGTAAGAGTTCTGGAACAGAAATGCTTTAGTTATCATGTCTGTTAGCCAGCTGAATTGTTCTCTGTCACTGGAGAGAGAGCAAATGAAAGGATATAAATCATCAAAAATATAAAGGAATGAATTCTGTTTTGCAGTATATCTGACACTGAAATAACTACAAAAGTGTGTCTCTGTGTGCTGAACATATGCATGTGTACTTTGAATATTAACAGTCTAGCAAACAGATTAAAAAGTCTATCAGCCTGGGTGCAGTGGCTCACACCTGTAATCCCAGCACTTTAGGAGGCTAAGGCAGAAGGATTGCCTGAGGTCAGGAGTCTGAGACCAGCCTGGGCAACAAAGTGAGATCCCATCTCTACAAAAAAAAAAAAAAAAAAAAAGCATTGGCTCACACTCAAAGAGCAAATGTGGCTCTTTTTAAGGTTGAGTATGAGAAGGCTTGCAGTATGGTTAAGACCATACTTCTGGTCAGGAAGGTAGTATTTAAGACTGTCAAACAGGCTCCAATATAAATAATTAGATTTATATTACAGGCATGAGTCACCAGGCCTGGACTAATAGGATTTTTTAAATAGAAAAATAATCAAAGTCAACGGGCACAGTGGCTCACGCCTGTAATCCCAGCACTTTGGGAGGCAGAGGAGGGAGGATCATGTGGTCAGGAGATCGAGACCATCCTGGCTAACACGGTGAAACCCCATCTCTACTAAAAATACAAAAAATTAGCCAGGCATGGTAGCAGGCGCCTGCAGTCCCAGCTACTCAGGAGGCTGAGGCAGGAGAATCGCTTGAACCTGGGAGGCAGAGGTTACAGTGAGCCGAGATCACGTCACTGCACTCCAGCCTGGTGACGAGCCAGACTCCGTCTCTTAAAAAAAAAAAAAAAAAAAAGTAAACCCAGGTTCCTTAAAAAGCTAAACACAAAATTACCATATGACCCAGGAATTCTACTCTATGTGGCCTTAAGGAACTAAAAGCAGGGACATGAACAGATAGTTGCCAATATTCACTTCAGTATTATTCACTATAGCTTAGGTCTACACCTACAATGGAATAGTATTCAGCCATAAAAAGGAATTAGGTTCTGATACATGCTACAACATAGATGAAACATGAAAACATTTTAAGTGAAATAAACCAGATACAAAAGGACAAATATTGTACAGTTCTACTCATATGAAATATTTAGAATAGCCGAATTCATAGAGACAGAAAGCAGACTAGATGCCCTTAGAGGATAGGGGTGGGGAAAGGAGAGTTGTTTAATAAGCACAGCATCTGTATGAAGTGATGAAAACGTTTTAGAAATAGATGGTAGTGACAGTTGTACAACACTGTGGATATGCTTAATGCCACTGAATTAGACACTTAAAAACTGTTAAAATGGCAAATTTTAAGTTATATATACATTACTACAACTTAATAATATACCAAAACCATTGAATGTGTACACGTTAAATGGGTAATGGTATGTGAATTATATCTCAATAAAGCTGGTTAAAAAAAAAGGTAACCCCAAAGCTAGGCAACCTGGATTTGCACCTGGGCTCTGACACCTGCTAGCCGTGTGACCTTGAGTAAGTCCCTGTGCCCCACTCAGTGTCTCTTTTACTCTTCTGTAACTACAATAACTATAAGATTGCTATCAGGACTTAATGCCTAACACTTGTAAAATAGTATGCACAATGTAATTTCTTATTAAATGCGATCGGCCCAGAGCCAGGTGTGAGAGTGAAAACAAAGGAAGTAATCCCATATGTTTTTGACATACGGGAATTTCAAATTTCCACGAAACATGAACAAATCTTGAATACTGCGAAGGTGATGTGTGGAAAGCTATCATCTATCTCAGCTCCCACCGACCTCATTTCACCTAGCTTAGTTATCTGTTCCTTGCCACATGCAGGGTAATCCTCTTGAAGGGTTCAAGACTACTATTTTTTATAAATAGTAATCCTAGCTTCCCAACTCTTGGGGTTAGTATGATAATAAAGAAATGTACAAAAGAGTTGTTACAAGTTTAGGTAAGTATATGGTTACACAGGAAAACACTGGTAATGACACATAAGGAGGGTTAATTTTGAAAATGGTCTTAATAATTTTAATAGCTTTCTAAATTATTTTAGCTCTGAGTTTACGTGTTCATTAAGGGTCTAATTCTAGTTTAAGAGACTACCCAGGTTTAAAATCTTGGCTCAGCAGCATACTCAGTAGCTCTGTGCTAAATATTTAACCTGTCTAACCCTCAGTTTTTTCATCGTGAGATGTGGATAAAAATAGTTATCTACTTCAGAGAATTGTTGTCAGGATTCAATAAGTTAATATTTGGAAGATACTCAGAACAATGCCTAGTGTTTAGTAAAAGCTCAGTAAATATCAGCAATTATTATGAACTAAATCTTATGAAGAAAATATGCTATAATAGTTTTAAATGTGAAGATTTTCAACAGTTCCCATATTTATTTTCTTATAATATCAAACTATATGATTTGTAACAATCAATGTTTCATACATTTAAGTAGCAGATTAGCAATTTGGCCTATTCGAGATATACTGATCCTTTAAAATAAGTGATGTACAATTTATTTTAGCTTTCCAGGACACAATAAAGTAAAAGAGATTTCACTAGTGACTGAATACTTCACAGAAGAAACACTTGGATACCATTTCCTGTTCTACTGTAGTGATTTAACTGATCTAGGCAAATAAATAATGGAGCTTTCAGTATTTTCCTTTAATGGTCTCCTTCTCTCTCTCTCTCTCTCTCTCTTTTTTCTTCTCTTTTCTTTTTTTGAGGTGGAGTCTGGTTCTGTTGCCCAGGCTGGAGTCCAGTGGTAGAATCTCGGCTCCCTGTAACCTCCGCCTCCCGGGTTCAGATGCTCCTCCCACCTCAGCTTTCCAAGTATCTGGGACCACGGGTGTGTGCCACCATGCCCACCATGCCCAGTTAATTTCTGCATTTTTGGTAGAGCTGGGGTTTTGCCAGATTGTGCAATCTGGTCTCAAACTCCTTGCCTCAAGCGATCTGCCCACCTCGGCCTCCCAGAGTGCTAGAATTATATGCGTGACCCACTGCATCTGGCCAGTGGTCTCTTAATATATAGTTTCCTGGATAAAAATACATATCGTATCCTCCGGACTTACAGCACATCATATGTTTCATACCACACATACCGCACCTGCTTTTATGTAATGAAGTTTGAATATTTGGCTGTATTTAGGTTTCCTGTAAGCTGGACATACAAATCAGTGCAAACACATTTTCTTTGATGACTAATTATTTCAGTTACTTACCAAGTTTTCTCTCTCAATCCTTTGTTGTTCCTTCTGTCTGTTGAGAGCACTGTGATATAACTTTGGGGGATGATCAGCCGATCTAGGAATTGTACTTTTGCTTCCCGGCTTTTCCGCCTGTCTTGACAGTTCTTTCAAAAGCCTCTGATTTTCCCGATCGATCTGTCTCACCTCTTCTCTTGTGAAAGAGTAGTTTTTCCCGGGTGCTACTGAAGGCTGATCAAAGTGATGTTTTTGTGGTCCTTTTTTATCTAATTGCAGAAAAGCTACAGAAAAGAACAAAAAAAAAAGAGAAAATGGCCAAAGTAAGTATGTGGTACATGCTTTTTTTTTTTTTCTCTTTTTAGACGGAGTTTCACTCTTGTTACCCAGACTGGAGTGCAATGGGACAATCTTAGCTCACTGCAACCTCCGCCTCCTGGGTTCAAGCGATTCTCCTGCCTCAGCCTCCAGACTAGCTGGGATTACAGGCATCCACCACCATGCCTGGCTAATTTTTGTATTTTTAGTAGGGACAGGGTTTCACCATGTTGCCCAGGCTGGTCTCGAACTCCTGACCTCAGGTGATCCACCCACCTCAGCCTCCCAAAGTGCTGGGATTGCAGGTGTGAGCCACTGTGCCTGGCCCGGTGGTACATGCTTTAACCCTTAAAAATATGTATTAAATTCAAGAAAAAGTATGTATGAAATAATACTAATGACATCTAGATTACAACTTTGTAGAAAAAAATTGGACGTAGCTTAGTATTTTATGCTCACCGGGTTCCTTGGGCATAAAAGCTACACACGAAACAATGAAAGTATCTTTAAAAATGTATATAGTACTGGTCTTTAGGCTAGTATAATTTACAGACAATGCCTTTGTTATATCAATTTTATCCTTCCCGACTGCAGTTTAATAGCTGGAAAGGTTAGAAACCTCAGAGTTGAGGGCACTAATACAATACTTAATTTAGGTACAGCTTTTCTTAGTTGGAGGGCATACTTCCAAAAAAATGTCCTCAGCAATGACTGAGGGAAACAATGGCAAAAAGTAACTCCGAATATTCCAAAACTCTCAACTTAACCAGAAAAGATGCTGGATTTATAAATCTTAATATTGCCATTAAAGCAAATACTTCTACTGTAAAAGTCAAACATTTTATTCCTGATTAAACAGAAAGGTGTTTTTAGCTAGCAACAATATTTTGCATACTATAATTTTTATCAACATGCTTATTTCTTAAATTTCCATATTATAATTATCAATAAGTGCAATTACTACTAAACATTTGTAGAAAACATCCAAAAGTATTAAACTTGCTGAATGTTTCAGGTTAAGTATGTACTAAAAAGGGACACACTGAGGCCAGGCGCGGTGGCTCAGCCTGTAATCCCAGCACTTTGGGAGGCTGAGGCAGGTGGATTGCCTGAGGTCAGGAGTTCGAGATCAGCCTGGACAACATGGTGAAACCCTATCCCTACTAAAATACAAAAAATTGGCCTGGCTTGGCGGTGTGCACCTGTAATCTCGGCTACTCAGCAGGCTGAGGCAGGAGAATTGCTTGAACCCAGGAGGCAGAGGTTGCAGTGAGCCGAGATTGCGCCATTGCACTCCAGCCTGAGCAACAGAGTAAGACTCTGTCTCCAAAAAAAAAAAAGGAATACACGATATCAGATTAAGTAACCATTATTTGTTTTTGTTTGACTATCCTTATGTTAATTTTTTAAACATGTTTAGCATTTTATGCTGGGACATTTTTAATCCCCTATTTAAAAATAAGTATGGGCCAGGCACAGTGGCTCACAGCTGTAATCCCAGCACTCTGGAAGGCAGGGATGGGTAGATCACCTGAGGTCAGGAGTTCAAGACCAGCCTGGCCAACATGGCAAAACCCCGTCTCTACTAAAAATACAAAAATTAGCTGGGCGTGGTGGCACACACCTGTAATTCCAGCTACTCAGGAGGCTGAGGCAGGAGAATCGCTTGAACCCAGCAGGCAGAGGTTGCAGTGAGCGGAGATCATGCCAGTGCACTCCAGCCTGGGCGACAGAGCAAGACTCCCATCTCAAAAATAAAACAAAATAAATAAATAAAAAATAAATAAAGTAAGTATGGTATAGAAAAGTTACATCACTTGGGCAAGGTCACAAAAATTGTAACTCTACTTCCCTACATTTAAACCAAAGACTATTAAAGGTTACAGAAAATTTTAAAAAATAATTAACAGTGGCTTCCTGGTAGGAAAATGAAGAAATTAATGATTGGTAATTTGCTGAAAAGTATGCCAAGTTAGTGACAAAACCTGAATGAGAAACATTTAGAGAAACAGACTTAGATGCATAAAACATGTGAAATTATCTTGCCTCCAAGAAATACGCATTTTGTAGAACAAGGCTTCTAGATTATAAGCCCTTTAAAATTCAATTCTAAAGGAAATTAATAGTAAGCTATTTTCCCCTAACGGTTTTTGTCTTTTTTTTTTTTTTTTTTTTTTTTTGAGACAGGGTCTTGCTCTGTCGCCCAGACTGGAGTGCAGTGGCGTGATCTTGGTTCACTGCAACCTCTGCCTCCCCAGTTCAAGCGATTGTCCTGCCTCAGCCTCCTGAGTAGCTGGGATTACAGGCGCCCACTACCACGCCCGGCTAATTTTTGTATTTTTCGTCGAGATGGGGGCTTCATCATGTTGGCCAGGTCTTGAACCCCTGACCTCAGGTGATCCACCTGCCTCGGCCTCCCAAAGTGCTGGGATTACAGACATGAGCCACTGCACCAGGCTGAAGGGTGGGTTTTGATCAAAGGGCAGCATGAAGCAAATTTTCTAGGATGATGGAAATGTTCTCTATTTTATATTAGTTACTACTGCTCTGCTAACACATCACCACAAGACTTAGTTGTGTGAAGCAGCAACCTGCAAAGACTCAAAGAGCAGGATCAAAGTGCCTAACCATGGCACAGGAAATGAGGTGCTCCTGGAACAGACTTAGCACAGGTGGACCAGCTTTGGGACCTGGTGGCCGGCAGAGCTGCAAGGGCCTGGAGAAGGCTGTTGATGAAGTCTGAGGGGATGAAATGGCAAAATGTCCAGCGACCCTGTGCTTGCGGTGTTAAGGGAAATAGAGAAACTAACGACCACACTGGTAGATCTGGCCCAGCAGACCCCCAAGCAGAACGCTCAGAGCACCAGTGGTTTATTTTACCCACAGTAAGAACGGACAAAGAGAGGGGCGCTAAAAAAATCATAAAAAGAACTGGCCAGTTTTCAAGCAAAATTTAGAAAGAATATAAAAGAGCCAAGACTTAACGGGGTTTAAAAGTAAAACTGCTCCTCATCCCTAGTCTTTCCCAGGAGATTCTCAAAGTACTCAAAGAGCCATGGCTGAGAAACCAACACCTGAGGAATCTCAGCTGCAGCTGGACCCGACTGACATCCTGGATCTCAAGTTAGGGGCATCTGTGGAAAGAGCGAATGCATTCTTGCATATGGGAAGAATGTTAATAAATCTGTGGCCGGAAGTTGGACTGAAGAGATTTTAAGATATAAAATCTTTAAATTAAAGATTATTATAATTTACATTATTTGACACTCCTCCCATTAAGAAGTAGAGGTTTATGCCCTTTTGCGTTAAATCTGGGAGGGTTTATGACCATTTCAACCAATAGAGCATGAAAGAAATGATGCTATGTGACTTTTGAGGCTAGGTCATAAAAGGCAATGAGGTTTCTGCCTTGTTTCCTGGAACACACGTGCTTAGAATCCTGAGCCACCATGTAAGAAGTCCAACTACCCTATGGCTGAGACGTGAGGAAGCCAGGCCACATGGAGAACCCCACATGGGCCCTTGGGTTCTGGCCTTCAGGCTGTACCAAGCCCAGGCACCTGATGTGAAAACACAGCACTGGGTTGACTGTAGTCCCGGCCACTGAGTCACCTCTACCTTTGGGTCTCTCTATTCCCTAAGTGTTGGGGTAATCTGTCATGCAGTAGTAGCTGATTAGTTCATCACTTTTAAAAAAGCATTGTGTGACAAAATACCTGTGGCCAAGAGCATCCCACAAGCAGATGCTAGTTTTTGTTGTTATTTGGTTTAAATTGATTATCAATGCTTCCATGGTGATGTGGCTTCCCAAATGTTATTTTCCAGTTCTATTTTGCCTTTATCATACATTTCAAATCAATGAATTTTATCTTTTTAGTGTATTTGACCCATTTACTAATGTGAAACACCCTTCTCTATCTCTTTTAGTGATGTTCACATCTTGAGTTCTATGTTGTATATTAATAGGATTGATAAGTTTTACTTTCTCCTTGTTAAAGGAGATATTGGCATGTATTTTTCTAGCCCTTATTTTCATTCTTCCTATACTATTTTAAATATCTTTTTAGGCTGAATGTTGTTTATTTTTTTCCCAATTCTGTTGGCATATACTGAGCACTCATATTTAGCATAACAGAAACCCTATCAGACAGGGCTAGTGTTTTATTTTTTTATTGTGGCAAAATACACGGAACACAAAATTTACCACGTTAACCATTTTTAAGTATACAGTTCAGTGGTACCGAATACATTCATATTGTGTAACCATCACCACCACCAGTTTCCAAAACTCCTTCCATTGTGTAAAACAAATTCTGTATCCATTAAACTCTGACTCCCCATTGCTCCCTTCCCTTCGCCTCTGGAAGCTTTGTCTCTATAATTTCGACCACTCCAAGCATCTCATATAATCATACAGCACTTATTTGTCTTTTTGAGATTGCCTTATTTCACTTAGCATAATGTCCTCACGGTTCACCCATGTAGCATTATGTCAGAATTTCCTTCATTTTTAAGCCTAAGTAATACTTCTGTATTTTTTTTAATATGCTCTGATAGTATCTTCTGGTAAGTTAAAACTACCCAACCACCCACTTGCATTCTTTGTACTTTTTTCCTGTAATCTTTAACTGAAGTTTTGTTACTGTTTTTTCTCATTCTTTTCTATTTTGGGAGATTGACTAAGTTAAAAACTTTTTTCTCTAAGATTTTCTCCAAAAGTTTGTAGCATTATGAATAGTCTAATCACCTATTCTAGTTCCATTCTCCTAAACCTCAGGACCCCTTAACACCCCCCCTAAAGACTGAGGACCCCAAAGAATGTGTATGTGGGTTACATCTACCAATAGTTACCATGCTAGAAATTGTTTTAAAGATATTAATTCCTCTAAAAATAATAAACCAATTATATGTGAACATAACATTTTTATTTTAAAAAGTCAGCGAGTGGCAGAGTTTGTTTTGCAAGTCGTTTAATGCCTGGCTTAAAACCTTGTCTCTGCAGACTTTTGTCTGCAGACAAAATACTCTAAAAATACAAAAATTAGCCAGGCATGGTGGCACACACCTGTAATCCCAGCTACTGGGGAGGCTGAGGCACGAGAATTGCTTGAACCAGGAAGGCGGAGGTTGCACTACTGCACTCCAGCATGGGCAACAGAGCGAGACTCCGTCTCAAAAAAAATAAAAATAAAAAAAAATTAATTAAATAAAAAGCAAATCAAGGCATAATCATACTTTTTTTTTTTTTTTTTTTTTTGAGACGGAGTTTTGCTCTTGTTGCCCAGGCTGGAATGCAATGGCGCGATCTTGGCTCACTGCAATCTCCGCTTCCCAGGTTCAAGCCATTCTCCTGCCTCAGCCTCCCGAGTAGCTGGGATTACAGGCATGTGCCACCACGCACGGCTAATTTTGTATTTTTAGTAGAGACAGGGTTTCTCCATGTTGGTCAGGCTGGTCTCGAACACCCGACCTCAGGTGATCCGCCCGCCTCGGCCTCCCAAAGTGCTGGGATTATAGGCATGAGCCACCACACCCAGCCGGCATAGTCTTAGTGAAAACAGTTTTGTCCTCAAAGATCCTAAAATCATCAAGCTTGCTCTTTTAAGAGTTTGAAGTATTACATTCTTCAGCTATGAGTCTGGTGCCTCTCTGTTGGTTTTTGCTTTTCTTAAATGTTTGGCAATACTTGGTAGTGTGTTGAGGGCATTGAGATTTCCTGCAGTTTGCCAGGAAGAAAGGATAAAATGTGCTGCCAGGCAGGACGTGCTGGTAGCTAATCTCAGTATGGGCATCTCCTTTCTTATGGAGCATAACAGGGTCTGTATCTTCCCTTGAACAAGGCACTTCACTTCAATCCCTCACACGTTGGTATCACTTTAGCAAAAAATTTAACCAGTTTCTTTGCTCATCAATGCTTCTTCAATCCCATTTCTTGTATTTATTTTTCTTCTCAAAATACATCCTGTAGTGATTATTTCATAGTTTATATAGTAGATTTTGAGGCCATGTATTTCTAAAATATTTTAAATTTTTGCTGTTTCAGATTCTTTTTAAAGTGACCTAATTTTACCTATACAAAATATGAAACATACCTTTAAATCTAGTGTGGTCAACGTCTTCAATGCTCTCCAAATCGGTGAGATTCATACCATAACTTGATGTCTAAACTTCTGTTTACTACTCCATTTTTTTAATGCCCTCTCTGCCTATTCAGGGATTTACAGGTCAAGATGAAGGATCTAATTCCAACCATTTTTTGACATTTACATAGCAAAGGCAGCTTTGCATGGAGGTGGAAAATTCCCCAAGTCAGCCACCCTTGAGCTAAAAGAGGTTGAATATTCAGAAATTCGACTAATCTTTCAAGATCCACTTCAAAGTCCTGTATCTAATACTGCCACTATGCAATGGTCTTCCCTTCTTCCACTATTTCTCACAGAACCCGAAGAACTCTGAAGTTAGAATGGACCCTAGCAACCTATATCAACAATCTCCTCCTACAAATAGAGTGCCTGAAGCTCAGAACAGTTGCTGTCTTGTTTGTGATCATGTCGGTAACACCCAGAAGCCTAAGTTTTATTCCACTTTCAAAACTGTCTTTACCTTGGTTCAACACTGTCTCGTCATTCCATGCCCTATACTGGTAGATTCAATTTTACATTCTTTTATCAATCTTTGTTTCATAGGCTTAATATTTTATAGTTCAAATTTCTATTTCATAAACAACAAACGGGCTGGGCGTGGTGGCTCATGCCTGTAATCCCAGCACTTTGGGAGGCTGACACGGGCGGATCATCTGAGGTCAGGAGTTCACGACCAGCCTGGCCAACATGGTGAAACCCCGTCTCTACTAAAAATACAAAAATTAGCTGGGCGTGGTGGTGCCCGCCTGTAATCCCAGCTACTCGGGAGGCTGAGGCAGGAGAGTCACTTGAACCCGGGAGGTGGAGGCTGCAGTAAGCTGAGATTGCGCCACTGCATTCTAGCCTGGGTGACAGAGCAAGACTCCGTCTCAAAAAAAAAAAAAGGTTCTTTTAAACCAATAAAATGTTGATGTGGTTGGCTATACAGGTATCCCTCATTATCTGAACTCTCACCTAATATGGCTGTTAACTTGCAAAATTTTTTACTTAGTATTCACTACCTTAAGCAGTAAACTGGTTTACCGAACCTCTGTACTGAAGTCCGTGAAAATGTTTAAACTGAAAGGATGCAGAGAGTATGCTGCATTCCTGCCTCAGCTGTGCTCTGATGGGCTCACATGTTGTCTTCACCATCATCCTCCCCATACTAAGTGGATTTATGTTCCAGGAAGTAGAAAAGGCAGTGAAGAAATTAGGTAAGCCAAAGCAGCCTAGAAAAGCTTATTTAGTGTAAGTTAGAAGTGATAAAGTGTATTGAGAGATGAATGCAGAAAAGGCACAAGCCTGGCTCTGCATTCATATCCACCTACCATGACCACAGTTGCAGTTATATGGTGGAAAATAAAGAAAACATAGGAAAATAATTTTGGATCTGAAATGCTTCACTGTGTAAATCGAGCATGAATGATAATTTTGAAAAATGATTGCAATACCTTATATAATAGACTGACAGTCCTAATTAGTGTTTAAAATGCTTTATTATTATGAAGAATCCTTGGTGGATTGTTATATTATGGACTCCAATAACAGATGTACCAACTGGCAAAATGCCATGTTTGTTCCTGCGCCTTAAAAAGCCCTGAGCGCCACCTACTGGCAAATCTCTTCTATCAGGGGTTCTTTACTATGCAGTACTATGAATAAAGCTTCCCTTCTACATTTTAGCTCAGCATCTGTGTTAAATGCTTTTTAACAGTATTTCAATTTAATTATAATTGGGGAACTGTTCAGGAGTTTGGGGTAGGATTATTTTTCTTATTTAAAAGTTAAAAATATTTAGGTTCTCTATATCTAATTAAGTTTCAGAAATGGGTTAGACAGGAAGAGTGAAGAATGCTTTATTTTCAATGGAACCAAATAGTTTACTCAGTGTCTTGATATTCAGACCATGGTCCCTAGATCTGCAGCACGGGTATCACCAGTAGGGGCTGATTAGAAATGCCGATTTAGCTCTTACCTTAGTTTTACTGAACCCAAATCTGCATTTTAACAGTATCCCTGGGTTAACCGTATGCATACTGAAGTTTGAGAAGCTCTCTTGGACAAAGTTGGCTGCCCAATTACTGTATATCTATTTTCCTCCTACTTCACAGATCCCTGACTTCCAGGGTGAGCCTGCTTGGCCCAGGATAATCCCATTTCCCCTACCAACGACTGGTTCGGGAATGGGAGCGTAACCAGTTCTGGGCAAGGAGACCTATGTGGATGTTGACTGGGCCAAATTTCTTTAAGAAGTTTCCTCCATTCCAAGAGTCAGAGAAGAGACACTGTCTCTTCCTCTGGACACTGTTGTGTCTGAAGGTGAACACTGAAAACGGCTGCAGACATCTCCTAGCAGCCTAAGAACGAAGCCAACACCAGGGCTGGAGGAACACAGTGCTAGAAAGTAGGTCCCTGATGAAGTTTTGAGCCACTCAATCAACCCTGAAGTCTAGCGTGTCTTTGGGTGACCTGTTATATGAGAAATATTGTTTCATTCGGAATTCCCTTCTTGTATTCAAAATCCTGGATAATCACTGATGACTCTGAACAAAAAGCCCAGAAATCAGACTATTTTCTATTAGATGGTTTTTAAAAACTTGACAATTCTAAGAGTTGAGTGTTTTCTTCCTGTAAGAAGCTTTTTATTGGCTGAAACAATACCTTCCTTTTGTATGCTCGTTTTTTAATCCTCTTTCCTAGGATACAGTGGGGTTTATAATTTGTGGGAACAAATAGTACTTACAAGATTTTAAAAAACGGAAGTGTCCCCTTAAAAATAAAAATTATGATTTAGTCAAACAAGCCCATATTTAAAAAATAAAGCCCACTAGACATATTGAACATTTTAATTTATCTTCTAGAACATTTCTCTTTTCAACCCATTTTTAACCTAATTTTATAAGAACAATACTTTTTAATGCCAAACAATAGGCTGCAACTTTTTAACACGTTTCCCATTTGCCCCAAGAAATGAGTGCTGGCAGTGAGCTGTACTTTTTTTTTTCTGAACAGGAAATGGGTTCAACACATACAAATCACAGTAAGAATTATGAACGAAGAGCAATGCAGCAATAGAAATTTGATGCACAAGAAAAAAGGCAAATATATCAAGATATATGTTATTACACAATATTAGTGAGCAATCTGCATTATCTCATGATATTTTATGATTTAATTTCAACCACCATCCAATTTTTGCATTACAAATATAATTTTAAAGAACAATTCTGTCACTTCAAGGAAAACAGTTGACAGTATTTATTACCAATAATAAAATTTGAGCTTTTTAGCAAAAAATAGTATTTTAGGTAAACTTGTATCTGCCACCATGAGTTTGACAGCTTCTCAAGAGCTTTCTGATGAGGCTGGTAGTGATATTAACAACTATGATTTCTATATAATGTATTCTGAAATTTGCCAACCTTTTTTTTTTTTTTTTTTTTTGAGACAGGGTCTTACTCTGTCTCCTAGGTTGGAATGGAGTGGCGTGATCTCAGTTCACTGCAACCTCCAACTCCCTGGCTCAAGAGATCCTCCTATCTCAACCTCCCCCCGCAGCTGGGACTACAGTAGCACACACCACCATGCCTAGCTAATTTTTGTATTTTTTGTAGAGACAGGGTTTCACCATGTTGCCCAGGCTGGTCTCAAACTCCTGGGCTCAAGTGATCTGCCTACGTCTGCCTCCCAAAGTGCTGGGATGACAGGCGTAGCCACTGTACCTGGCCTGCCAACATTTGTAAGCTCAGTGAAACAATATTTTCCAAATACCCAATATGTCACATTCCAAAACCAGGCATAGGTAAAATATACATTAAAAATCAATCAAGAAAGATCAATATGTTTTAACATAACAGACTTGAAATTCACGATTAAAAGTTAACTGAGATTAATTTCAGATTTCACATTGCAACTAACATCTAAGAAACTATTACTTGTGGGCCAGGCGAGGTGGTACACACCTGTAATCCCAGCACTTTGAGAGGCCGAAGCAGGTGGATCACCTGAGGTCAGGAGTTCCAGACCAGCCTGACCAACATGGTGAAACCCCGTCTCTACTAAAAATACAAAAATTAGCCAGGCGTGGTGGAGGGCGCCTGTAATCCCAGCTACTCAGGAGGCTGAGGTGGGAGAATTGCTTGAACCCGGGAGGCAGAGGTTGCAGTGAGCCAAGCTCGCGCCACTGCACTGCAGCCTGGGCAACAGAGTGAGACTCTGTCTCAAAAAACAACAACAACAGAAAAGAAAATACGACTTGTGGTATAAAAAAATCCACAAGTAACTGAAAAGGTTATTAAAATACTCCTTCATTTTTGAACATTTTGCATATGGCATATTTTCTATACATCCTTTAGCCAATGATATATAGATTATAATAGATTATAAGCAGAAGCTGATTTGAGAATCCAGCTACATTCTATTAAACCAGATGCTAGTGATTAGCAAAAATCACTAATTTTTTTGGATATACACCTTTTTCATGACATACATTACTTACATTATATGGCAACTACATAATGAGTTTATTACTACTATTAAACAAATCAATATTTTAAAAATGTGTAATTTCTAATATGGTAAATATTTACAGATATAAGCTATAACCTATATAAACAAAAGCTCTTCAGAATCCTCAATAACTTTTATGAATGTAAAAGTGTCCTAAGACCAAAATGTTTAAAAATCGTTGTGTTAGAGCACTTGAGGTTGGTGCTGGAAATCCAGAAGAGCAGGAGAGAGCTGCAGCCTGCTGTCTGTCAACCCAATAAATCATCCACCTAGCGAATCGTATGCTCTAGCTTAACTAATGAACACACAGACTGGAAAGTGGCCATAAGAATTATAAGAAAAAAGAATTACAAGAAAATTGTTACCCCAGATGGCTTGATTAAAAATTGGAGATTTTACCCAGGGGAGAATATTAATCAAATGTCTTAAAGATTATAATGCAGAAGGATGCACAGACTTATTCTATGTATTTCAGATGGCAAGTTTTAACAGGAATGGGCAACTGTTATAAAATGAAATTTCCATGAACATATGAAATATGTTTCCTAACCAGCACAGCTGTGCAACAGAAGCAGTTTCCTGACAGTCCCTTCAGTCTACAAATACTGTCTATTATGTGCCTGTATTTGGAAATTCCAACAAGAAATAAGATCCTGCCTTCATTCACTGCAATGGGACACACAAGCAAACTAACTAATTTCAGAGTCTAGTAAGTATCCCGATGGAGAGAAACAAGCTTTTGCGACACAGAGAGGCATGGGGAGTGTAAAGCTCCCAAAGATAGATGTCTAGAAAAAGGCTCTCCCTGGCAGAGACTTGAGAAACAGGGAGAAGCAGAGCCCTCTGCAAAGAAAAAGGGCCACAGCAATGCAAGTGCCTCACCAACGGGAAAAAACCCGGAGTGTCCTTACAACAGGAGCGGCAACAACAACAAAGTGTGACTGGAACTCAGTAATTCAACATCAGGTCGAAAAGGCCAGCAATATCCATACAACGTACAGCAATGGTTGTCACCAATCTCAACAGCATACTAGACCAAATGCATCAGAATCCCTGTGTGCAGAGCCTAGGCATCAGTATTTGTTTTAAGAGTTCTCTAGGTGATATTAATGCACTGCCTGGGATGAGAATTACTGATCTGGAGTCTGTTAGGCAATAACAAGGAATTCAGATATTATTACTATTATCATTTTTTTGAGACGGAGTCTCGCTCTGTCGCCAGGCTGGAGTGCAGTGGCGTGATCTCGGCTAACTGCAACCTCCACCTCCTGGGTTCAAGCAATTCTCCTGCCTCAGCCTCCTGAGTAGCTGGGACTATAGGCGCCTGCCACCACGCCCAGCTAATTTTTGTATTTTTAGTAGAGATGGGGTTTCACCACATTGGCCAGGATGGTTTTGATCTCTTGAGCTCGTGATCCGCCTGCCTCAGCCTCCCAAAGTGCTGGGACTACAGGCGTGAGCACCGTGCTCGGCCGCTATTATTATTATTTTAATAATAACATCCAGGGTTTCACTATGTTGCCTAGGTGGGACTCAAGGGACCCTCTAGCCTCAGCCTTCAAAGTAGCTGGGATTATAGGTATGTGCCACCACACCTGGCTTCATATATATATATACACATATATACATTTTTTTTTTTTGAGATGGGAGTCTCGCTCTGTCATCCAGGCTGGAGTGCAGTGGCACAATCTCAGCTCACTGCAAACTCCGCCTCCCAGGCTCAAGCAATTCTCATGCCTCAGCCTCCCGAGTACCTGAGAATACAGGCGTGTGCCACTACGCTCGGCTCATTTTTTGTATTATTTGCGGAGACGGGGTTTTGCCATGTTGGCCAGGCTGCTCTCAAACTCCTGACCTCAAGCGATCTGCCCACCTTGGCCTCCAAAGGTGCTAGGATTACAGGTGTGAGCCACTGCTCCTGGCCAGGTATTATTTTAATATAAGAGTAAGTCACTGAAGAGTGGAAACTAATAGGATTGATTTACTTTTTTTTTACTTTGCAAAAGATCACTTTAGTTCTTATGGGAGGAATTGAGGGCATGAATAGAAAACTCTTTAATGCTGAAAGTTCTGAGAGTCTGAATGAGCATTTATTAGGAAAGATTTATGGGGTGAAGACTTAGCCAATAAGAGTGTGATTTTTCAGAGACTCTAAACAATCAATAGGTACAATCAGAGAAAGGGAGAAAAATCAATAGGTACAATCAGAGAAAGGGGGAAAAAATACCTACAAAAGGGCCAGATGCAGTGGCGTGCACCCATAATCCCAGCCCTTCGGGACGCTGAGGTAGGAGGTTTGCTTGAGGCCAGGAGTTCGACGCAGCCCGCGCAGCATAGTGAAACCTCATCTCTACAAAAATAAAAAATATTAGCCAGGTGTGGTGGGGCATGACTGTGGTCCTAGGTACTCAGGAGGCTGAGGCAGGAGGATTACTTAAGCCCAGGAGGTCAAGGCTGCAGTGAGCTGTGGTCACGCCACTTCACTCCAGCCTGGATGACAGAGAAAGACCTTATCTCAAAAACAAAAAACAAAACCTACAAAAGTGGCAACATCAAGTGTGAACTGCTCCTAAATACACTGTCAATTTGACCATTTTCTACTAACAAGGTGTTTATGCCCTTACATTGCTACCATATGCAATTTATCTAGTTAAAGACTAACATTTCAAACAGGAAGACAGAGAATTCTATTTACAATTTAAAAACTTTATCATCAACGGACCTAAAACCCACCCAGTATTATTAGTTCTATTAACTAATCCAAAGATAAACTTTGAAGTTGCTTTTATTTGAACTGGAAAATTGTTACTTTCAAACTAAATATAAATAATAATAAACTGATAAGAAACAAAGCAAAAAGACTACTCTAATTCAAAAATACCTTATTATCTTAAAGCAACTTAATGTTTTTCATCAATTTGGTAATTATTTTTAAGTAATGCTCTTTAGCCTTTAACTTAAAAGTCTGAAGAGTCCTCTTTAGTTTACTCTGAGTTCTCTCATTTGCCAGCATTCTTGCCACTGTCCCTGATATGAGGACGCCACATCAGGTGTTAACCTGAGCACTGCTGCCTTTCTTAAAGAAGAAAGTGAAATATGTCCGTGTCTCTATCAAAAGTGGAAAAACATCTGGCTACCCTTCTCTCATTTATCTTATCCATCTGTTTCCTCTAGACATTCTGAGTTTTTAAGGCACTAAAATAAAATTTGTATTATACAAACACAAATTACTATACAAAATAATACAAACGATATTCTAGATATTTTTATGGTAAAATAGAGTATTTGGTAAAGTTACTAATAATATCAATCATTCCCAACAATAAAAAATATCTACTAGATCAATGCAAATTCATAGCATTTAATATTTATGCCCAATATATAATATTTAAACACACATTTTTAAGAAGAAAAGAAAATTACCTTTCAAGAGATGATTCAGATCCATTGTGTCATGTAAGACTTTCTGTTTATGTCTGTGGTCTAAACTGGAGTCTAACACTGAAGACGACTTTGAGGAGACATCAGGCTCATGTTTTTCTTTCCCTTTTTTGGCTGCTTTCAAATATTTTGAATTATTTTTCAAATCCTCAACATCTTCATATATTTCTTGGCTCACATTTTCTTGCTTTTTAATTTTCACTTTTTGATCATTTGCTATGCCCAGTTCAAAAGACTGAAGAGGGCTAATGTCTGGAGTTGATAAGGGACTTACGTCAGTCACAGTATCTTCAGACTCCTCAGGGTAGTGGCCACATTTTGGTGTAGTACTTGAAGGCTGTGTTTCTGTCGATTTTATTCCTGATTTATACTTGTGTTTTGGTGACAGGAGGGTTATACCAGATACATGTTTCTTAGATGACTTAGATGACGGAGACGAATCAGATAGATGGCTATCAGACCCTGCATCTAAACAATCTGTACCTGAACCTGAAGATGAGGAAGATAAAGAGGAGGAGGAAGAGGAGCTAACTTTGCAATACTTTTTCCTTATGCTTTTTTTAACGTTAGTAGATGGTTTAGCGGACTTGGACTTCACATGGTATTTCTTCCCATCATCACTGCTTTCCTCTCCATCTGTGTAGTAATCATCTTCACCTTCTTTTACAATTTTGGGAATTCTATTTGGAATGGACACGTGTATTTTAAGTCCTGTTGTAACATCACACAATTTTTTTGATCTTGAAGAGGCTGGCAATGAGAAAGAACTTACAGTTTGTGTAACATCATTCTCTACGGGGTGTTCTGGGGGAAATTTCACGTTTCTTTCATTTCCCTTCTCAGTAAGATAATTTTCTGTTGTTTGCATTCCAGTGTTCGAATTTACATTTTTTGTATCTTTATCTATTCTTTCCTTTGGGTCATCATTTTGCTTGTCAAAAACTGAGTTAGTTTCACATTTCTTTCCTTCTTCAAAGTCACTGTCAAAGAAAGAATGGTCCACTTCACCTTCTAATATATCTCCAAACTGATCCATGATGGCAAAAATATATCTGAAAAAAAAATGTAAACATCAGACTAAAGAGTGATTTCCAAATACTTTCCATTTGTATACAATAATTAAATAATTTTCCCAAACTGACAAGTGTGTTTAATATATAAAAAGAAACATTATAAAAACAACAACAAAAAAGGTAACTCAGTGAAGTGATGATGGGGTTCTATGAGTAACAAGTTCTACCAATTATCTGAAAAATAAAAAAGTCCCATAGTTAAGTTCACAAGAAAATAACAGATCATCAAGGTAGGGATGTCACAAACATGGATACCTAAGTGAACCTTAAGGATAATCTGCCTTCTATAAATTAAGTACAACAAAACAAAGAAAAAGGCCGGGCGCGGTGGCTCATGCCTGTAATCCCAGCACTTTGGGAGGCCGAGGCGAGTGGACCACGAGGTCAAGAGATCGAGACCATCCTGGCCAACATGGTGAAACCCCGTCTCTACTAAAAATACAAAAATTAGCTGGGCGTGATGGCACGTGCCTGTAGTCCCAGCTACTTGGGAAGCTGAAGCAGGAGAATTGCTTGAACCCAGGAGGTGGAGGTTACAGTGAGCCGAGATCACACCACCGCACTCCAGCCTGGCGACAGAGCAAGACTCCATCTCAACAACAACAAACAAAAACAAAAACAAAAACCCCAAAGATATACAAATTAAGTACAATTAGAGTTTAGAGTAAGAAAGGATAGAGTTAAAAAAAAACTCATAGTCACTTCCCTTGAGAATAATAGTCAAAAAATAAAAGAAAGGAAAACAAGAAACATCTCATAGGACCAGCTAAACCATCCAAACACACAATTCTAGTGGAAGTCATGCAGTGAGGATTGACTGACATTTCAGGACTTGCTGTCTTTGTCCCCTTTCTGCCCCTTTACTGCAGTTAGGAAGGAAGAAGCAGAGACAAGGAGATGATTCCTGTTAAGGTTCCCCATCCCTTCTTTAAGAGGAACAAAACTTCTAAGTCACACATACAGGCTGCACAGGTATGTCGAACTTCTGAATATGTAATCACAAACTGTGCCAAAACCACATATAGAAAATGAAAGGGGAAGAGTATATATGTCTCACTGTGTTAAAGGGGGTCTGATATATGAGAAATTCACAGCATACAGCCAATGGCTCTAAAATGGAAAAACCAAGGTATATTATTCAGACACATGGAGTTAAGTATTACAAAAAATGGATTAAAATGTTCAAAGTAGTTGCCTTTATCAGGGGGCAGGGGCCACTGATTTTTGTTTTTTTCCCTAGAGACCACGTTTTTGTTATAGACCTTAAATTACTAGTTGACCTGTAAATTTATGTATTACTATGATAAAAAATTGATTTAAAATATTTTAATACTCCATACAGTTAAATTAGAAACATCACTATAAAGTCATAGTCTTTAAAAAATGGTTTTTTTTATCTGTTTATTACAGTGGTCAAAGCAGCTGTGTTACATTATCTATTACTGATAAGCTTAAGATCAGACTTGACCTTTGACCTTCTTAAGATCAGAATTGACCTTCTTTTTTTTTTTTTTTTTTTTTTTTTGAGACGGAGTCTCGCTCTGTCACCCAGGCTGGAGTGCAGTGGTGCAATCTCGGCTCAGTGCAAGCTCCGCCTCCCGGGTTCACGCCATTCTCCTGCCTCAGCCTCCCGAGTAGCTGGGACTACAGGCGCCCGCCACCACGCCCGGCTAATTTTTTGTAGTTTTAGTAGAGACGGGGTTTCACCGTGTTATCCAGGATGGCCTGGATCTCCTGACCTTGTGATCCGCCCACCTCGGCCTCCCAAAGTGCTCAAATTACAGGCGTGAGCCACCGCGCCCCACCCAGAATTGACCTTCTAATACTATTCTCCACTAAAAAACCCCAGGACTCCTTCGCAGGCAGGGGACTGCATTTCTGGAGGCAAAGAGCCTGGATCAGCTTATTGTTGCCAGAAAGCACAATATTCACAAATATGCCTGGGGTGGCAGGAATGAAACAGAGGATCAGTTTAAAGGGGCTTCCACTGTCCAAGTTGGACAATTCAGCATTGAAAAAGAAAAAAGACAAACATACATAAAAATGAAAAAATAATTTCTATGAGAAGCCATGAGTACACATTGATAGTCAAAAGTGACAATAAAATAATTTCCAATAATAAAACAGCAAAAGGCCAGGCACGGTGGCTCATGCTGTAATCCCAGCACTTCGGGAGGCAAAGGCGGGTGGATCACAAGGTCAGGAGTTCGAGACTACTCTGGCCAATATAGTGAAACCCCATCTCTACTAGAAATACAAAAAATTAGCCAGGTGTGGTAGTGTGCGCCTGTAATCCCAGCTACTCAGGAGGCTGAGGCAGGAGAATGGCGTGAACCCAGGAGGTGGAGGCTGCAGTGCGCCGCGATCACGCCATTGTACCACTCCAGCCCAGACGACAATATGAGACTGTGTCTTAAAAACAAAACAAAAATAGCAAAAAATGCAATTATGTGCTCACTATATTCATATTATAATTAATTCTATTTTACATCAAATCAGGGAGTAAAAGATTATGTAATCTGTATCCTAAACCAGCCACAACACTCTGCAGCCTTTAGGCAGGAGAATTGCTGAAACCCAGGAGACAGAGGCTGCAGTGAGCTGAGATCGCACCACTGCACTCCAGCCTGGGCGACAGAGAGAGACTCCATCTGATAAATAAATAAATAAATAAATAAGGGAATTCTAACATTACTTGGAACATGGAAAAGCTTCTGTAGATAAATATTACGATTCTGTTAACATCATCACTTAGATCACGAGTCAGCAAACTACCTGTCCGTAAACGAAATCTTGTCTGCCATCTGTTTTTGTAAATAAAGTTTTATTGGAACACAGCCCCACTGATGGGTATATGTATTGTCTCCCCCAGCTTTCACACTACGACTGCAGAGCTAAGTAGCTGTGATTGAGACCCTATGGCCCACAGAGACTAAAATACTTAGCATCTGATCCCTTACTGAAAAGTTTGTAGGCCAGGCGCAGTGGCTCACGCCTGTAATCCCAACACTTTGGGAAGCCGAGGCGGGTGGATCACCTGAGGTCAGGAGTTCGAGACCAGCCCGGTCCACATGGCGAAACTCCTTCTCTACTAAAAATACAAAAATTAGCCGGGTGTGGCAGTGCGTGCCTGTAATCCCAGCCACTAGGGAG
Source organism: Homo sapiens (assembly GCF_000001405.40). Taxonomy (NCBI): domain Eukaryota; kingdom Metazoa; phylum Chordata; class Mammalia; order Primates; family Hominidae; genus Homo; species Homo sapiens. The sequence goes on from NC_000004.12 coordinate 185,194,387, forward strand.
GCTGAGGCAGGAGGATCACTTGAATGCAGGAGGCAGAAGTTGCAGTGAGCTGAGATTGCACCATTGCACTCCAGCCTGGGCGACAAGAGTGAGACTCCATCTCAAAAAAAAGAAAAGTTTGTAGATCCTTGGTTGATAGATTTATTTAAATTTTTTAAAGAAACAGGTCCTCACTCCATCGCCCAGGCTGGAGTACAGTGACAGGATTCTAGCTCACTGCAGCCTCCAACTCCTGGGCTCAAGTGATCCTCCCACCTCAGCCTCCAGAGCAGCTGGGACTACAGGTGCATACCACTGTGCCCAGCTTGTAGACCCTTGATTTAGATGATGTATGAACATGAAAAATACAGAATACAAAACTTTTCTATACTGAATTAATAATACAATTTACAGTTAAAGCAAAACTAGGGGAGAGGAGGCCATAAGTTAAGAATTGACCTTTAAAAGAAAAATGACATACAACCCCATTATAGTTCCATTACTGTTACCATAATAGTGTTTGTGTAATAAATTAGGCACATAAGTGATGAGTGGGAGTCTGCTCAGTGGTTGAAACGAATCAATGGAGTCAGACACACCCAGACTCAAAATATGATTCTGCTACTTCCCAGTTGTGCGATCCTGGGCATGTACACAGGATGTTCACGACAGCACAGCATCTACTACTGTTTGCAGTAGCAATGCATGAGGAACAACTTTACTGTCTATTAAGAGGAAAATGAATAAATAAAATGTCGTGTAAGCACATATCTGCCAAAAAGGATACACTGAGATCTACAAAAATAACACTGAATAAAAAAGCAGAATTTAAAAAGCAACGAGGCTGGCACCATGGCTCATGACTGTAATCTCAGCAGTTAGGGAGGCCAAGGTGGGAGGACTGCTTGAGCCCAGGAGTTCCAGACCACATAATGAGACCCCGTTGCTACAAGAAATTAAAAAATAAAAATTAGCTGGGCATAGTGGTGTGCCTGGAGTCCCAGCTACTGAGGAGGCTGAGGTAGAAGGATCACCTGTGCACAGGAGGTTGATAATGCAATGAGTCATCATCACACCACTGCACTCCAGCCTGGGCTACAGGGCAAGACCTTGTCTCAAAATAAACAAATAAATAAGCAAGCAATGATACAATTACATAAAACTTAAAACATATACAAAACAATGCTATATTCTTCATGAGCACAAACATACAAGCCAAGTTATAGAACATGGATTGGAAGGATACACATTAAACATGAGTATAACTCATGAGGGGAGGGGAGAGGAGTAGTGTGCTCAGGGGAAGGAGAAATATAAAAACTCGGATAGAGGCCTGCGATCTTGAGTCATCACAAACGTAAAGACTATGGCTGATCATAATCTAATTTTGCCCACTTGAATGTAAAAGGAAAAACAAACTAAAATAGCCACTGAATGGTGAATAGGTCTTATAACACTGTCATTAAACTCCCAAAAATGTCACCTTTTTTTGTGAGATAATTCACCTTTGAAAACAAAATGTCAAGGAGTGGAATAAAAAGAACTGTGGATACCCCACAGTGTAATGGTGAGCACTCTGGACTCTAAAAAGAACTGTGGTTGTTGTTTTTTCCTTTCTTACTTTGTTGTGTGGTTAAGAATATCTTTGCAATTAAAAATTTTAAATTGTTTCTTCAAATTTCAAAAGTAAACGGTTTAATAGCATAGCCCAGAGCAATATTTTATAAACTACAGGTCACAATCCAGTTTAAAATCAATTCAGTAGCTCATGTCCATCATTAAACTGACGAAGTAGAACACAGTGTAATAATCAAGAGTGCATTATAGGCCAGGTGCAGTGGCTCACGCCTGTAATCCCAGCACTTTGGGAGGCCGAGGTGGGCAGATCACTTGAGGTAGGAGTTCAAGACCAGCCTGGCCAACATGATGAAACCCTGTCTCTACCAAAAATATAAAAAATTAGCTGGGTGTGGTGGCACGTGCCTATAATCCCAGCTACTCGGGAGGCTGAGGCAGGAGAATCACTTGAACCTGGCAGGCGGAGGTTGCAGTGAGCTGAGATCATGCTTCCAGCCTGGGGGACAGAAGGATAGTCCGTCTCAAAAAAAAAAAAAAAAGAGTGCATTACATATTATAAGAGTAAGTTTCATGAAACCATCATTTCTATTACTTAAATGCATTGAGTGTACTAGGCCTTGATGTAAAACCAGCTTCACATTCCTGAGAGTCTCAGGCAAGGGTTGGAAATGCCACTGATCTATGGAGATAAAAAGCTTTCATCAAAAGGTAATGTACTATGATACATAAAGATGGAATGAAAGGTTAAACTTTGGGTGGTATTAGACAGTGTCAAGTGTCATAGGTAATATGACAGAGTCTAGGAAAACTCTGCTAATAGATTAAGGCCTCACTACAATAAATCAGGAACCAGAGTTGAAGAAATGTAGTTTAAGGCCAAGCGCAGTGGGTTGCGCCTGTAATCCCAGCATTTTGGGAAGCTGAGGTGAATGGATTATTTGAGGTCAGGAGTTCAAAACCAGCCTGGCCAACGTGGTGAAACCTTATCTTTACAAAAATACAAAGATTAGCTGGGTGTGGTGGCAGGCGCCTGTAATCCCAGCTACTCAAGAAGCTGAGGCAGGAGAATTGCTTGAATCCAGGAGGCAGAGGTTGCAGTGAGCTGATATTTTGCCACTGCACTCCATCCTGGGCAATAGAGCGAGACTCCCTCTTAATTAAAAAAAAAAAAAAAAAAAAAGACATGTAGCTTAAATTACAAATATAAAAAATAAACATTTTCTTGAAATTTGAAGAAACTGAAATCACAAAATTATTTAGCTATAAGAGATGGATGATTACACTGAAGAAATGAAGAGATCTTAAACATAACAAAAGAGTAATTTTACTAACTCACAATCAAGTAATAAGTTTCTATTAATTCTTGGCCCAGAATTAATATTACACATATGTATATAAACTTATTAACAGCCACGTGACTATTACACTGAATGTCTCTGCTGGATTTTACTGGCGAATATATTAAAAGAAAAGTTGTTTTTGAATTTTTTTTTTTTTTTTGAGACAGAGTCTCTCTGAGTCTCCCAGGCTGGAGCGCAGTGGCGCGTGATCTCGGCTCACCGCAACCTCAGACTCCCTGCTTCAAGGGATTCTCCTGCCTCAGCCTCCCGAGTAGCTGGAATTACAGGCACGTGCCACCACACCCGGCTAATTTTTGTATTTTTAGTAGAGATGGGGTTTCACCGTGTTAGCCAGGATGGTCTTGATCTCCTGACCTCGGGATCCGCCCGCCTTGGCCTCCCAAAGTGCTGGGATTACAGGTGTGAGCCACCGCGAAAAGTTTAAATTTTCCTAGTCCACTTAACATCCAAATTATTCCAACTCCCATCCCTTAGAAAATTTTAAATCAAAAGCTAGAAATGATTAAGCTTAGTGAGGAAGGTATGCTGAAAGTCCAGGAGACAGGCCAAAAGCTAGGCCTCTTGCACCAGTTAGCCAAGTTGTGAAAGCAAAGGAAAAATTCTTGAAGGAAATTAAGACTGCTACTTCAGCGAACATGGGAATAAGAAAGCGAAAGAGCCTTACTGCTGATATGGAGAAAGTCTGAATGGTCTGGATACACCAAGCCAGCCACCACATTCCCCTAAGCCAAAGCCTAGTCCAAAGCAAGGCCCTCACTCACTTTCAATTCTATGAAGGCCGAGAGAGGTAAAGACGATGTAGAAATCTCAAGCTACCTGAGGCTGTCTCATAAGGTTTAAGAAAAGAAGCCTGCTCAGCCGGGTGTGGTGGCTCACGCCTATAATCCCAACACTTCCGGAGGCTGAAGTGGGCAGATCACTTGAAGTCAGGAGTTCAAGACCAGCCTGGCCAACACGGTGAAACCCTATCTCTACTAAAAATACAAAAACCAGCCAGGTGTGGTGGCAGGAGCCTGAAGTCCCAGCTACTTGGGAGGCTGAGGCACAAGAATCCTTTGAACTGGGAAGGCAGAAGCTGCAGTGAGCCAAGATTGCATCACTACACTCCAGCCTGGGTGACAGAGTGAGACTCTGTCTTAAAAAAAAAAAAAAGAAAGAAAGGAAGAAAAAGAAGCCTACTCTATCACATAAAAGTACAAGGTAAGCCAGGCATGGTGGCTCACGCCTGTAATCCCAGAACTTTGGGAGGCCGAGATGGGCAGATCACCTCAGGTCAGGAGTTCAAGACCAGCCTGACCAAAATGGTGAAACCCCATCTCTACTAAAAATACAAAATTAGCCGGGTGTGGTGGCGCATGCCTGTAATCCCAGCTACAGAGGAGGCTGAGGCAGGAGAATCACTTGAAGCCAGGAGATGGAGGTTGCAGTAAGCCGAGATCGCGTCATTGCACTCCAGCCTGGGCAACAAGAGCGAAACTCCATCTCAAAAAAAAGACAAAACAGTACAAGGTAAAACAGCAAGTGCTGATGGAGAAGCTGCAGAAGATCTAGCTAAGAGAATTGCTGAATGTGACTACAATAAACATCAGATTTCCAGTGCAGACGAAACAGCCTTCCATTGGAAAAGGATGCTAACCATCTAGGATTTTCATAGCTAGAGGGAGAAGTCAATACCTGGTCTCAACACTTCAAAGAACAGGCTGACTCTTATTAAGAGCTAATGGAGCTGGTGACTTTAAAATGAAGCCCGTGCTCATTTACCATTTCAAAAATATTAGGGCCCTTAGGCTGGGTACAGTGGCTCCCACCTGTAATTCCAGCACTTTGGGAGGCTGAGACGGGCGGATCACTTGAGGCCAGGAGATGGAGACCAGCCTGAGCAACAGGGCGAAACCCCATCTCTACAAAAAGAGAAAAATTAGCCAGGAGTAGTGGCATGTACCTGTTAATTCCAGCTACTGGGGAAGCTGAGGCTGGAGAATAGGTTGAACCCAGGAGGCAGGTTGCAGTGAGCCGCGATCCGGCCACTGCACTACAGCCTGGGTGACAGAGCAAGACTCCGTCTCAAAAAAGAAAAGAAAAATCTGGGTGCGGTGCCTCCCACCTATAATCCAAGCACTTTCGGAGGCCAAGGCAGGTGGATCACCTGAGGTCAGGAGTTCCAGACCAGCCTGGCCAACATGGTGAAACCCTGTCTCCACTAAAAATAACAAAAGTTAGCCAGGGGCTAATTTTTATATTAATAGTCTCAGCTACTCGGGAGGCTGAGGCATGAGAATCACTTGAACCCAGGAGGTGGAGGTTGCAGTGAGCCAAGATTGTGCCAGTGCATTTCAGCCTGGGTGAGGCAGCAAGACTCTGTCCAAAAAAAACAAAAAAGAAAAAATCTTAAGGGCCTTAAGAATTATGCTAAATCTACTCTGCCTGTGGTCTATATATAAAACAAAAAGCCCAAATGACAGCACACCTATTTACAGCCATAATTCACTTTATGTTTTAAGCCCACTGTTGAGATCGACTGCTCAGACAAAAAATTCAAAATATTACTGCTCATTGACAATGTACCTGGTCACCCAATAGCTCTAATGAAGATGTGCAAGATTAATGTTTTCACGCCTGCTAACAACATCCACTCTGCAGCCCATGGTTCAAGGAGTAAGTCAAATTTCAAGTCTTACTTTTCAAGAAATACATTTTGTAAGGCCATATTTGTCACAGATAATAATTCCTCTGACGGATCTGAGCAAAATAAATTGAAAACCTTCCCCATTAAGAACACTTATGATTCATAGGAGGAGGTCAAAATATCAACATCAACAAGAGTTTGGAAGAAGCTGATTCTAACCCTTATGGATAACTTTAAGGGATTTAAGACTTAACTGGGGAAGGAACTGCAGCTGTGGTAGAAATGGCACGGGAACTAGAATTAGAAGTGGAGCCTGGTATTTTAGAAGGCCAAGGCAGGAGGACCAGTTGAGCCCAGAAGTTTTAGACCAGCCTGGACAACATAGTGAGATCCCGTCTCTTAAAAGAAAAAACTAAACTACAAAATTAGCTGGGCACGGTGGCTCACGCCTATAATCCCAGCACTTTGGGAGGCTGTGGCAGGCAAATGACTTGAGGACAGTAGTTCGAGACCAGCCTGGCCAACAGGGTGAATCTCCGTCTCTACTAAAAATACAAAAATTAGCTAGGTGTGGTAGCACATGTCTGTAATCCCAGCTACTCGGGAGGCTGAGGCATGGGAATCACTTGAACCTGGGAGGTAGAGGTTGCAGCAGTGAACCGAGCTTGCGTCACGGCACTCCAGCGGGTGACAGAGTGAGATTCTGTCTCAAAAAAAAAAAAGCTGGGTTGCAGTGGCACGTGCCTGTAGAGGCTGTGAGGCAGGAGGATCACTTGGGCTGGGGAGGTTGAGGCTGCAATGACCTGGGATCATGCCAAAGCACTGCAGCCTGGGTGACAGAACAAGACCCTGTCAAAAAAAAGAAAAAATAAGTGGTGCCTCAAGATGTAACTGAATTGCTGCAATCTCACAATAAAACTTGAACAGATGAGGACTTGCTTCTTATGGATGAGCAAAGAAAGTAGTTTCTTGAGATGGAATTTACTCCTGAAGAAGCTGTAAATGTAGTTGAAATGACAACAAATGATTTAGAATATTCTGTATACTTAGCTAATAAAGCAGCGGCAGGGTTTGAGAAGACTGACTATGTTTTAAAGAAGTTCTACTGTGAGGCTCGGTGCTGTGGCTCACGCCTGTAATCCCAACACTTTGGGAGGCCGAGGTGGGTGGATCACTTCAGGTCAGAAGTTGAAGACCAGTCTGACCAACATGGTGAAACCTCATCTCTACTACAAATAAAAAAAAATTAGCTGGGCGTGGTGGCCCATGTCTGTAATCCCAGCTACTTGGGAGGCTGAGGCAGGAGAATCTCTTGAACCCAGGAAGCGGAGGTTGCAGTGAGCCCAGATCACACCACTGCACTCCAGCCCAGGCGACAGAGCAAGACTCCGCCTCAAAAAAAAAAAAAAAAAAGTTCTACTCTGGATAAAATGCTGTCAAGCAGCATCACAAGCTACAGAAATCTTTTGTGAAAAGAAGTCAATCAATAAAGCAAAGTTAATCATTGTCTTATTTTAAGAAATTGCCACAGCCATCCCAACCTTCAGCACTCAGCACCCTGATCAGTCAGCCGCCATCAACAGTGAGGCAAGACCCTCCACCAGCAAAAAAAAATTACAACTCCCTGAAGGCTCAGATGATTGACAGCATTTTTTAGCCATAAATTATTTTTTAGATAACGTATGTACATTTCTTAAGCATAATACCATTGTACCCTTAACAGACCACGGTATAGTGTAAACATAACTTTTATATGCACTGGGAAACCAAAAAATTCATGTGACTCGCTTTATTCCAAGATTTAATTTATTGTGGTGGTCTGCAAGCAACCAAAATATCTCCAAGGTATGCCTGTATTTACCGTCCCATAGTTTCAATCCCTAGAGGTCTAACCCTCCACCTGGTTTTATGATCTCTTCATGTCGTATCTCCACAGTTTATCATCTTTTAAACACCGTATAGAAACTTTCTGGCCTATCCACTTCTTTTCTAGGAAAGCCCTGTGTCATTGTAAAAATTAACATAAAATACGTATGCCTTTTCTCCTGTTAATCTGCCTTACAGCCCCAGCTGCAGACCCAGCTAAAGGAAAAAGGATTTTTGTTTTTCCCCCCATCCCCTACACTTGTCTCCTTGCCAGACTGGGAGCTCCTCGTCACTTCCTCATCTTTATAACCCCAGTACCCAAAGGAGAACCTGATGAATTTAGTCATTCAAAGAATGTTTATCCCACAAAGGAGTTTGGAGTTAGGAGATTTAAGATTGAGCCATGCTCTTTGCTACCCACGAGGGTAGAAAAATCGCCTTGTATGTGTGTGGCTGGGCATGGAGGCTCATGTGCGGTGGCTCATGTTACAGTCTCATGCCTGTAACTTTGGGAGGCCCAGGCAGGCAGACCACTTGAGCCCAGGAGCTTGAGACCAGCCTGGCCAACATGGCCAAACCCCACCTCTACAAAAAATACAAAAATTAGCCGGGCGTTGTAGCTCTCGCCTGTAGTCCCAGCTACTCCGGAGGCTGAGGTGGGAGAATCGCTGGAACCTGGGAGCTGAGGCTGCAGTGAGCCGAGATCAGGCCACTGCACTCCAGCCTAGGCAACAGAGTGAGATCCTATCTCAAAAAACAAACAAACAAAAAAAATCACCGGGTTTCAACCCAGTTTCCTTGATAGTTTCCTGCCATCTTCCCCCACCCCTCCGGAAGCACAAACCACAACTATGCCTTTATCTGCATTTCCATGATAAGGTCATGCAGTCCCCAAGAGCTGGAAGCCAGCTGCCTCCCTAAGTGGTCACAGTTCATGCGCCCTGGTGCATAGTCCGGTGCCTGTGAGACTTTTCAGGTTTAAATTTTAGTTAATAATATCCAACAGAGTTACTGTAAAGATTTCGACACTCATGTGACTTAATTTACAGGAAAATTTACCCAACAATCCCATCCACTGAGCAATTCTTTTGATAACATTTACTACGAGGTAAGTGATTCAATTTACCAGAGAATAAGAAAAATGACTTAATAAAGTAGTTAAGATTCTCTTTACAACAGACTAGGAAAGGATAAAATTAAAGGATAGTTCATCAGACCATAACAACCCTTTGGTGCTCAATCAAGACAGAGTTTTGCCAGGAGGGGCATGGCTCACGCCTGTAATCCCCGGACTTTGGGAGGCCAAGACAGGAGGATCGCTTGAGCCCAGGAGTTGGGAGGCTGCAGTGAGACATGATCGTGCCACTGCACTCCACCCTGGGCCACAGAGCGAGACCCTGTCTCAAAAAATAAAAATAAAAAAAAGAGACAGGTAAGTTTTTATCAAAGCTGCCTGAGAGTCACTGGGCACGCCCCACTTGCCAGGTCCTACAGACCAGCAATAACAAGACTAATGCTTTCACCAAACATCAGGAAAATACACAGAAAAGCACCGGGCACTTTTTAAACTGTCATCTTGTTACTGTGACAATACATTTCTGTAGTTAAACAGCACAGTAGGCCTCCAACAAGATGCCCAATTGGGTACATGAAAATCCCGGCCCAAATTAAACACCTGTTTCCAGGAACGCTAGGCTCTTGTCTACATCCCCTACCGTCCCCGGAAGGCAGATAACCCCTCGGGCCTCGTGGGTTAGGTTCGAGTCCCTACAAGTAGGAAGAAGTCGTCAGGGCCCGGCATGTGGTCGCGGCCCAATCTCAATTTAGGGCTGATCCTGACCCTCAAAGCCACCCGGAACGCGCGAGAGGGCGGGACCCGCCATTCTCACAGGGGACCGGGGTGGAACGGCGCCGCGACCCGCCGCCGCGGGCGCCCCTGTCGTGGGGGCGCGGTCTCCCACCGTCCGCGCAGGCTTCGTTAAACCCACCCCGAGTACTCGCCGCCGCCTGGGCTCCGGAGCGGGGAGACGGATGCGAACGGAAAGGAGCGTGGCGGGCGCCCCGCGAGCAGGGAGCCAGGAGCCGCTCGCGCGCCCCTCACCTGAGAGCCGCGGCCACCACAGCCCCACGCGCGGCGCTGGCGCACTCCCGCGGCCCTGAACGGGCTCCCGGCGCCGCGCGCCCGCGCTTCCGGAGGCGGAGAGAGCGGAAAGGGAAAGGAGGGGCGGCGTGGGGCCCGGCGCTTCGGGAGAGGCGGGGGCGCACGCCGGGCCTCGTGCGGCCCTCGCGGCGGGCGTCACAGAGCGCGGCGGGCAGGCGGCCAGGCCGGGGCTCCACGCGGGCGGAGTGGAGGCCGGGCCAGGGACGCGCACACTAGAAGAGCCGCGGAAGAAGGCGGTCCAGCCCGCGTGGTTGCCATGGCGCCCTAGAGGCGTTACTGCTGCTCCCGGCTGCCTAGGGCGGCGCGGGTAGGCCCCGTTGTTCTCGTGCGTTAATAGGGAAAGCTGCCTTGATTATCTTGTAATTCTCTACCAAACCAAGAATAAAAAAGAACGGCGGCTGTGTGTTTGTGATATTTTCTATCAGCAAATTTCAGTTCATACCACTAGTTAGTTCTGTGGACCAGAGGCTGGTTTCAGAATGGAAAGACCTTTGCCGAGTGGTAAACGAGGTGGGTAGTTAAAACAATCTAAGGTAAAAATGATCTCTGCAGAATATATTGAATACAATAACTTCTCGTTGAACTCTCAGGTATGGTAGGATGATGGCACCCCAAAAATGTGCACCTCCTAGTCCCCACAACACGTGAATATGTCACCTTATGTGGCAGACAGGATTTAGCTGATGTGATTAAGGATCAAAATGGGAAGATTAACCAGGATTATCCAGTGAACCCCATGGAATCACAAAGGTCCTTATAAGATGGAGACAAGAAGTTCAAAGTCAGTAGTGGGAGCTGTGAGCACAGAAGCTAGAGGTTGGAGTGATGTCAGAGGCAATGAGCCAAGGAGTGCAGGTAGAAGCTGCAAAAGGAGGAAACGGATTCTCTCCTGAAACCTCAGGAAGGAACTAGAGCCTGCAAATTTTGATTTTAGACTTAATACCTTAAGCACTGTAAGACAATACACCTGTGTTGTTTTAACTACTGAATTTGTAGTAATTTGTTATAGCAGCAATGGTATACAATCCAGTAGTTAATAAATATTGTTCACATCTAAGTGCAAAGAAGGGTAGGAAATATGGGTCTTACCCTGCCTGTCCCGGGGAGTTCCAGTAAGGATTGTCTATTTTCGTCCTTCACAATGCATTTTGTACTTGTTGGTCTTAATTACCAAAAGTATAATCAATTCTCTTTTTGTTGCCTAAAAGACAGCATTGGCTGGGCGCAGTGGCTCACCCCTGTAATCCCAGCACTTCGGGAGGCCGAGGCGGGTGGGGCCCCCTGAGAGGAGTTCAAGACCAGCCTGACTAATATGGTGAAACACTGTCTCTACTAAAAATACAAAAATTAGCTGGGCGTGGTGACGTGAGCCTGTAGTCCCAGCTACTCGGAAGGCTGAGACAGGAGAATCGCTTGAACTCCGGAGGTGGAGGTTGCAGCGAGCCGAGATCGTGCCACTGCACTCCAACCTAGGCAACAGAGTAAGACTGTGTCTCAAAAAAAAAAAAAGCAAGAATTTCACTTTCTTTTAAAGTGCTTAATAAAACTGTGTTGGCACCACTTTCCAGGGATAGTTGTTAAACTGTGGTTGGCCCGGCGCGGTGGCTCACGTTTGTAATTCCGCACTTTGAGAGGCTGAGGTGGGCGGATCACCTGAGGTCAGGAGTTCCAGACCAGCCTGGCCAACATGGTGAAACTCCGTCTCTACTAAAAATACAAAAATTAGCCAGGTGTGGTGGTGCACATCTGTAATCCCAGCTACTCAGGAGGCTGACGCAGAAGAATCGCTTGAACCCAGGAGGGAAATGTTGCAGTAAGCTGAGATCACGCCATTGTACTCCAGCCTGGGCGACAGAGCAAGCCCCTGTCTCTAAATAAATAAACAAACTGTGGTCAAAAGTTTATCTTACAAAGGACTTGAGTAGATATTTCTCCAAAGAAAATATACCAATGGCCAATAAACACATGAAAAGATACTCAACACCACTAATTAGGGAAATGCAAGTCAAAAACACAATGAGATACCGATGGCTTTAGTCAAAAAAATAGAAAATAAGGATTGGCAAGAATGTGGAAAGATCGAAACCCTTATGCATTGCTTGTGAGAATGTAGCATACTCAGCCACTGTGGAAAATAGTATGGCATGTTCTGAAAAACTTGAACATAGAATTATATGACCCAGCAATTTCCCTTCTGGACATACACTAAAAGGAAGTGAAAGCAGGGTCTCAAACAGATACTTATGCACCCATGTTCATAGCAGAATAGCCAAAAGGCGGAAAAAACTCAAGTGTTTGTTTATCAACAGACAGATGAAGCAGAATGTAGTAGATACATAAAATGGAATATTATTCAGCCCATGACTTGTGCGCCTCTGGTCCACATAACAACATTAAGATGGTCTGCAGGACAGACAGAATGGAAGATGTATGCCGGGCATGGTGGCTCACTCCTGTAATCCCAGCACTTTGGGAGGCCAAGGTGGACAGATCCTGAGGTCGGGGGGTTGAGACCAGCCCGATGAACCCCATCTCACTAAAAATACAAAAAATTAGCCAGGCATGCTGATGCATGCCTGTAATCCCAGCTACTCGGGAGGCTGAGGTAGGAGAATCTCTTGAACCGGGGAGGCGGAGGTTGCAGTGAGCCGAGATTGCGCCATTGCACTCCAGCCTGGGTAACAAGAGCGAAACTCTTGTCTCAAAAAAAAAAAAAAAAAAAAAAGAATGGAAGATGTACTAATCTTGGTTCAGAAAGACAGAACCAAAAGGATATAGATAGATATATGAGCAGGAATTTATTAGAGGAATTGGCTTACATGATTATGGAGGCTGAGAACTCTGATGATACACCCTTCGCCGGCTGGAGAGCCTGGAAAGCTGGTGGTGTGGCTCAGTCCAACTCTGAAGGCCTCAGAACCAGGGAATAGGATGGCATAACTCTGAGGCAGTAGGCCTGAGAACCCAGGAGGCTGCTAGTGTAACCTGGAGTCTCAACGCCAGAGCCTGGAGTTCTGATGTCCAAGGATGGGAGAAGAGTGTATCCCAGCTTCAGGGCACAGAGGAAACCACCTTTTTGTTCTTTCTGGGCCACAGCTGATTGGACGGTTGCCCACATCAAGGGTGGATCTTCCCTACTCAATCCACTGACCCAGGGGCAATCTTCTTGGGAAACACCCAGAAATAATCCTTTGTCAGTTTTCCAGGTAATCCCAATCCAGTCAAATTGACACCTAAATTTAACCAGTCACACTTTTTTTTTTTTTTTTTTTTTTTTTTGAGACGGAGTCTCGCTGTCGCCCAGGCTGGAGTGCAGTGGTGCGATCTCGGCTCACTGCAAGCTCTGCCTCCCAGGTTCACACCGTTCTCCTGCCTCAGCCTCCCGAGTAGCTGGGACTACAGGCGCACACCACCACACCTGGTTAATTTTTTGTATTTTTAGTAGAGACGGGGTTTTGCCATGTTGACCAGGCTGGTCTCAAACTCCTGAGCTCAGGTAATCCAGCCACCTCGGCTTCCCAAAGTGCTGGGATTACAAGCTTGAGCCACCACGCCTGGCCAACTATCCACTTTTAAGCATGGAATGCAGATCAGGATCAAGAATTTAACCTTTTTTTTTCTCTTCTGTAATATGAGATGAGTAAATCAGAGAATTCTTAGGAAGCATCATGGCATAGCGATTCAATGCACAAGCTCTGAAGCTGGACCACATGGAGTAACAACTAAATCCTAGTTCTGTTATTGATTAGCTTTGCAATGTTGAGCATGTCATCTTACCTCCTGTGCTTCAGTTCCCCGCTGTGTAGATGGAGATAATGGTATCCATCGGGGTTGCTGGGAAGATTAAATGAAGTATGTTTGGTCCTTAGAATAGTATCTGGCACACAGTAAGTGCTGTTAGTTACTATTATGGTGAGCTAGGGCTAAAATTGAAAAATTAATTTAAATTTATCATAAAGAATTCAGAATACAGTCCTCGGCATGTAAATGATCAAAAAACATAGATTTGGTTGTTGTTGATAACAAGCCACTGTGCTTTATTTGAATAATTTGGGTTGGTAGGGTACACTTTGAGGGGCTCCAATTGGGTGAAAATTAACAACTATTTTAGAGGCAAAAGGGCTTCTTCAAAATTAATCATACTGCTTTATTTATTTTATTTTATTTTTGAGACGAAGTCTCACTCTGTTGCCCAAGCTGGAGTGCAATGGCGCGATGTCGGCTCACTGCGACCTCCACCTCCGGGGTTCAAGTTTCACTATGTTGGCCAGGCTAGTCTTGAACTCCTAACTTCATGATCTGCCCGCCTCAGCCTCCGAAAGTGTAGGGATTACAGGCGTGAGCCACCGTGCCCGCCCCTATTTTCTTAAAAAAGGAGGAGAAAGGAAACTGGTAACTTATTTTGATCATCCCCTTGGCATGGCAAAGTCACATCTAGCATGAGGCACTCTTCATTTCTGACTTAGAAGGTTTAAGAAAGAATGAAATGAGGCCGGGCGCGGTGGCTTACACCTATAATCCCAGCACTTTGGGAGGCTGAGGCAGGCGGATCACGAGGTCAGGAGATTGAGACCATCCTGGCTAATATGGTGAAACCCCGTCTCTACTAAAAATACAAAAATTTGCTAGGTGTGGTGGTGCGTGCCTGTAATCCCAGCTACTCGGGAGGCTGAGCCAGGAGAATGGCTTGAACCCAGGAAGCAGAGATTGCAGTGAGCCGAGATCGCCCCACTGCACTCCAGCCTGGGCAACAGAGACTCCGTCTCAAAAAAAAAGAAAAAAAGAAAGAAAGAAAGAATGAAATGCCCATGAATACCAATTGATACTAAAAGCAAAAGCTACATCTGCTTCTTTATTAGTCTTAGCAGTAATTGCCAGTGTTTAAGTAGCATATTGGCATCTACTTAGCAAGCGTTATCTGTATATTACTGGCTGGGACTATGACAGAAGAAAAGGCAAATATATACTCTAAAAATTATTTGGACCACGTTCCTTTGCGTGGCTGATAGCATTTGAACTGAATAGTTGGTAAAAAACAAAAAACAAAACAAAACAAAACAAAAACCAGAAGTGGAGCCAAAGTGATTATGGGCAGCTGCGTGCACCCTGTTGCACCAGGCCGACTTCTTTGGACCTTTCCATAGCTAGGAATTGCAGGCTTCACTTACTCCACCGCACGTGTCTGATTCCTTCCCTAAGGCGGCAGGGTGGGAAAGGGAAGGTCGTTAGAAACTGTGACAGGGAGTCTCGGGAACGGTTGCCTATTTAAATAGCGAGTGAAAACCAGGCAGAAATGTTTGCCGGCTGTAAGCAAAGCGAAGAGGTTACTCGTCAGTGATGAGCGGAGAGGGAGAATTACGGGATCACCTGAGCTCAGGAATTACCAGCGCCGCTGACACCTGCAGCAAAATTTTCCATGAACAGACGGCATCCTGTAGAGGAGGAGGGGAGCGTGGGAAAGAGAGGTGTGCACCGCGCTGGGTCGCGCCCTCTCCCCGTGGGGCCCCGGCCCGGACCCCGCCCCCGCGCTGTGGGTGGGCGCCTCCCGGCTGTCACTCAGCGGCCGCGGTGGCTCCGGGCCCCGCCCGACACGCACTTCAGGGCGGCCCCGCCCCGCCCGCGTCAGGCTGGCCAGGCTTCAGTCACAACACGGTGGGGCTCCCTGGCTGCGCCCGGCCCGGCAGCTACGGGCCCAGCGCCTGGTGGCGGCGCTGAGGGGTCGCCGAGAGGGGCCCGGCGGCGTCTGCGGGGGCCGCTCCCTCGGTGGGCCGCGGGCGAGGCATGAGCGCGGGCTCCCCCTGCCTCCGGAGCGCCGGCGGGGGACCGGGGGGCAGGAGATGTGCCTGTCCTTAGCGGCCCAGGAAGCAGCATGCACCCCGATGCGACCGACAGTGGCGGCGCCGGCCCCAGCCCCGCGCGGGCCGCAGGCGCCGGCGGCCGTCCTGTCTCGGGCTTCAGGGGCGAGCGGCGGCCGGAGTCCCCGGGGGACGCGGAGGCAGCAGCAGCGGCGGCGCCGGGGGCCCCGGGCGGCCGGAGCTGGTGGAAGCCCGTGGCGGTGGCCGCACTCGCCGCCGTGGCCCTCTCCTTCCTGGGGCCCGGCAGCGGGGAGGCGGCGGGGGCCGCGGGGCTGAGCTCCGTCCTGTTCAGGCTCAGCCTGTACCTGAGCTGCGCGGCGGCCGCCTTCCTGCTGGGGATCCTGTTTGCCCTCGTCTGCCGGAGCCCGCGCGCCCAGCCGCCCGACTTCGCCGCCGCCTGGAGCCGGCTGGCCGCGACCTCAGCCGCCCGCCGCCCGCCGGGGGTAAGTACCCGACTCCTGGCCGCCCAGCTCCGCCGGCCCTCCCCGCTTCCGGTGCCAGCTCCCGCGCCCCGAGCTCCGGGGGGCCGCGGCATGCCCTTGTCGAAGCGGGAAGCCGGGAGCCAGGGGGCTGGGCTGCGGGCCCGGCCGTGGACGCGAGCGTTCCCCGGCGCCCGCGCGCGGCGGGCTCCGGGCTCCGGGCTCCGCGCTCCGCGGTGCTGGAGGAGATGCGCGTTATTTACTGGGCTCTGTAGTCACTCGACAACCATCCTCAGTCACAACCCTAAGGGTGTCCCCAGACCTTCGGTGTCGCTTGCCGTGGGAG
The DNA here is from genome assembly GCF_000001405.40 of Homo sapiens. NCBI lineage: Eukaryota > Metazoa > Chordata > Mammalia > Primates > Hominidae > Homo > Homo sapiens. The sequence continues at coordinate 185,210,578 of NC_000004.12, forward strand.
GGGAAGAAGGGAATCACAGCGTTCGCTACGTGCAGGCTCTGCGCACGGTCCTGGCGATCCGCTTGGTTCTTCTGGCCGTTCTCGGTGGGAGGCAACTTTATGACCGTTTGCCGATGAGGAAACTTGCTTCGGTCCCTGGCCCAGCGCCTCACCCCCAAGCCCGCGTACCCTTCCCACCACCCTATCCTGCCTTCCACCATGCGGATACGTATTATAGTTGTGCAGTCCCCGCTGGCTTCTGTGATTTGGAAGGGGGATGCCAGAAATCACTGGTTTGCAACAAAAGGAAAGCCATCCTCAGCGCGCTGTGGGACACTAGGGCGGGGGTTAGGGAATGTAGGAAAGAACAGTGTTTTAAATGAGCGCTTCTCTTCTTCAGTGCCAAACCCACTGCCCCATCTTTCTTCCACATTCCTTCTCATAATCCTTTAAAGGGAACTTTATTCTATCCCAGCTTAACACTCACTGCTTGACTGAGTGATACCATCATTCTAATGAAATTGCCCAAGCGCTTTGGGGTAAGATAAATGGCAGTGGCTCAACTTCATAAGAATATTTGTTAATGATCATTTGTCCCCAGGGTTTGTATTTGCTTATCACATGACCTGCTCACTCCTTTATTTTAAAAGAAAGCACCACACTTCACCAAACTACTCTGAGTGTGTTAGTTCAGAATGCAGCGCTGAGATAATGGCGGAAGGCATTAGTAGGTAACAGACATTTCGCTCAGTAGGCTGATAAACAAGGCAGTATATTAAGGAGCAGGCAACTCCTGTTTTTAGAAGTGGTCTCAAAAATTAGTAAAGTTGGTTTCTCTTACAAAATCTCCACTTAGCCATCCGTTTTTCATATCTCATTTAGCAGGAGTTGCGGAGCAGATATGTCTCTCCTCTTTTTTTCTACCATGGCAAGTAAGGACCCTGAGATTTTACTAGTTTGTTTGTTGATCAATAAAATATGTCTTAGTTCTTGAGTACTGTAAGATGTTATAATTCATTCGGTAAATATTTATTGAGCATCTTGTGTGAGCCAGGTACTGTTTTGGAAGCTGAGTTTGAATCAACAGGACACATAAATATCCTGCTCTCTGGAGATCTTATGGGGGAGCAGGCAATAAATAAATACTGTGGGATAGTGATAAATGCTTTTGAAACAGTGATTAAGAGGTAAGAGATGAAGAGGGACTAGTAGGTGAGGGAAGGAAGTTTAGAGGGTTAGGTCAAGATCAAAGTCCTGGTATTGCAGACCATCTCCCAGGGCATTGAAAGCCTCCTGTTGTGGGTTAGCACTCTGTTTCCTGGAAAATGCATTCCCGCAAATCTCCCAGCTCACTGGCACCTCTGGGTAGGTAAAACGTGGATTATCATCTAGAAAGATTGTTTAGTAGAGGAGTTGGAGAAAATAGTATTTTAAAGGTGACAGAGAAAATGAAGCAGCATGTATAAATCTCTCATGAATACTACCCGAAGATTTCAGGTAATAGAAGAGGGGAAGTATAATCTAAGGAAAATGAATATTGGTAATTATTTTTGTCCTTGAATTCCTAAAATAGCCTTAAATAAGAAATTAAGTGCATTAGGGGCTGGGCACAGGTTTCACCATGTTGCCTAGGCTGGTCTTGAACTCCTGAGCTCAAATGATCCGCCCTCCTCAGCCTCGGAAAGTGTTAGGATTACAGGCGTGAGCCACTGTGCCTGGCCTAACCCTGCCTCTTAAAAAAAAAAAAATTTTTTTTTAAATTTTTTAAGTGCATTAGGAAATTACATTCTAAGTTATATATTGCTTAGAACTGAAATACATGTCATTCACATAAAATTCTATTTTCTTTGTAGTACTGGTACTGTTTACTCAAGCCTCTAGTGCTGTATTTCCAATAATTTGTGTGATGTGTGTGTGTGTGTGTGTGTGTGTGTGTTTTTTTTTTTTTTTGCTTTGAGACAGGGTCTGCTCTGTCGTGCAAGCCACCACGCCTGGCTAAGTTTTTGTAGAGACAGGGTCCTCAAGTGATCCTCCTGCCTCAGCCTCCCAAAGGGCTAGAATTATCGGCGTGAGCCACCGTGCCTGGCTGTGTGTGCTTTTTAAATGTTCTCTTCTTTATGAATGGAAGAGTGGGAAGCAGAAGCATGTGGTGTAGTATAAAATATCTACAGTCAGTGCTGTGGGAGCTGGACCACACAGGTCAGCTAACATATGTGGAGGGGGAGGCTGTTTAGCAGTGAACCAAATGGAGCTCCTTAGAATAACAGTGACTGCTACACAAATTTGGATTCAGCGTGAAGAAGAGAATCCTCATTTATCCTTATATATTTTGAGTTCTCCTAGTGTGAGCTAGACATGTCAGACACTGGGATCAGTCCTTCTAGCTGTATATCCTTCCTTCCCTTGTTTTTTCTTCTTGACTTCTTTTGGTAGAGGAAAAAAATGCATACACTGTTAAACATAGGCAACTAGAGAAACCTCACTGAAAAGGGAAAGGGTGTTTTTATGTCTAGAGGTTTTCAAATGCTTCTGAATACTTCATAGTGTAATAGTTATCAAGTGTAAACTGCCTGTGGTTAGGACCTATAATTGACACCTTTTGTTATCACTTACACCTAGCAGGAGCTCAAGAAGTGTTCGCTGATGATGGTGAAGAACGTTATGTCCATTTATGGTCACTAACTTAGTGCTTTTCCCTTCCAATTGAGCTTGTACCTGTTGAGCATCTCCTATGTACATGGATTTTGATTTACTTGGATGAGAATCACTGTTGATTAAAGTTGTAAAAATAATTTTCATCTCAGATAGAAACTTCATCCCAGACTTCCGTGGTATCTTCAGATAGCACAGAAGGTTTTGTGAAGGTCAGGAAGGTTGTTGCTGAAGTCTTGACAGATGATATCTGGATCCCAGTTTAGAAAAACTTGGACTCTTGTTACAGGTGAGCAGAGCGGAGCGGAACTGTGATGCTCTAGGGCCAGCCTGCTGTTGGGGTTGACAGTTGTGAGTCCAGCTTTGTTGTGTGGGTTGTCAGAGTGTGGTGTCCCGTGTCCAAGGTTGTCTTTCTATCTTCTGCCAGGCCAGTTAACTCACCTGGGTCTGAGCCTCAGATTTACTAGCCACAGTTACTTGACCCCAGCACTTGATCCAATCAAAACAACAGCAAGAGAAATAGGGCAAGAATGAATCCATAGTTTAGAAAAACTTACTATCATCATAAGATCAGCAATTCAAAGTACATCTTCTCACAGTGGAAAAGAGGACACCATTTCTTACGTTTTGATGGTAAGAAGGTAAAAGAGAATAACTTTGTCAGTTTTTCTGTTGTGTAGTCTAATACAGATTTTTCTCTTTTCTTTTTACCCTGTGGTTTACTAGATCCTTTTTTTTTTTTTTAGACAAGGTCTCGCTCTGTTGCTCAGACTGCAGTGCAGTGGCCTGACCGTGATGTAACCGAGTACCCCTACTTTCCTAAGAGATGGTTTAATTATTTCTCTCTCTCTTCTTTTTCCCCCAGTTCCCCACTTCCCCTTTAGAAATGCAAATATAGCCTGTTATCTCCCCTTTAGCAGACTCTCCCTGTAGGGCAAGTTCATCTACCCGCTAACATGCCCAGCCCTTAGAGACTTCTTATTTATGTCTCCTAAGTTAAAAAATAAATAGGCAGTTGCCAATGAGGATTGGAGGGCTGATACAAGAAGTCCACAGAAGTTGGGTGTCCTGGGCATGGTGACATACACCTTTAATCCCAGTGCCTTGGGAGACCAAAATGGGAGGATTATTTGAGGCCAGGAGTTGCAGATCAGCCTGGTCAACATAGAGAAACTCCATCTCTACCAAAAAAAAAAAAAAAAAAGAAAAAAAATATTAGCTGGGAGTGGTGGTGCACATCTGCAGTCCCAGCTACTTGGGAGGCTGAGGCAGGAGGATCGCTTGAGCCCAGGAGTCTGAGGCTGCAGTGAGCCATGATCACACCGCCATATTCCAGCCTGGGTTATAGAGTGAGACCCTGTACCTTAAAAAAATAAAAATAAAAAGTTGGGTGCTTAGTAGAATATCGGAAACTAAAGGCCACTGCCATGTGAAGAAAGCATTAATGAAAGACTTCAAAGTTTAGCCGGAAAGTAGTTTAACAAGTTCATCAAATTGGATTAATAAGCATTTACTGAATGTCTGCTACCTACCTCATATTTCTGACCTTGTGAGATAATTTTGTTGTCTAGTTAGTTGCTGAGTGCTAGTGTCAGACACAAAGCATGTGCTCAACAGATGGATTTTTATAAGAACAATTTTAAGTATCCAACTGATATTTTTAGGTCTGAAATTTCAAGCACAGTTTCCTAGAGAAGGGTCAGAGCTTTGCAATAGGTGGCATTAAGAACTAGAATAATGGGCCTGGCGCGGTGTCTCACGCCTGTAATCCCAGCACTTTGGGAGGCTGAGGCGGGTGGATCACGAGGTCAGGAGATCGAGACCATCCTGGCTAACACAGTGAAACCCCGTCTCTACTGAAAATACAAAAAATTAGCCGGGCGTGGTGCGGGCGCCTGTAGTCCCAGCTACTCGGGAGGCTGAGGCAGGAGAATGGCGTGAACCCGGGAGGCGGAGCTTGCAGTGAGCCGAGATCGTGCCACTGCACTCCAGCCTGGGCGACAGAGCGAGACTCCGTCTCAAAAAAAAAAAAATCTGGAATAAAGCTTTCTGTAAGCACATGGCACTGTTTTGGGTGTTGGGTAGGATTCCAAGATGCACAAGAGTACTCCCTTCCCTGCCCTCTCCGGCCCAGTAGATTAGACCCACAGGGAGGACTGGATGGCAGAGATGTTTTTAGAGACAGACAGTAAACACATTCACACAGCAATCTACTGCTCCAGTTCGCTTGGATCAGATGGCTAGGATTCCTAAATGAATTCTTTTACTAATACAAATGTTCTTTGAGTAAAACAAACTCATTTAGTTACTCAAGGGGAAAAGGAAAAGAAACAGGAATTAGGGAGACTATTTACAGCCTCTTTGTGGCTTTTTCCTTTATTATGCTAATGTGATAAACTAATCCTCAGTCATTTGATAATGGATAATGGCATATAATATATTTACTGTCTTTAGAATATTCTTTTGCGTTTTAACTGGGGGATTTCAGTCATGGTGGCCACTGAGAAAAATACTTTTGAGGAAGGTGGCATTTTGAAAACCTTAAATCCTATCTGTGGTATAAGCGTTGTTTTACTTTAAATTCTTTTTTTTTTTTTTTGATACAGGATCTGGCTCTTTCGCCCAGATTGGAGGGCAGTGGTGCCATCTTGGCTCACTGCAACCTTCTCCTCCTGGGCTCAAGCCATCCTCCCACCTCCCACCTCACCCTCCCGAGTAGCTGGGACTACAGGTGTGCACCACTACACCCAGCTAATTTTTGTATTTTTGGTAGAGACGGGGTTTTGCTATGTTGCCCAGGCTGGTCTCAGATTTCTGAGCTCAAGTGATCCACCCGTCTTGGCCTCCCAAAGTGCTGGGATTACAGGTGTGAGTCATCTTGCCTGACTTAAATTCATTATTTTTTAATTTAGTTTTTTCCATAGGTTGCACAATCATATGATTTTAAAAAAAGTGTACAGAAAGGTATACAGTGAAAAAACATCTTCCCTCTAGGCAGCCACTATTAACAGTTTCTGTTTATTCCAGATATATTTGACATACATATAGGCACATACACACATGTATTCAAAAGGAGAAGTTTTTGATACATATAATATTGGTATGTGAACAGTGATTACACATAAAGGAAAGTTTTTCTCTGTATAATCTGTCGTGATGGAACTATTAAGATCAGTCAGCATAAGATGAAGTTGTATATGAATAGTGATAACTTCAAAGTGTGAAGGTACAATGCATGATTAAACCTGGGACAAAAAACAATGCTAATCAAGTGTACCCAGGAAATGACAAAAGTGTGTATTTGGTTTTTTTTTTTTTTTTTTTTTTTGAGATGGAGTGTTGCTCTTGTTGCCCAGGCTGGAGTGCAGTGGCACAATCTCAGCTCACTGTAACTTCTGTTTCCTGGGTTCAAGCGATTCTCCTGCCTCAGCCTCCCGAGTCACTGGGATGATAGGCGCCCGCCACCACGCCCGGCTACTTTTTGTAATTTTTAGTAGAGATGGGGTTTCGCCATGTTAGCCAGGCTGATCTTGAACTCCTGACCTCAGATGATCCACCCGCCTTGGCCTCCCAAAGTGCTGGGATTACAGCTGTGAGCCACCTCGCCCGGCCGACAAAAGTGTGTATTTGAATTTAGCAAAATCATCTAAAGGAAGCAATATGTGTTCTTCTAAGTTTTAAAAACCAACAAAATGGGTCCAGAGTACATGTACCGTTTGAGATTTGACTTACCAGTGAGTATATGAGATGACTCATAGGAGCTAGGATTAGAAAGGTAGTGTTGGCCAGGTTGTGGAAATGCCGTGGAGTAGAACTGAATTTTAGTCTTCAGGCATGGTCACTGTTGGCATTTTCTGAGCCCAGGAGTGATAGCATCAGAGCTGGGCTTTGAAACGTTGAATGGATATGTGATTGGGGTGGACTTAAAAGGAGAAATACTGGCCGAGTGCAGTGGCTCACGCCTGTAATCCCAGCACTTTGGGAGGCCGAGCCAAGGTCGCACCACTGCACTCCAGCCTGGGTGATAGAGTGAGACTGTGTCTTGGGAAAAAAAAAAGAGAAATACTGTGTAGCTGCAATGATAAAAAGTGAGAGTTAATGAAGCTGTGTGAATGGAGACAACAGACAGTACATTCAAAAGTGAGTGAGACTTTTCTTTGATACAATTCTCATTATTTATCATTACAATAGGTTCAAGAATATTCTCAGGAGGGTCCTAACATTCCTTTTAAACAATAAATTCAACCCCAAACCAAAGGATCCCACAATATATAGCAGCAGATGTATCCTAGGAAAGTCTTCCAAGTTGAATGTTCTACTTGGCACCTTCTTAATTCTGGTCATTCCCAGGGGATTTATTTCTCACTCTTGAATCTTCAGCTGCTTTTGTTTTTGAAGCATACGATGTCACATTGGTAATGGTAATTGACTGTTGCCTTCCTAAAAATATCTTAGGCTTCGTTTCCCAACCATATCATTTTGGGGATAGGAAGTGCCCTAGATTCCTTAAAATGTAGGATTCTTTATAGTCAGAATGGTACACGTGGTTGTGCTAAAAAGGTGACGCAGCAAGTTTGGTGCCGAGCGTTCAGGACACAGAAAATGCACAGTGTCTGTGGAAGGCTGTTAGGACTGAAATAATTGCATACCACCTTGCCAGCATTTTTAACATTGCAACTGTACTTTTGAAGGAAAAAGATTGCAAACTCAGAACCTGTATTTTTATCCTTCACTGCTGTAGGTCACCTATGCCACCTAGGTTGCTTGGTTGAATGGGGATGACAGGTAGGTAGGCAGCCCTTCGCAGGGGCACTCCTGGATACCCTAAGGGCCGGGATTTAGGTCTAAGTCACACCCTGCTTTAGTCTAGGAGTGTGTGCTTCTATAGTTTTTTGAGGCGGAGTCTGGCTCTGTCACCCAGGCTGGAGTGCAGTGGCACAATCCTGGCTCACTGCAACCTCTGCCTCCCGGGTTCAAGTGATTCTCCTGCCTCAGCCTCCCAAGTAGCTGGGATTACAGGCGCCCGCCATCAAGCCTGGCTAATTTTTGTATTTTTAGTAGAGACGGGGTTTTGCCATGTTGGCCAGGCTGGTCTCGAACTCCTGACCTCAGGCGATCCGTGCCCCTTGGCCCCAGAAAGTTCTGGGATTACAGGCATGAGCCACCACTCCTGGCCTGCTTCTGTAGTTTTTGTAAGTATGGTGGAGCTTTCCAGAAATCCCAGCAGGTTTGCATGTATGTTGGTGGGCCTCTCAGCCCAGGTGCTGCTTTGGGAGAAGGCAGCTAGGTGTGTGAGGTATGCCTGCTTTGCCCCTGCAGCTAGCCAGCACTCAGCAGCCACTCTAGGCACTTGCCAGTCCTGGTATGTTTGTCAGCCCAGGGTTTCTAGGTATGAGTAGCCACAAGCTGGATGTAAAGAAAAATGAATATGGTAACTCCAAGTAAAATGCTTCTGAAGCAAAGAGGGGAGCAAGGAATTGTGCATCCTTAGGATAAGACACATAACTTGTTTATTAGGCTACTAGGATCTATTCAATAGACTTCCTATTTTAGTGTAGAATATACCTCTTGGAAAATTAGATAAATATTTTACAAATACTCATTGCTACAGTAACCTGAATTTCTGTAGTTCTCACCCACCTGTATATACGGGTGAGTTTACATAAATTAAACTAATTTTAAAGTTTTTTTTAATGAGGTTCTGATCTCATACAGAACCTCATCCTCTTGCAGTACTCCTACCTTCTTGCTCTGCCACCCCATCAGCATTTCTGGGAGCCCACAGACAGTGTCCCATGTATTTGGGGATAATCTCAACTTACATTCTTCCATTCCTGGTGCTTGCAAAGCACTGGAGAGAGGTCCCTGTGCTATGCCGCCACTGCCAGTCTGTGAGAAAGACGTTCCCTGTTGGGGTACTCCTGTCTCAGTCCTCCAGAGCTGAATGTCTGGAGGGCCTTGGTCCGTCTTTCGGGGTTTATCTAAGCCAAGGCCACATGTATGCTTTATAGAAGCTGGCAGGCTAGCCCTGTTTCTCTCACTTAGGCATGTTTTTAAAAAATGTTTTTGGGCTGGGTGCAGTGGCTCACACCTGTAATCTCAGAACTTTGGGAGGCTGAGGCAGGCGGATCACAAGGTCAGGAGATCAAGACCATCCTGACTAACATGGTGAAACCCTGTCTCTACTAAAAATACAAAAAATTAGCCAGGTGTGGTGGTGGGCGCCTGTAGTCCCAGCTACTCAGGAGGCTGAGGCAGGAGAATCGCTTGAACCCTGGAGGCGGAGGTTGCAGTGAGCCAAGATTGTGCCACTGCACTCCAGGCTGGGACGACAGAGCAAGACTCCATCTCAAAAAAACAAAAAAAGAAAAAAGAAAAAATGTTTTCTTCTTATGGAAGCTAAGGAACTTATGCCCCTCCTTGCATCTCCTGTGAAGGCAGCATCTTCTTTTTTCTTGTGGCTTCTCTCCATCTGGCTCAGACTGGCTGCTGGGATCAAGCCAGGACTTTCTCTAGTCCCCAACCTTGAGCTGCTACACATAAGCCACCTCCCACAAGGCCTCTTCCTCTTATGTAAATCAACTCATAAAAATATATACCCGAGGGCTGCTTGCAGGCTGCCAATTTGTTATACATGAAATTAACATCTTAACTGTTCCAGATATTTCCATGTGTTTTTCCTGAAGCAGAGTTGTTAATCTTTTTTTTTTTTTTCTGATTTTTTTCCATTTCACTGAACCTTTCTTTTTTTCTGAAACTGCAACCGCTAGATAGCTCAGAAAGTTGGATGTTTCCCAGATTTGCATTTGGGTCATTCTTGAGGTCTCATTCTTCATTCTGTTACTTTAGGGCAGTCTCAACTTTGGCCTCCTACAATAATCATCCCTGTCTATATTGAGGACTTAAGAGATTTATTCCTGAGGTTCAGATCTAGTTTTGGGCCTCAGACTTATTTATTCAACTGCTTAACTTGACATTTCCACCTGGCAGTCCCAGTGGTACCCGAAGCTTGAGTCTGTGACATCTTATGACCAGTGTCTGTCTCTGTTCCTCTTGTTTCTTTTTTTTTCTTTAAATTTTATTAGTATTATACTTTAAGTTTTAGGGTACTTGTGCACAATGTGCAGGTTTGTTACATATGTATACATGTGCCATGTTGGTGTGCTGCACCCATTAACTCGTCATTTAGCATTAGGTATATCTCCTAATGCTTGTTCCTCTTGTTTCTGTGTCAGTGAATAGCACCTCTGAAAGTCAGGTCCCACAACTGAGTCCCTTTTTTTTTTTTTTTTGAGATGGAGTCTCGCTCTGTCACCCAGGCTGGGGTGCAGTGTGCGATCGCGGCTTACTACAACCTCTGCCTGCCAGGTTCAAGCAATTCTCCTGCCTCAGCCTCCCAAGTAGCTGGGATAAGGGTGCCCACCACCACGCCTGGCTAAATTTTTGTATTTTTAGTAGAGACGGGGTTTCACCATGTTAGCCAGGATGGTCTCGATCTCCTGACCTTGTGATCCGCCCACCTCGGCCTCCCAAAGTGCTGGGATTACAGGCGTGAGCCACTGCGCCCGGCCTAACTGAGTCCTTCTTGACATCTTCTCCTTATACCCCATAGGCACTCCATCAAGTCCTGTCCTTTTACCTCTTTTGTTAATTTTATTTATTTATTTATTTTTGAGACAGGGTGTCACTCTGTTGCCTAGGCTGAAGTGCAGTGGCACAATCATGGCTCACCGCAGCATCAGCCTCCTGGGCTCTTGTGATCCTCCATGCCTCACTCCCCCGCCAATGGCTGGGACTACAGGTGGGTGCCACCACACCCAGCTAATTTTTTTTTTTTTTTCTGAGACAGGATCTGGCTCTGTTGCCCGGGCTGGAGTGCAGTGGCATGATCTTGGCTCACCGCAACCTCCACTTCCTGGGCTCAAGCCTTCCTCCCACTTCAGCCTCCCAAGTAGCTGGGTCTAAGGATGCATGCCACCGCACTCAACTAATTTTTGTATTTTTTGTAGAGACAGGGTTTCACCATGTTGCCCAGCCTGGTCTTGAACTCCTGAGCTCAAGCCATTAATCTGCTTTGGCCTCCCAAAGTGCTGGAATTACAGGTGTGAGCCACTGTGCCTGACCCGGGCTAATTAAAAAAGTTTTTTCTAGAGATGGAGTCTCTCTGTGTTGCCCACGCAGGTCTCAAACTCCTGGACTCAAGCCATCCTCCCACCGTGGCCTCCCAGAATGTTGGATTACAGGGGTGCCTGCCCTTATTTCTTGAGTATCTTGCATTCATCTACTTCTTTCAGTCTTTCCTGCTTGGTCTTAGCTACCGTCATGTCCCACCTAGATGACTGTAACAACCTTTCAATTGGTCTCTGCCTCCATGTTGGCTCCCTCTTCCATTGATTCTTTTGAAAATGCAAGCCTAATCAAATTCCTCTTCAGCAGCATGTTTGTTTAAAATCTTTCAGTAACTTCCTGCTCTTCCTAGCTCTCTAGCCTAATCTCCAGTCATAATTACCCTCACTCCTCATGCTCCACCCTCAGTCCTCATAGTGCCGGGCTTTTTCTGTCTGTAGGGACTTTATATATTGTTCTCCTGCCTTGAGCATGCTGCTGCCCCCTTTATCTAGTTAACTTCTCTTTCTTTATACCACAGTCATCAGTTTTGCAGGGAAGCTTTTCCTATCTTTCAACTTACATATTCTTATAGCACCATATACTTCTCCTTCACTGTAGATATATAGCACCATATACCCCTCCTTCACGGTAGGAATATAGCGCCATATACCCCTCCTTCATGGTAGATATATAGCACCATATATCCCTCGTTCACTGTAGGTATACAGCACCATATACCCCTCCTTCATGGTAGGTATATAGCGCCATATACCCCTCCTTCACGGTAGATATATAGCAGATATATAGCACCATATACCCCCCATTCACTGTAGGTATACAGCACCATATACCCCTCCTTCATGGTAGGTATTCAGCTCCATATAACCCTCCTTCATGGCAGGTATTCAGAGCCATATACCCCTCCTTCGCGGTAGGTATACAGCACCATATACCCCTCCTTCGCGGTAGGTATACAGCACCATATACTCCTCGTTCACTGTAGGTATACAGCACCATATAACCCTCCTTCATGGCAGGTATTCAGTGCCATATACCCCTCCCTCACGGTAGGTATACAGCGCCCTATACCCCTCCCTCTCGGTAGGTATTCAGCGCCCTATACCCCTCCCTCGCGGTAGGTATTCAGCACCCTATACCCCTCCCTCTCGGTAGGTTTACAGCGCCGTATACCCCTCCCTCGCGGTAGGTATACAGCGCCCTATATCCCCTTCGTGGTAGCTATACAGCGGCATATACCGCTCCTTCACTGTAGTTGTCACAGTTGTAATTTTATACTCATTTGGATGGCTCCTGGTGTTTCCTTTTCATTAGTTATTGAACTCCATATGAAGGCAGAAACTTCCCTCTGTGTCTTTAAGGCCTAGTTGGATGATTTAGTAGGTAAGAAGTACATATTTAAAAGAATGAATAACTGGGAATGAGTAAAGCATAGGCATGAAGAGAATGGATTTGGAGTTAGTCATTGGTCTGAATGTGAATCTTGGCTCTCCCCTAATAACTGTGACAGTGGGCAGCTTGCTTAAGGGAGAAGTCTCTTCATCTGAAAAAAGGATATAATAAATACTTTCAAAGGTTCTTTGGAACAATGTGATAGCATATGTAAAATAAATAATATAATGCTTTGGATATGGAAGATGTTAAGTGGTAGCTTTTACACTTACTTTTTACAAACCTTTTTATTATACAATAAAGAATGCAGATTCAGAAAATCCAACCAAATAGATGTATAGATGGATGAATGATTATGGAGAGAAAACCCTGTAACTTCCAGAAACCCCATACACCCCTTTGTATCTCCACCCCAATATCAGCACCTTCTCTCCCACCTTAGCAACCTCATCTTGACTTTATAGGAATCACTTCCTTGCATGTCATTATAGTTTTATCGCTCAAATGTGCATTAGTGAACATAATAGTTTAGTCTTGTCTCTTTAAAAAAAAAAGTTTCCCTTCTATCCTTTTATTTTCTTCAGCTTATCTACTGAAAAACTTAGAGGATTTGTCCTGTAGAGTGTCCTGTAGTCTGGATTTTGCTGATTGCACATCAGTGGTGCAGTTCAACATGCTCCTCTGTGTGCTCTGTGTCCTGCAAATTGACAGTGGGTCCAGAGGCCTGCTCAAACTCCTGTTTGATTCCTTTGGCAAAACTTTGGCTAGTGGTGTGCTCTTAGAAGTCACGGTGGCCGGGGGCGGCGGCTCACGCCTGTGATCCCAGCACTTTGGGAGGCCGAGAAGGGTAGGACCATCCTGCCTAACACGGTGAAACCCTGTCTCTACTAAAAAATACAAAAAATTAGCCGGGCGTGGTGGCGGGCACCTGTAGTCCCAGGTACTCAGGAGGCTGAGGCAGGAGAATGGCATGAACCTGGGAGGCAGAGCTTGCAGTGAGCCGAGATCGTGCCGAAAAAAAAAAAAAAGTCATGTTGTACCTGGTTCTCTTTCCTTTTGTGATATTAGTAGCTGTTGACACTCAATACCTAGATCCATTAATTTATTAGGAGTGACAAGATGGAGATATTTTGTCATTTTTCAGTTATTGACTTAAATACTTTTAGAAGAGTATTGTCTCTTGTCCCTCCTGTACTCTTCGGTTACATAAAGGTACAGTTCGGTAGAAAAGCTGGATGAAACCTTGATTCTTCACTTTACCAGTTTCCACAATGAGTTGGTTCCTTATCCTCTGAAGGTGACCAATTCCCCCATTGTGTGTTTTTAAAAAATATTATTATGAATTCTGGGCACAGTGGCTCACGCCTGTAATCCCAGCACTTTGGGAGGCTAGGCGGGTGGGTCACCTGAGGTTAGGAGTTCAAGACCAGCCTGGACAACATGGTGAAACCTGTCTCTACTAGAAATACAAAAAATTAGCTGGGCATGGTGGCGTATGCCTGTAATCCCAGCTACTCGGGAGGCGAGGCAGGAGAATTGCTTGAACCCAGGAAGCAGAGGTTGTAGTGAGCCGAGATTGCGCCATTGCACTCCAGCCTGGGCAACAAGAGCAAAACTCCATCTCAAAATATATATATATAAAAATATATAGATATAAATATATAAATATATAAAAATATATAGATATATAAAAATATATAAAAATATATAGATATATAAATATATATATAGATATATAAATATATAAATATATAGATATATAAATAGATATATAAATATATAGATATATAAATATATATACATATATATAAATATATATACATATATATAAATATATATAAGTGTATATAAATATATATAAATATATAAATATGTAAATATATAGATATATAAATTTATATAAGTATATATAGATATAAAAATATATATAAGTATATATAAAAATATATAAATAATTATGAATTCATGGGTTTGAACATATTTGATGGGTTTCAATAAGTTGTGATTAATATTTTTTTTGAAGCCTGTGTTATCCCATCTTTGGCCAGTGGGAGCCCTTTTTAGTTGACTCTTGCATCCTTTGGACATAACCCTTGTGGTCTTTGAGTGTTTTCTTGCTATGTGGTATAACAAAATGTTTCAGGCTCATTTTGAATGTCTTCTGCTTATATCTGGAATTAACCATTTCTCCAAGAGGAGCCCTGTTTGTTTTTTTAAAGTGGGAAATGGCATTTCAAGAAGTCATTCAGAGTGTCAGGGAGGCTTGTTGCTATTGGACTGGTCATTGTTTCTTGACTTCCTCTATGGAAGGATCTGAAAAAAATACATATGAGATCTATGTATTGCAAAACACAATCACCCAGTAGTTAGATTTTTATATTCTATGTCTTCTTTTTTTTTTTTTTTTTTGAGATGGAGTCTCGCTTTGTTGCCCAGGCTGGAGTGCAGTGGCGCCATCTCGGCTCACTGCAAGCTCCACCTCCCAGGTTCACACCATTCTCCTGCCTTAGCCTTCTGAGTAGCTGGAACTATAGGCGCCCACTACTCGGGCTAACGCCCAGCTAATTTTTGTATTTTTAGTAGAGATGGGGTTTCACCGTGTTAGCCAGTATGGTCTCGATCTCCTGACCTCGTGATCCGCCCACCTCGGCCTCCCAAAGTGCTGGGATTACAGGCGTGAGCCACCGCACCCGGCCAGTATATTCTCTCTTCTTAAAGGCCAGTGACACTTCCTTTGAACACTGCTTTGTAATCCTCTATGTCATTTGCTTAGCATGGCATATGTTGGCATTGTTAATGGGTTCAGGGAAATCATTCCTGTGGCCCCAGTTTGATTGATTTCACTGTAATCTATGGCTATGAATACAGTGGACAAATAGGTGTATTACAGGAGTTATGTAATGTGAACGTCGTGAAGTGAATCCCTTAGTAATGGGTAGAGCTAAACTTAACATTTCTTGCACCTGCTGTTTGCAGGTGTATTAACTGCATTACGTTACCCAGTTTAATTCTTACATCAATCATGGGAGGTAGGGACTGTTATTCTCATGTTGTGGATGGGAAAACTGAGGTTTAGTGAGGTTAAACCATGTGCTCAGGCTATAAAATCAGTGAAAAAACTAAGAATTAAACCCACGTCTCTCTTAATTAACTCTGGAGTCTACACACTTAAACACTTTATTACCCTTTTAATTATTAAAAATTAGTCTGGCCTGATTCAGATTTAAAACAACTTGGGAAGCTTTGGGATGATTCTAGGATCTGCTTAGGACTTAATGTCACTTCAGAGGTCTCAGAATGAACTTGAATGATGTCACAGCTGTCCCTTCTGTGCTCAGGAGGATCTTTACTAATCAAGTAAGGCACCTGGTTGTGACTGCAGACTCTCTCTCAATACAGCATTCCAGGCAGCCGCTGAAAATTCACCGAGTTGGCACATAGCGTGAAACCCATCAGGCATTTTGAGTGAGAACCTAGTAGAATGGCGGTGGTGCCTTTTGGATTCTGCGATCACTTTTTCTGCGGCTGTATTACTCTGTCATCACTGCATTATAACAGCCAGGCATATACTTTTTTAGTCTCTCTGGTAAAAATCAGTGTTTCCCAAACTGTGATTCATTAACACTTAGTTCTGGGAGATGCTTTTAGGTACACTGCAAAAACAAAGAAGAGGAAGCTTGGGAGGCTAGTTTGGTGGTCACATAAGTCTGAAAAAACTAAATTTTTTGTTGTTGTTTGTTTGAGACAGGGTCTCACTGTGTTGCCCAGGCTGGGGTGCAGTGGCACAATTATAGCTCACTGTAGCCTTGACCTCCTGGACTAAAGCAGTCCTCCCACCTCAACCTCCTGAGTAGATAGGATTACAGGCATGTGCCACCACGCCCTGCTAATTTTTAAACTTTTTGTAGAGACAAGGTCTCACTATGTTGCCCGGGCTGGTCTTGAACTCCTGGGCTCAAGTGATCCTCCTACCTTGGCCTCCCAAAGTGCTGGGATTACAGGCATGAGCCACCACACTGTGCCTTGGAAAAACTAATTCTTAAAGCTTTACAACATGTGTTATTAAATTAACATTGTAAGAAATCCTACTGTAAAGAAATCTGCTTAGCTTTTTAATCCAATGTTTTGTAAACATGACTGATTCCTGTATCCCCTTCCTTTTATTTTTAACAATAAGGAGATGTATTCTCTTAAGAAAGAATACACAGTCCAGAGAGAGGACAAGCTCAGGGCTAGGGCAGGCTCCATGTGGAGACCATTGAGCCTCCAGGACCATTTCTCTGTGTTTTTTAGCCCCGTGAGTCGGAAGAGCTTGCGGGCTGTTGACCAGGTGACTGTATCAGTTTTAGGCACCACAGCCACGCAGGATGATACCCAGAAGAAGAAAGTCCCTTTTTGGAGCAAGGAAAATGTGCTCAGAAATGCTTCTGGCAGTGTTCCCCTCACATCTTACTGGCCAGGTTTGGGCAGGTGCCCGTTTGTTACCCGTTGTTGGCATGGGGGACAGGATTTCTGTCATTGGCCTAGGCCAGTCATTTATCTTTCTTGTTTTGTTTCCCTTACCTCATTGTGTGGAGAACTAGGCCAGTCACTTAGAGAGGAGGGAGGTTGTGGGTTCACAACACTTGGCCTGTGTCAAGGTCTTCAAGACAGGGCTGCCTTACCTTTTTAGCCTTCACTTGTATTCCTCTTCTTCAAGCTGAACTACTTGCTGTTCCCGAGTTTACCATTGGGTGGGTGTGCATTCACCCGGGAAGGACTTTGCCTGCATTTTTGTATGTTCAGCTCTACTTGTTAAAGGTCCAGCTCAATTGCCCTTCCATCCAGGCAGCTTCATTATGTTCTTCGTTTCTGCTCAGTAAGCATGCATTTATTGTGGGCAGGAGAGGGAGAGATCTAGGTAATTCCAGGTTTCTGGCTTGGGGGTTAAATGTGTACAGGTGCCCTTTGTGCAGGTTTGGGACGGTGGGATTTAAGGATGTGGTACATGTTGGCCATGTAGATTTTGAGATGCCTGTGGATCTGTCCAGCTGGCGGCTAGGTCTGCAGGCGTGCAGTTTGCAGGAGAGATCAGGGTTAAGCAGGTCAATTTGTTGGTGGTCAGTGTACACGTGACAGTTAAGGCTACAGGGGAATGAGACTGCCGAGAGCAGTAGGATGGCTGAGAAGCAGCGAGTCCAAGCGCAGGCAAGGGAGGAGCAGCCCACCAAGGAGAGAAAGAGCATTTAGAGGCCGTGAGATGAAGAGAGAAGCTCAGAGAGTAAGAGGGAGCAGATGGCCAACAGTATCCAGTGGGGCAGAGAGGTGCAGAGGGAGGACCGAGGGTGTGCCCCGGACTTGGCAACTGGGAGGCCTTTGGAGGTCCATGCCAGTGTGGTTTGGGGGTGGGACTGGAGAGGTTTACAGTGTGTGGCCTGTGCTCTGTAGAAGCCTGGCTGAGAAGGCCAGAAGAGAAAGTGGTACCTAGAGGGGAGTGTGTGTTATGGGATTTTTGTTGTTGTCAGGGAGAGATATTTAAGCACATTTTTAGGTTAAGGGAAAGATGGAAAAGTAGAGAGGAAGGGCCTGAACATCTCAGAGATAGATTGTAATTGATGGAGACATGCCTGGGGGGCAGGATCAGAGCATAGGTGGGGGCATTCGACTTTAGTAGGAGATAAAAATGGGGGCACATGGAGAGAACTTCGTGGAGGTTGGCAGGGAATTAAGGTATTTCAAGCTGGATAGTCTCAAATATTTTGGTAAGCGGGAGACGAAATTAATTACTGATAGTGAGAACTATGATAACGTGTAGAGGATAATTTTTTTATTTTTATTTTATTTTTTTTAGACAGCATCTTGCTCTATAGCCCAGGCTAGAGTGCAGAGGAGGATTGTGGCTCATTGCAGCCTTTACCTCTTGACCTCAAGCAGTCCTCCTGCCTCAGCCTCCCAGAGTGCCAGGATTACAGGTGTGAGCCACTGTGCTGTGCCTGTACAGGGTAATTTTAAGAGAGGCGATAAAAGGTTTGGAAAAAACATCATTGGAGAGAATAAGAGCAGAACCGTTTATTGGGCCCTCATTGTGAACCAAGCATTTCACTAGGCACTTTACATTCTCATTGAACCTTCACAGTTATCCTATGAGAAAGCTACTGTTATCCCCATTGTATGGATCAGGAAGCAGGTTTAGAGAGATGGGGTGACTAGCTAAAGGTGACAGAGCTAGCTGGGATGGTGCCAGGCTTTCTTTGACAGGAGAGCCAGCCCTCTTGATCTCTGTGCTCTGCTGTCTCATAAGGGAGAAGCAGCATCGCAAAGGTACGTGGGCTGAGTGCTGAGGAGTTAAGGGCCAAGATGTGAAGTTGGAGGCCATGAAAGACTAGCAACGCCCGCGGTGTGGTTGTGGAATTTTTGTAGGTGGAACACTAACACTCCTGGAGTGAAGCAGTGGAGATCTCATCTGTGGGCGTGGTACGACAGAGGGCCAGGGCACAAGAATGTTTAATGAGAGCTGCCCACACCTCATCAAGCCAAGGGAGGAGCCGAGGCCGGGAGGAAGCTGAGAGCTTGGAGAGAAGGGAAGGGTCAGAGGCCTGCGAGGCCTCCTATCTGCTGGCATGCAAAAGCCTTCCATGTGGCCGTGAGAATGGGCGAGCGCCGTGGAGTGGAGATGAGGGTTGCTGGAGGTGAGGAGGTCCAGTTGCGGTGTGGGTGGAATCTGCCCCATGTTCTATGTCTGTTGTCTTTTTTCTCATTGACTGAAGGAATTGCCCCCAGAAGTTCTCTGGTAAAATGTTAAAGGAAGATTGCATTATCCATTATTAAATCAGAGGGAGTTGAGGAGGCTGAGGGTGGGTAGAATGGGTGTTGCCATCTGTTGATTTGCCCACGGCTGTCTCTGGGTGTGCCAGCGTCATTCAGGCCATTCTCTTGTGGCTGTGCTCAGGCACAGTTTTGCTGACTAAACGCTACAGAAGTCAGGTATTGGGAAGGAGAATTGTTTCTTCTTTAGAGGAGTAGGTTTTAACCATGTTAAATTTCCAAGAATGGGTTTATTTATCGCCTCTACATAGTGTAGACCATTCCAGGAAAATAAATGATTTTTGATTCAAGTACTATATTTATTTATTTATTTAGAGACAGGGTCTCACTCCTGTCACCCAGGCTGGAGTGCAGTGATGCAATCATGGCTCTCTGCAGCCTCGACTACCTGGGCTCAGGTGATCCTCCCACCTCAGCCTCCTGAGTAGCTGGGACTACAGGGACGTGCCACCATGCCTGGCCAATTTTTAAAATTTTTAGTAGAGATGAGGTTTCGCCATGTTGCCCAGGCTGGGCTTTGAATTCCTGGCTCAAGTCAAGGGCCCACCTTAGCCTCCCAAAATGCTGGGATTATTGGCATGAGCCACTGTGCCTGGCCTAAGCACTGTATTTAAAACTACCTCTCATACATTTAACTGATTTTCCTTGCCTTTTAAAGTGATTAATGGCTTGTTAATACCATTGTGGAATAAAATTCTGTAGAGAAAGAGTTCATACTGCCTCTTGTCTTTATGAACATACAAATGAAATATTATAATTATCATTTTAGTTAATCTAAAGTCCAAGAATGACTCTACATTCAAACAAACCTTTCTGATTTTCCTAATAATAACACACTTCTGTTTTTTTCAGGAATCATAATTTTTTTTTTTTTTTTCCTCAACAGAGTTTTGCTCTTGTTGCCCAGGCTGGAGTGCAATGGCACAATATCAGCTCACGCAACATCCGCCTCCCAGGTTCAAGCAATTCTCCTGCCTCAGCCTCCCGAGTAGCTGGGATTACAGGCATGAGCCAACACACCTGGCTAATTTTGTATTTTTTTTTTTTAATAGAGACAGGGTTTCTCCATGTTGGTCAGGCTGGTCTCGAACTCCCGACCTCAGGTGATCCACCTGCCTCGGCCTCCCAAAGTGCTGGGATTACAGGCGTGAGCCACTGCGCCTGGCCCAGGGATCATAATCTTTATCATCAGGACCAGTTCGCAGTGTTTCCTAAAGTGTAGTCTGAGGGTTCACAGAAATAATTTAGGAAATGTTGTTAAAAATACAATACTTACTCTAAAGACATATCCTAAATTTTGTGAATTAAGAATATAAGGGAATAGTGTCTAAAAATCTGCATTTGAACAAATTCCCCAAGTGATTCTTGAAGAAAACTGATTTAGAATGTTTTCAAGTTACAGATAGGGGCTTCCTGATGTCAACAAGGCCCAAGGAAACTAAGTCATGTCTAATATTAACATGTATATATCCACGTGCACCAGGCTGCATTGCTCAGTCCTCTCTACTTAGTGGAATGGCTGTCGCACAAAGGCCTGTCTTAATAACATGTTTCTTTTTTCCTTTTTTTTGTTTTTTTTTTTTTTGAGACAGTGTTTCGCTCTGTCGCCCAGGCTGGAGTGCAGTGGCATGATCTCGGCTCACTGCAAGCTCTGCTTCCTGGGTTCACGCCATTCTCCTGCCTCAGCCTCCCGAGTAGCCGGGACTACAGGCTCCCGCCACCACGCCCGGCTAATTTTTTTGTATTTTTAGTAGAGACGGGGTTTCACTGTGTTAGCCAGGATGGTCTTGATCTCCTGACATCGTGATCCACCCGCCTCGGCCTCCCAAAGTGCTGGGATTACAGGCATGAGCCACCATGCCTGGCCAATAACTTGTTTCTTTTAAGAGCAAAATTGGCCGGACGCGGTGGCTCACACCTGTAATCCCAGCACTTTGGGAGGGCGAAGCAGGCAGATCACTTGAAGTCAGGAGTTCAAGACCAGCCTGGCCAACACTGCGAAACCCCGTCTCTACTAAAAATACAAAAAATTAGCTGGGCTTGATGGTGGGCGCCTGTAGTCCCAGCTACTCGGGAGGCTGAGGCAGGAGAATGGCGTGAACCCAGGAGGTGGAGGTTGCAGTGAGCTAAGATGGCGCCACTGCACTCCAGCCTGGGCGACAGAGTGGGACTCCATCTTCAAAAAAAAAAAAAAAGCAGGATTTATTCTTTGAATGTCAACACATTTATTTTAGAATTTTAGATAGAAACAGAAGAAGCAATTTGTATGATCTAGATCTGGGCTGGAGTAAATAACTTTTACTCATCAATTAAAAGGGATATAAAAGTCTGTCTCTTTGAGTAGATTTAATTGCATTGTATTTTTGTCTTTATGCAGCTAGTCTTTTATGGCAGTAATTCATTCCATATCTTAATATGACACATTTATGCTATCTGGGCTGCTAGGTGTGGGGCCCAGCTTTTCACTTCAAAGGAATTATGGAAGTCGAGGTCCCAGTAAATCAAATTACCAATGTAATTTTTTTCTAAGTATTTTATCACCAGTTTTTATTTAAAAGCTAGTTAATGTGAAAAACACACTCACCCGTCTAAACCCAAAGAATGGACTCAGAGACATGAAGAACAGCAGAAGAGAGACTTTTAATGGTGGTCTTGCAAGATGGGGTGTCTGGTAGGCAGGCACACCTGGGACAGTTACAGCAGGTAATTTATCTCCTAGCACACAAGTCCCCTTGCCCAGTTCCTCATTGGTCTAGTACTACGGGGTTACAATCTTCCCGGACATCGCCTAAGTTTTATTATCCCCCTTATAAGGTTATACCCCATCCATCCCCTTCCCCGCTTAAGTTTCAATTTCCCAATAATGCAATTTTCTTCCCTTTTATGGGCCGACCCCTCCTCTGCATCCTGTTTGCTTATCATGACTTTCTAGGTGCATGAGCCGTGCAGTTTGTCATGTCCACAGGCCGGATACCAGTACTTAGATTTATCATGCTTCAAAAATGGACCATTTAAAATGTTTCCTCACAGTTAACAAATTAACTAAGATAATGGCATTATGGTATTCCAGGACAGTAATGGAGTACAAAACAGTGATTGATTTCATGACTAAAGATCTCTGTGAAAAAAGCAATTCAACGTGACTCATCCAGTTGTTGAGTTACAGGACAGCTTTAAAGCAGGGGCAGCTCTTCTGGTTCCTTCAGCATTTATGTTCAGTGCTATCAGCGAGAACTATTATGACATGAGAATTCTTTTTCCAATATACTTTAATATGTATGAACTTCAAAATTCTCTTAGATTGGTTGTATACTTGAGTAATTTATCTTCTGTGACCTGGGCTAGAAAGTGAAATGTAGAGAGCATGCCAGAATAGGAAGAATATTAGAATTCCTAAGCCCAGCCTTCCATGGTGGTATGGCTCATTAGCTACCCGATTATGAGTTTCCATCAAAAATAAATGAAGCCAAGGCTGGGTGTGGTAGCTCACACCTGTTATGCTAGCACTTTGGGAGGCTGAGGCGGGTGGATCACCTGAGGTCAGGAGTTCGAGACCTGCCTGGCCAACATGGTGAAACCCCGTCTCTACTAAAAATATAAAAATTAGCTGGGCATGGTGGCACATGCCTGTAGTCCCAGCTATTTGGGAGGCTGAGGCAGGAGAATCACTTGAAACCTGGAAGGCAGAGGTTGCAGTGAGCCAAGATGGCACCACTGCACTCCAGCCTGGGTGACAGAGTGAGACTTAGTCTAAAAAAAAAAAAAGAATAAATGAAGCCCTGTGAGTACAGAGAACATAATTTATTTACCGTTCCCTCTCCAGTACCCAGCTAAGTGCCAGGCACCCAGAGTGAGTCCTCAGTAAATGTTAGATGATTGAATAAACTGATGGAAACATGATTCATATCATAGAAACCTATGATTTCCCTTATGAACTCAAAATTACAATAGAAGCCAGTGATAAAATAGTTACAGAATTTTTTTATCATATAAACTTTTTTAGAAATGCAAAAATTATTGTCAGGGTTTTCAGTTACCTTTTTCTAAGCCAGTTTGCTTTTCTTCATTCTTTTTTTCTAGCTTCTATTCGTTCTCTACTTGCCAATTTAGTCAAACTGCTATCTGCCTGTGTATTTTCAAGTACATGTTCTGATTTCAATTTTCAAGTGTTTGTCTGATTTGAAATATACTTAAATTTCTCTTGTAATCAAATGGAGTGTGTTTTGTAAAGATCTTCAGATTTGAATCTTAGAAATTAGAGATAAAGCTCTTTTTTCTCCCCATGAATCTAATTCTTCCAATTGAATGGAAAAACAACTTAAGTGTTATTATTATTATTATTTTTAGATGGAGTGTGGCTCTGTTGCCCAGGCTGGAGTGCAGTGGCGCGATCTTGGCTCACTGTAAACTCTGCCTCCCGGGTTCACACCATTCTCCTGCCTCAGCCTCCCGAGTAGCTGGGACTACAGGCACCTGCCACCATGCCCTGCTGATTTGTTTGTATTTTTAGTAGAGACGGGGTTTCACCGTGTTAGCCAGGATGGTCTCGATCTCCTGACCTCGTGATCTGCCCGCCTCAGCTTCCCAAGGTGCTGGGTTTACAGGTGTGAGCCACCATGCCCAAAAACAACCTAAGTATTATTAACCGACCTCAAAATCTACTTCTATTGATCACTTAATGAAGATTTTGCCTTTGTGTTAATACTTATTTTTCTTTTAGAAAGCAGGTTATTCACCAGGAAACATTACGAAAGGAACCTGCTATGAAAGTAAAATATGACGGCATGAGAGGTCATAACATCAATCCCATGTAATATAACTATAATCATTTTTCGGAAAGGAAATTAACGTTGTTAAAAAGTTTAGGCTGGCCGGGCGCGGTGGCTCACGCCTGTAATCCCAGCACTTTGGGAGGCCGAGGCGGGCGGATCACGAGGTCAGGAGATCGAGACCATCCTGGCTAACACGGTGAAACCCCGTCTCTACTAAAAATACAAAAAATTAGCCGGGCGTGGTGGCGGGCGCCTGTAGTCCCAGCTACTCGGGAGGCTGAGGCAGGAGAATGGCGTGAACCCAGGAGGCGGAGCTTGCAGTGAGCCGAGATCGCGCCACTGCACTCCAGCCTGGGCGACAGAGCGAGACTCTGTCTCAAAAAAAAAAAAAAAAAAAAAGTTTAGGCTATGACTTTTGGAACCATAATAGTAACCTGTATCTCTGAACTGCTTTATAATTGTTAAAGCACTTTTATGTGCATATTATCCTTCTTCAAATGCATAATAATTCATTAATTTAAATAGTGCAGACATTATTATTTTACATTGACGTGACTCTCAGAGAGGTGGACATGTTCATCATAGCCCAGCAAGTTAATGGGGAATAATCAACTGCAGCTTCATTTATTCTGGGTTTTAACTGAATGCTTTTGCCACTCTAATGTGATGTAATATGCTTTTGTCATGGTAATAATAAGGGGATTATGCCCCAGCATGAAGCACATTTTAATTTCGTATTTGTTCAGAGAAAAGATCTAATGGTTTCATATCCCTTCATAGGATGTAGTCTCTCGGTCTATCTTAATAGAGAATTGTCTTTCATTATGGAAGTAGCAACAGAACCAGAATCATACATTTGATGCATGTAGGCATGGTTGGCCTTTGGCCTGGACACAAAACATACTTTGATACATGGTGTAATAAGCTACAGAAGCTTCTGATCTAATCTGCCATTCATCTTTCTCTATGTTCATGTGAGGTAAAATCAGGATACAGATGTAGGCTTTTGGAAGCTGTGTTGGTCTTACTAAGTACCCCTCGGGAATAGAAGGCCCTGACCTGTGCCTTCACACTGCCTCTCTTGTTCATTACTCAGTTCTTCTTCTGGAGGTGCCCTGCTCAGAGGACCTGGGCTTTCAAGGGACATGGTTTAGGGTTGGCCAAAGAGGCTGAAAAGGGATTTTTCCAGTTCACCTATGCATAATTCGTGCTTCAAGGCCAGAAAAGCTGAGAGTACCTCACCTCCCACCCCATTCTCTCCTTTGTTCCTTCGGTTTCTTCTCAGCCGATAGAAGACTCGCCTTTTGGCCAGTTGCAGTGGCTCACAACTATCATCCCAACATTTTGTGAAACCAAGGTGGGAGGATTGCTTGAGGACATGAGTTCAAGACCAGCCTGGGCAACATAGTGAGACCCCTGTGTCTACAAACAAAATAAAAATAAAAAATTAGCTGGGATTGGTGTACACACCCGTAGTCACAGCTGTTTGGGAGGCTGAGGTGGGAGGATTGCTTGAGCCCTGCGGAGACTGTCCTGCAGACCCTGGCTGAGCAAGGGATGAAAGGAATATGCAGATGCAGGTATTCTGCATGAGTGTGGCTAGGGGCCGAAGAGAGAGTGCAGTCCTGATAAACCAGAGCCGCTTGTCTATGTTCAGTACAGATGTACTGACAGAGGCCTGGAGTCAACACAATCTGTGGTAATTAACATTGTTGTCCCCCCTTGCAGGGAGCAGTCTGGTGTGCGGATGATCTAAGGTCGGTTTCCGGGCAACATAAGTAAATAAACTTATCTAGATAAACTCCTCTACATTCCCTTGCACCTACTTCTCACCCTCTGCCTCAGGGTAAGAGAATTAGCTGCCTTCAGCTTTATTCTCTCCCGAAGTTTTGCAAAACCTCCTGGCCTTCCAAGAAGGTTTGCATCTTTCCCTATAACTTTTTATAACTTTTCCCACCACCCTGACCAATCTCCTATAGTACCCAGGAGTTTGAGGCTGTAGTGAGCCATGACTGTGCCACTGCACTCCATCCAGCCTGGGCAACAGAGTGAGACCCTGACTGAAGAAAAAAAAGACTCCCCTGTGAAGCAAAAGAAAATTCTTGAGGCATTTAATCTTTTGAATCAAGTCAGAGTCCAAATCCACCTATATATTTTATAGACGCTTTTAGTATGATTTAGAACATTTTTGGTGGTACCAGTAGCATAACAGTGGCCACATTTTTTATTTAAATAGAAAAAAAAGATGGAGACAAACTAAATATAGAATAAGAGAATAAATTATGATATAAGCTATTCAAAACATTGTCTGAGTCTTTTATTATTATAAAAGATATTCATGATAAAATACTGAGTGTAAACAGCCAGATGCAAAGTTGTATGTATACCATGATCCCAATTTCTTTTAAAAAGTATACAGATGAAAAAGTTACCAATAATTTATTGTTGTCAGACATTGTTACAGTACTTGGTGTGTGTTAATTAATGCTCATATCAATTTTGTGAGGTAGGTACTATTGTTATCTATTTTACGTATGAGGAAAGTGAGGTATGGAAAAGTAACTTGCCCAAGGTTACATAGTAAGTGTTGGAATCACTGACAAGAAGGAAATGTACCAAAATGTTATTAGTGATCATCTGGATCATCATTATGAGTCAGTTTAATTCCTTACATCTATAATAGAGAATGTATTTCTGCTGTTTATGTAATTGGAAATAACAGTTTAAAAAGAAATTATAGCATTTTTGAAATTTAGGAAAACAGTAATATGAGAAAACTTGTAGGTTGAATTTTAAAGAATAGCTGCTCCTTCCTGTATCTAAAGTAGAAATTGTGCTTGACTAAGAGGGAAAAAAAGGCACAAATCCACTATTTTCTATTAATACACTCTCCCTAAATGATAACCTCTCAGTATCATGTTAACAATTTTCTGTTTTTTTTGATAAGGAAAGTAAGATATTCTTTAGTTCATGGTTCAGCACAATAAAAGCACAACTCAGGAAACTGTCAAACCAGGTTTTGTTTGGATACTTAAATGCTTTACGTCACAGCAAAACATCTCCAGGGAATGTGCGCTTTCCTCTCTGTAAAGCACATCCTCAAAGGCAAAAATACTTCAAGAATTATGTGCTCTGTTATGCTGTGTCTTACTGGTTGCTTAACTTTTCAACCCCTCCGTGCTTTTATTTCTGCCATTCCTGTGCCTTTAGAAAACCCCTCAATCAACCCACTTTGGATTTGTTGGAAGTTGGTAAACATTTTGAGTTGTATTTGTGATACTGTCTGGTGGGCGCTCTAAGAGCTTTGTGAGAGCAGCCATTACAGACTAGACGCCCACGGCTTGAACATGGCTCAAAGTTTAGCCCAAACAGTGGCAGCCTGCAGAGTTTGTAATAACGTTGAATTAGTTGGAGATATCGTCCAAAATTCATGACTTTTTTTTTTGGTGTTGTTGTTGGAAAAAAAAAAATCAGGCCGGGTATGGTTGGTTGCTCGTGCCTGTAATCCCAGCACTTTGGGAGGCCGAGGTGGGCGGATCACCTGAGGTCAGGAGTTCGAGACCAGCCTGGCCAACATGGAGAAACCCCGTCTCTACTATAAATACAAAAATTAGCCGGGCGTGGTGGCACGTACCTGTAGTCCCAGCTACCCAGGAGGCTGAGGCAGGAGAATCACTTGAACTCAGGAGGCGGAGGTTGCAGTGAGCCGAGATCACACCACTGCACTCCAGTCTGGGCTACAGAGCGAGACTCCATCTCAAAAAAAAAAAAAAAAAAAAAAATTTAGAGCACCTCTCAGCACAGTAGTTGCAATCCCCTTCACACATTTAGAGTCCTTGTCAGGCCCCTATCATCTTTTTTTAGATCCCTGATATTATTTATTTGATCCTCCTGAGGCATATTAGCCCACATAATAAGCAAGCTAGAGAGGGGAGTGGCTGGGTCAAGGACCTACCATTAGTAAATGGCAGAGTGGAGCCCGCCTGCCATGGGAGCCTGTGTTCTTTCTCTTAACACGGCTGCTTGGCTTCCAGGTGGGGAGTGACACTGTTGCTCATGTCATGATCTTTTGTCAGAATCTTAATCATATTAGGTGTAGGTGGCCTTTGAAGTTTCTTAGTCCCTTCTCATCCTTCTGAGGAGGGATATGCATATTTTCTTCATTTCTTTGGTTTTGAATAAATTAGTCTTTGAGGCTGAGGCAGAATATCGTTGTTTCGAAAGAGGTCCTGGTTTTGAGACTATCATAGTTTAAGAATGAGAGTATTAGTCATGAGATCCCAGTAGATTGTCAGATGCTGCATATACTTGGAGAGACTCAGCCATGGGACGGCTCCATGTGGTTAATGATGATTTTTGGGGAGTTTGTGTTTGCTTTTGTAAGATGAACCATTTCAGTAGCTTTATAGGATATTACACCTGTCACCCCTTGAACTCTGTACAACTGTTTTCCTTTTCAAAATAGCACCAAAAATACATCAAACTTTTAAATGTATGTAATGGAGGTGAGAGACACTTGTTTATTTGAGAAGACCAGGTAATAGGCATGAAGAAAATTGCACGTTACAGGTTGGCTGCCCTGGCTCCCAGTGAGCAGTGTCCTACTTAAAAACAGTGGACAATGAGGTGTGTATGTTGGCTGGATTCCAGGGAGTTCCTGATTGTTCAGTTGCTTCTGGTGTGAGTACTCAGGTTTCTCTGCCTGGCTTCTCTCTAGATGTTGTTTCCTCATAAGAGGGTCTGTAGTAGCCTTGACACAAAGACAGTTTGAGCGCATTACGGCTGGTACTCTGGAGTAAACAGAAAGCTGATATATATTCAGAAAAGGGTTTATTGATAAAACGTACATGCTTTTTCATGCTGAGGATCTGTCACATATATTAGAGAAAAGTTTTCTGCCAGGCGCGGTGGCTCACACCTGTAATCCCAGCACTTTGGGAGGCCAAGGCGGGCAGATCACTTGAGGTCAGGAGATCGAGACCATCCTGGCCAACACGGTGAAACTCCGTCTCTACTAAAAATGCAAAAAATTAGCCGGGCGTGGTGGTGGGCACCTGTAGTCCCAGCTACTCGGGAGGCTGAGGCAGGAGAATGGCTTGAACCCAGGACGCGGAGCTTGCAGTGAGCTGAGATCGCACCGCTGCACTCCAGCCTGGCAACAGAGTGAGACTCCGTCTCAAAAAGAAAAAAAATAAAAGCTTTCAAGTTTTGCTCTGTCTTTAGAAAAATACTCTGAAAATGTTCTTAAAATTTTCTCTCTCTGCAGAAAAACTCACTGGGTGATTAAAAATGATCTTGATACGTTGTTTTCAAATAGGTTTAAATCTTAAAATGAAGACAAAACTTTATTTTATTTTTGTTGTTGTTTTTTAAATCTTTTTTATGCTTTGCTTTCTTTTTTTTTGTTTCGGTTTTTTTTTGTGTGTGTTTTTCACTTATTTAAATAGAAAATAAGGTGTATTTTTTTTTTCTTTTTTTTTTTTTTTATTGATCATTCTTGGGTGTTTCTCGCAGAGGGGGATTTGGCAGGGTCACAGGACAATAGTGGAGGGAAGGTCAGCAGATAAGTGAACAAAGGTCTCTGGTTTTCCTAGGCAGAGGACCCTGCGGCCTTCCGCAGTGTTTGTGTCCCTGGGTACTTGAGATTAGGGAGTGGTGATGACTCTTAACGAGCATGCTTCCTTCAAGCATCTGTTTAACAAAGCACATCTTGCACCACCCTTAATCCATTCAACCCTGAGTGGACACAGCACATGTTTCAGAGAGCACAGGGTTGGGGGTAAGGTCATAGATCAACAGGATCCCAAGGCAGAAGAATTTTTCTTAGTACAGAACAAAATGAAAAGTCTCCCATGTCTACCTCTTTCTACACAGACATGGCAACCATCCGATTTCTCAGTCTTTTCCCCACCTTTCCCCCCTTTCTATTCCACAAAACCGCCATTGTCATCATGGCCCGTTCTCAATGAGCTGTTGAGTACACCTCCCAGATGGGGTGGTGGCCGGGCAGAGGGGCTCCTCACTTCCCAGTAGGGGCGGCCGGGCAGAGGCGCCTCTCACCTCCCGGACGGGGCGGCTGGCCGGGCGGGGGGCTGACCCCCCCACCTCCCTCCCGGATGGGGCGGCTGGCCGGGCAGAGGGGCTCCTCTCTTCCCAGTAGGGGCGGCCGGGCAGAGGCGCCCCTCACCTCCCGGATGGGGCGGCTGGCTGGGCGGGGGGCTGACCCCCCCACCTCCCTCCTGGACAGGGCGGCTGGCCGGGCAGAGGGGCTCCTCACTTCCCAGTAGGGGCGGCCGGGCAGAGGCGCCCCTCACCTCCCGGACGGAGCGGCTGGCTGGGCGGGGGGCTAACCCCCCCACCTCCCTTCCGGACGGGGCGGCTGCCGGGCGGGGGGCTGACCCCCACCTCCCTCCCAGACGGGGTGGCTGCCGGGCGGAGACGCTCCTCACTTCCCAGACGGAGTGGCTGCCGAGCGGAGGGGCTCCTCACTTCTCAGACGGGGCGGTTGCCAGGCAGAGGGTCTCCTCACTTCTCAGACGGGGCGGCCGGGCAGAGACGCTCCTCACATCCCAGACGGGGCGGCAGGGCAGAGGCGCTCCCCACATCTCAGACGATGGGCGGCCTGGCAGAGATGCTTCTCACTTCCTAGATGGGATGGCGGCCGGGCAGAGACGCTCCTCACTTTCCAGACTGGGCAGCCAGGCAGAGAGGCTCCTCACATCCCAGACGATGGGCGGCCAGGCAGAGACGCTCCTCACTTCCCAGACGGGGTGGCGGCCGGGCAGAGGCTGCAATCTCGGCACTTTGCGGGGCCAAGGCAGGCAGCTGGGAGGTGGAGGTTGTAGCGAGCCGAGATCACGCCACTGCACTCCAGCCTGGGCACCATTGAGCACTGAGTGAACGCGACTCCGTCTGCCATCCCAGCACCTCAGGAGGCCGAGGCTGGCGGATCACTCGCGGTTAGGAGCTGGAGACCAGCCCGGCCAACACAGCGAAACCCCGTCTCCACCAAAAAAATATGAAAACCAGTCAGGCGTGGCGGCGCGCGCCTGCAATCGCAGGCACTCGGCAGGCTGAGGCAGGAGAATCAGGCAGGGAGGTTGCAGTGAGCTGAGATGGCAGCAGTACAGTCCAGCTTTGGCTCGGCATCGGGGAGACCGTGGAAAGAGAGGGAGAGGGAGACTGTGGGGAGAGGGAGACCGTGGGGAGAGGGAGAGGGAGAGGAGGGAGAGGGAGAGGAGGGAGAGGGAGAGGAGGGAGAGGGAGAGGAGGGAGAGGGAGAGGAGGACAGGTGTATTTTTTTTTTTACAGGATAGCGGTCTGGTTCACCAAGAGCTTTTATGAGTTAATATTGTGATACGCATACTGAAAACTTAAAGCAAGAGTAGAGTACCCTGTCCTCGTTTCTGGACCAGGATACTGAAGATTATCAGTTATCCTTTGTGACAGTGGGCAAAGTACACGTATTTTTCTTTCATCTTTCCTAAAACAGGCATTTTAGGAAGATGATTGTCAGGAAGAGGTTGTCTTTACCTGAAGCCTATGCTAGCATAATAGAGTAAGTCTTTGGGGAAATCTGCCTTGTGAAGTTTCTTTTTTTCAAACCTATAAATAGGAGAATGAAGACAATTATTGTTTGGTTATCCTCAGAGCCACAGGAATTTATTCATGTTTTAAATTTGTTGAATTTTCATTAGCTTCTTTCTCTTTTTTTCTGAAATTTCATCTTGGGGAAAATGATTAGTGGATTCTACCCTTTTGACCTGAAAGAAATAAGAGTATGTAGTGGCTGCTCATTCAGACATGAGGAGATTCTGGCTTCAGAAATATTAAATCCGTAAAAAGGAATTTCCATGCAGAATGTGTACAGAAAACTTTTTCCTCTACTTTCATACCACAACAAACATAAACATAGAAGATTTTTGTGACCAAATGTGTGGGGTTTTTTTCCCCACACACCAAGCAAGCGGACACCAGCTGGGTGTCCTCTAATTGTTCCAGCATCGTCTACCTGGAGACAGTGTCAGAGCCCATAGATTAAGTGAAGCTCAGTCCCCAAGAGCCCTCAACCCCCCACCCCCAACGTCAGTCTGTAAGTCTGGGCTGCTGGAATTTCTTACCAACCAGCTTCAATTTGAGGTGCCCATGAGCCCCCTTTGGGTTCAGTTAATTTGCTGGAGCAGCTCACAGAACTCAGGGAAACGCTTACTTACATTTACTGGTTTATTGTAGAAGATATTGCAAAGGATGCAGATGAAGAAATGCTACGGTGAGGTATGGGGGAGGGGTGCGGAGCTTTCATGCCCTCCCTGGGCACCACCCTCCAGGAACCTCACATGTTCAGCTGTCCCGAAGCTCACTGAGCCCTGTCCTCTGGAGCTTTCCTTCCTCTAGAGTATAGGGTGGGATCTCTGATGGGAGGGTCCTAAGACCCACAGTCAGAGAGGCAGGGGCCCCTGAGAGTAGAAGGAGGGCAGAAAAAGGTCAGAGACTTGCCCCCGAGGCCCGACACACCCAACATTATAACAAAAGACTGTAACAAGGGCTGTGGGAGTTAGGAGCCAGGAACCCTGGATGAAAACCAATATATATCATAACACTGCACATAGTAACCCAGTTATTTTTGGCCCATGAGGTGTTTTTTTCTCTTTCCTGTTCTCCTGGCTTACAGATTCTCCATCAGGCTATGGGGATGGGATAGGAAAAAAGAACTGTTTTCTTTCTAGTAAGGGCCAGTGATTCCTAGCGGGTGGGATGTGGGAACTTCAGAACCAGATTGGAAAATCAGATTGAAAGAATAATAGGTAGGGGTTTTGCTTAAATAGAGCTAAAATAGAAAACATTATTCTCATAAACCCATCTCCCTTGCAATTTGATTTTTATTATGGTAAAATACTTATAAAATTTGCTGTCTGAACCATTTTTGAGTATACAGTTCAGTGATACTAAATGCATTTATAATGTTGTGCAACCATTGCCACCATCTATCTCCATAACTCTTTTCATCTTGTAAAGCTGAAACTCTGCTAGGCATGGTGACTCATGCTTGTAATCCCAGCACTTTGGGAGGCCTAGGTGGGAGGATCGCTTGAGGCCAGGAGTTCAAGACCAACCTGGGCAACATGGGGAAACTCCCATCTTTACAAAAAACTTAAAACATAGCGGGACACACACTTGTAGTTCTAGCTACTCAGGAGGCTGAGGGGGAAGGATTGCTTGAGCCGGGAGATTGAGGCTACAGTGAGCCAAGATTGCACCACTGTACTCCAGCCTGGGTGGCACAGTGAGACCCTATCAAAAAACAAAAAAACCCCCAAACTGAAACTCTATACCCATTAAACATTAACTCACCATTCTCCCCTTCCCCTAGCTCTTAGAGAAACCACCATTTTATCATTAAATAAATGAAAGGCCTTATTCAGATGTAGTCAGTAGTGACAAACATATGTTTGCATGTTACATGTAAGTATGAAGTAGTGAGATAAAAGAAATATACAGACACAGGGCAAGAGGTAGTAGATCTGTAACTAGGAAGATAAAAAATAAGAATAAAAAATTAAAAGTTTTGAAGGAAGTTATAAAGATAGACACATATCCAAAGAATATGCTTCAGATATGCATGTACTGTCAGTCATATTCATACCCAGCCCTTACAGGCAGTTTCCATTTTAAGAACTCAAATTCAGGAACAACTCCTTTCTTTCTTTTTTTTGAGACAGTGTCTTGCTATGTTGCCCAGGCTGGAGTGCAGTGGTGCAGTCCTGGGTCACCGCAGCCTGCATCTCCTGGGCTCAGTCAGACCTCCTTCCTCACCCTCCTGAGTAGCTGGGACTACAGGTGCCTGCCACCAAGCCCAGCTAATTTTTTAAATTTTAGATGGGGTTTCACCATGTTAGCCAGGCTGGCCTCAAACTCCTGACCCCAGGTGATCCACCCGCCTCTGCCTCCCGAAGTGCTGGGATTATAGGCGTGAGCCACCGCACCCGGCCAGGAACTTCTTCAATAAGTTTTTTGGCTTTGGTTTTATCATTTGATCAGTATTGTTCATTTAACTATTTGCCAAAGCATTGAGAAGTTGTGATTAAAATTATTTAGCAGTGTAGACCTCTGAAAGCATTTAACTCCATTAAATATTACCCCCAAAATTCGTAAGTTGTTTAAATATCTGCCTGATGTTTTAAAAGCAGTAGAATTTGAAAATTCCTCATTTCCTCAATTTTTTTTTCTGTGAACTAAATGAAAAATGTTAAATTTCAATAAAATCTAGACCATTTATTTAATTTCATAGAGAGCTACCCAGAAACTAGAAAATAGTTTTAAAAGGTCACATGATTTTCTTTTATGCATTAAATGTCTTTGTCTATATATGATTATGATTAAGATTTTTAAAAAATTCCTTTGGAAAATGTTGAATGCTATATATTAATTTGAGCATAAAGGAATATCTTTTCTTTCTTGGGTGCAACATGTACATCTTAAGGTTTTAAAAAAAAATTCCACTAAGAAATCTTGAATCTATGGCTTTTTTCCTCTTTTTTTATAAGGTCACCAGGAGACTTTTGTTTGTTTTTAATAACAGTAAGCACGAACAGGGATGACATCCTTGGCACTTGATCATAGATACCATGAGACTAATCAAGGACTGGAAATTCTCCACTCCCAGTTGGGTGGCCTGGGGCTGTGGGATTGATTGCATCTGTGCTGGTCTGGCCTCTGCTTGAGAACGAAGTGGTTCTCCACACTTGTTTGTAGGATGAGGGCAACCGTAACATTAGCCTTTTAGCTCTCCAAGTCATGTGGCAGTGCTGGTCAAGAACTTGTAATATTTCTCACGTGAAAAAAAAATGTTCTGCAATTTTTTTTGTTTCTTTTTTTCGTTCCAAACCAGTAAGTAGACCCCAATTACATTGTATATGCTTTTGATTACGGTGATATGTGATCAAGTAAAAAAAAATCCTCTTTTTAATGTAGTCTCACTAGCAAGATAGTGGGGTTTTCATTCTATAGTCTCTCCTTTAAGAAAAAAAATGCCAAGCAGTATCTTTTTTTTTTCTCCCAGACAGAGTCTTGCTCTCTCAGGCTGGAGTGCAGTGGCGAGATCTCAACTCACTGCAACCTACATCTCCTGGGTTCAAGCTATTCTCATGCCTCAGCCTGCCGAGTAGCTGGGATTACAGGTGCCCGCCACCACGCCCAGCTAATTTTTGTATTTTTAGTAGAGACGGGGGTCTCACTGTGATGGCCAGGCTGGACTCAAACTCCTGACCTCAAGTGATCCACCAGCCTCGGCCTCCCAAAGTGCTAGGATTATAAGCGTAAGCCACTGCACCCAGCCCAAAGCAGTATCTTTATACAGTTATTTTTAACATCACTTGCTGGTATACAGACACACATAGACTTAAAATTCTATACCTCCGCCTAGAGGAAACCACTTTTAAAAGTGTCTGTGCTTGCAAACATTTTCCCATCATAGAAAACTTTCCATGAAGGTATATATGTATCCCTAAAGCATTCTTTTTAATGGTATACCAATAATTTATTTAACTCTTTGACTATTGACGTATATATAAAAACTTGCGTTACTTCCAATTTTTTTTGCCCCTATAATTAATATAGCAGTAAAATTCCTTATACATGTACTTTTTTGGATTTCCATTGGGCAGAGTCCTAGGAGTGGCATTGCAGAATAGAAAGTCCTTTAGGCCGGGTGCGGTGGCTCACGCCTGTAATCCCAGCACTTTGGGAGGCCGAGGCAGGTGATCACATGAGGTCAGGAGTTCGAGACCAGCCTGGCCAACATGGGAAAAACCCATCTCTACTAGAAATAAAAAATTAGCTGGGTGTGGTGTCGTGGGCCTGAAGTCCCAGCTACTCTGGAGGCTGAGGCAGGAGAATCACTTGAACCTGGGAGGCGGAGGTTGCAGTGAGCTGAGTGGTTGCAGTGAGCACCACAGCACTCCAGCCTGGGCAACATGTGAGACTCAAAAAAGTCCTTTAAAATTTTGATATATGTGGCTCAGTTGCCTTCTTAAAAGCTTGTAGAAATAGATATTTCCCCCAACAATATATGAAAACAACCATTTCCCTGTGTCCTGGTGAACATTAGATAGGTATGTCCTTTCTGCTGCTTTGGCAGTCTGATGGTATCTCATTGCTCTAATTTGCATTCCTCTAATAAAAAAGGGGATTGCATTTTTTTGTCATACATTTATTGGTCATTTGTTTATCTTTTATGATTTCCCTTTCAACTTCTTTGGTTTTCTTTTGAGTTATTTTCTTATTTTTGGAGTCTCTGTATATTTAATGATAGTTCTTTGTTACATTGTTACAGATACTGTCTCCTAGTCTATCATTTACATTTCGATTGCATCATCTTTTGTGAAACAAGAATTTTGTATTTTAGGTAGTCAGATTTGTCATTTTTTCCCCCTTCATACCATTTGGATTTTGTGTTTTATTTTAGAGAAGCCTTTTCCATTCCAAGATTATAAAAAGCTGCTCCCTTATTTCTTCTTAATTCTTTTTTAGCTTAAAACATGTTTAGCTGTTTAATCTTTTTGGAGTTATTTATATACAGAATGTAAGACCGTAACCTTTTATTCCCATGTGAATATCAAATTATTCCAACATCATTTGCTGAGTAGTGTGTGGTTTTTATCATTAATTTCAAATTCTTCTTAAGAAAATTATGTTCTTAATTTGCACATATATAGCTACATCGGTTTGTTTACTCCCTACCATTGTGTTGATTTATTTATTCCTATACAGTCATTATACTGTTTTGATATCTGGTAGGGAAAATCCTTCCTTAATTTTTTTTCCAAAAAATTTTAACCTTAAGCATTTATTTACTTTTGTGGAAAAACTTCTGTTATTCGTTAAGCCTTATCTTAATGCTTGTTTAGATGGCATTTCATACCTTTGATTTTTTTTTTTTATGTGATTTATTCATTCAGTAATCTGCTTTGTATTTTTTTCCTTTCATTTCAGAGTCCTGTGTATGGAAACTCACATGAGTCAGCTCAGTCTAGAAGGGTAGTAATTTCTCATAATATGGATAAAGCTCTGAAAGAAGGTAAGGATTAAATGAGAGTATATAATTACCATGTAAAGCAATTCATTATGTTCTAAGAGGAAAATAATAATCTCCAGCAAATTTATTCTTCTTGTCTGCATGTAGTGTTAGGAATTTTTTCTTCATGAGTTTGTATTTGATGACTAAATACATCCATGTTTTGTTTGCATGTAAGGGATTTACACGTTTGTTGAGTAGGAATTTCCAGATCATGTGAAACTAGCCAGCCATGTAGAGCTAGTTCCATCATATGAAGCACAGATCTGTTCTCTCTTTTCTAAAATGGGTTTTAGGAATTTTTTTTTTCTTCTAACTATAACCTAGAGAAGCTATGTTGGGATAAATAGACTCAGGCTCACTCATAGATAAACCAGTTAAACCCAACTAAGTGATAGTAGTCTTTCAGAGGAGTGAGTTTACAATGAAGCTTGTCTTGAAGAAGGCAGAAGCAGGGTGGTGGAAGGTAAAATATGGCTATGTCTGGAAGTGGGAATAAATAAGTGTACTTTTAAATATTAAAATTTTAAAAAATATATTTTGAACATCAAATTAAGGTTTAAGAAAGATTTTAAATATCAAATTTCTAAAAACATTGACAGTTTCAGTTAATTTTCAGAAAACAAGTCATGAGTTTATCAGGTGAATATATGATGTTAGACGTGAAGTTAAGAGAGCTGAACAAGTGATATGTACATATATGTGTTTTACTCATCATAGTTCACAAAAATCACCATATCAAAATCTGAAAATGAGAGTACTGTATCAGTACAGAAACAGTTTGAAATTGTGTGGATTCACAGAATTTTAGACCTTTGGGGACATAATTAAATTTTAAAAAATACTTCTATTAGTAGTTAAGGTACAACTTATAAAACTTACTGGATTTAAAATTTGGCAATTATTCATAATCTTTAAAGTATGACTTATAAAACTTACTGGATTTAAAATTTGGCAATTATTCATAATCTCATAATCATGATTTTTAGAGTACAGGATTGGCTGGATGTGGTGGCTCATGCCTGTAATCCTAGCATTTTGGGAGACCGAGGTGGGTGAATTGCTTGAGCCCAGGAGTCCAGCCTGGGCAACATGGTGAAACTCTGTCTCTGCAAAAAATACAAAAATTAACTGGGAGTGGTGGCACATGCCTGTAGTCCTAGCTCCTTGGGAGGCTGA
The DNA here is from genome assembly GCF_000001405.40 of Homo sapiens. NCBI lineage: Eukaryota > Metazoa > Chordata > Mammalia > Primates > Hominidae > Homo > Homo sapiens. The sequence continues at coordinate 185,248,555 of NC_000004.12, forward strand.
AGTGGGAGAATTGCTTGAGCCCGAGAGGCAGAGATTTGCAGTGAGCCTAGATTGCACCACCGCACTCCAGCCTGGGCAACACAATGAGACTCTGTCTCAAAAAAAATGTACAGGATTTATTCTTAATTGCTTTTATTGAGGTAAAATTTACATACTTTGAAATGTACAAATCTTAATTATACAATTCAGTAATTTTCATAAATGTGCATAACTGTATAACCACCTCATTCAAAATAGAGAACATTTCCATCATTCTAGAAAATCTGCCTCATGCTCCCCTTTGATCAACACCCACCCTTCATGGTATCACTTCATTTTGTCTCTTCTAAAACTTTATGGAAATGGAACCATACAGTGTGTATTCTTTTATGCCTGGCCTCTTTCACTCAGCATAATGTTTTTAGATTCATCCATATTGTGTATATCAGTTTATTCTTTGTTACTTTTGGGTGGGTGGTATTCCATTACAGTGATACAGCTATGACAATATGTTTACCCTTTCTCCTGTGGGACATCTGGGTTATTTCTAAGTTTTGGAAAGTTAGTCAATACAGTTGCTATCAACAGATATTTCAGTGGACATATGTTTTTCTCTTGGATAAATAGGAGTAGAATTGCTGAGCCATAGGATAGTTGTATTTTTAACTTTGTAATAAATTACCAAACGGTATTCCAAAATGATTGTCTCTTTTTAGACTCTCACCAGCAGTTTATGAGAGTTCCGGTTGTCTCATATTACCACCAACATTTGCTGTTGTTTTGTTCCTCTTTTAGCCATTCTGATGGGTGTATCTTACTGTGGCCTTAAATTGCATACCCCTACTGACTATGATATTAAACACCTTTTCATGTGTTATTGACAATTTTCAGATTTTTATTTGTGATGTGTCTATGCAAGTCTTTTTTAAACTTATAATTTATTTATAGTTTTTAAAATATCTGGATTCATGTCTTTTGTTAGATGTAGATACAGAAGATTTTTCTCCTAGTTTGTGAGTTGCCTTTTGTTTTCTTAATGCTATCTTTGAGTGGATGTTTTCAAGTTTGATAAAGTCCAATTTACCAATCTTTTTTTCCTCTCTGTTCTTTAGATAGATAGGATGATGATGATTTTTTTCAAGTTCACCAATTTTTTTTCTGTCTCATCTCCATTCTGTAGTTAAGTGCATCCAGTGAAATTTTTATTGCACACTTTGTGCTTTTCATGTGTAGAATTTCCATTTGGTTCTTTTTTTCTTGTTGTTTCTGCAATGTTTGCTTTTCTGCTGAGATTCTCTCGTCTGTCAATTATTATGACATTTTTATTTTTAATTTCTTGAACATATTTTGTAGTAGCTGCTTTAAAGTTCTTTTATGCTAATTCCAACATCCGGGCTATCTTGATGTTGGTTTCTGTTAATGGCTTTTTCTCTTGACTAGATGTCACTTTTTGGGGGTTTCTTCTGATGTCCAGTTGTTTTTGATTGTATACTGGACAATGTGGATGCTGCTTTTTAGACATTCTAGATTCTTTTATCTTCCTCTGAAGAGGTTTTTAGTATGCAGTTTAATTAATGGCTGATCACCTTGAAGATACTTGGTTTTATACATTTTCTGAGGATGGATGTGTTTGGATTTTGTTCTTCACCTAAAGTGAGTCCCTCAGTCCGAGGACATAGACTTAACTCCTCTGGTTCATGGCCTTTCCACAATTGCAATGGAAAGCCCAACACCGTTAGTGGAATTCTAGCTCCAAACTCTGTCTCCCTGGTGGACAGTAGTTGGAGTATCTGCTCAGCTCTTTGAGTCTTCCAGCTGTTGCTTTCCACTGGTCTCCTGTAGTCTTACCCCTATACATGTGTAGTTCACAGTTGGCAATGAATTTGAGAATCTGTACCCAGATTTCATGGTGTTTATTTCTTGCCTTTATTTTCAGCAGCCCTGGCAACTCTTAAATCTGTTTCCTGATATATTAAAATAAAAAACACACAAAAGACATTCTCTTCCAGTTTACTGCCTGTACCTCTAAGACTGCAGTTGCCTTTAGGGAAAAGCTGTGTGTAAACATGGATCTTACCTAGTGCCATTCCTTTCTTTCAATAATAGATTCCCTTCTAATTGCTAAGTTTGGTTGCTCTCAGTGCTTTTCAATACAGATGGTTCCTGATTTATGATAGTTCAGTTTATGGTTTTTTTTTTTTTTACTTTTGTGGGGTGGGATGGGGGTGTTATTAGGATGCAACTCCATCATAAGCTGAGGAACATCTGTAGTTTTTAAATTTTTTTTTCCAGATTTCCAAATTATTTTCTATAGGAAGGTTAGTCTGATATAAGCTATTCTACCACCCCTGGAATTAGAACTCTGTCCTTAATATTAAAAAAATTTTAATTGTGTTAAAATAGACATAACATAAAATTTATCATTATAACCATTTTAAGTATATAGTTCAATAATGTTTTGTTGTGTGTGTGTGTGTGTGACACGGAGTCTTGCTCCGTCGCCCAGGCTGGAGTGCAGTGGCATGATCTTGGCTCACTGCAACCTCTGCCTCCTGGGTTCAAGCAGTTCTTGTGCCTCAGCCTCCCAAGTAGCTGAGATTACAGGCACACACCACCATGCCCAGCTAATTTTTGTATTTTTAGTAGAGACAGTGTTTCACCATGTTGGCCAGGCTGGTCTCTAACTCCTGACCTCAAGTGATCCGCTTGCCTCGGCCTCTCAAAGTGCTGGGATTATAGGCATGAGCCCCCGCACCCGGCCTTAGTTCAGTAATGTTAAGTACATCCACATTATCATGCAACCAATCTCTAGAACTGTTTTCATCTTGCAAAACTGAAACTCTTTACTTATTAAGTGACAACCCCTTTCTCTTCCTCCAGCCTCTGGTAACCACTGTTCTACTTTTTGTCCCTATGAATTTGACTAAGTATCTTACCTAAGTGGAATCATATAGTATTTGTCTTTTTGTGTTTGGCTTATTTTACTTAATGTCCTCAGGTTTCATCCATATTGTAGCATGTGACAGGATTTCCTTCCGTTTTCAGGCTGAATGATATTCCATTGCGTGTGTGTGTGTGTGTGTGTGTGTGTGTGTGTGTGTGTGCCACATTTTGTTTATCCATTCACTCATCAGTGGACACTCGGGTTGCTTTCCACCTTTTGGCTATTGTAATTGATGCTGCTATGAACATGAGTGTCTCTTTAATTTTTGAAGACTTAGAAATTTCTCTGTACTTAGACGTGACCTTTATTTTAGACCAGTTTGTTTCAGAAGTACTTGTGGGGAAAAAAAAAAGACAGGATAAGGGTTGAGGCTTACTTGGCAAAAACATTATCCTGAAGCTAATTTCTATTCAGTGATTTCTTCTGAAAGGAAAATGTTTTCCAAAGCCTTTGGGTAAGCGTTTCAGTTTATTATACTTTGCTTTTTTTTTTCTTTTTTTTTAACCACATTCTTAATGTTCACAATTTTTTTTACCTGTCCTTTGCTTTAAAGTGGTTTTCAGGGAAAAGCTGCTGAAGTTCAGCATTATATAAGCTAAACAAAAGGAGAGCTAGTAGCTGCTAGAAAGTTAGTTATTGGGAGTAAAATTCATGCATTTGGCAGTAGTTCTTCAACAGCAATAACAACAACAAACAAAACTAGAATCACCTTCCAAGAAAAATTTGACCAGTTAATTTTATGGAGAATTAGAATCTAGAAATGTATATTGAGAAGGCTAAGAGGTTTCATCAGCATGTAGAAAATCTTTAGTGGTTATAATTTGCATCTCTGGAGTGGTTTGATTTACATTTCTAAACCCGGCACCAATATATTTAATTGGAATTCAGAATGTTATTAACTAGCTATAATAGATTTAATATTAATCAAATTGAGGGTCTCTGTACATTTGCAAAACATTAAACAATATACTTGTTAAGGCTGTAGTAATTTGAGTTCGGTTATACTAAATGCTTATGAAATACTTACCTAAAAATCTCCTCCTTGGAAGCTAATTTAAACTAGAGAACATTATGGTACCATTTTATCTTTATATATCTATTTTATTGGTTTTAGAGTGTGTAATTTAAAAACATTTAAAGAGTTAAGTACCACATAAGGCATGTGTGTGTGTCTGCATGTATACATGTTCTACATGTTTGTGTGTAGATATTTTTGTCACTAAATTTGTGCTTGTGTTGTAGCTCAGTATAAGTTAGGATTTAAGTCTTTACAGATTGAATTACAAAGAAGAAAGAAGTAATAGTCAAAAATGCAGAGCAAAATAATATACTCCAGCTTTCTGTGGAACAATATGAAATACTAGAGCTACAAATGCTGGAAGTTAAATGGCACACTTGAGGAAAGTGATCAAAGCATATGACTGCTCTGTTTTGTTAGCCAGTTTAAAATGTAAAACTATATTTTAGGGGTTCAGATCTAATATGAATGAACTCTTCTTTTTGAGAAGGCAGAACAGTTACCCTTCTGTACCAGATAGCTTCAGAAGATTCTCCAAAAGCTACATTTACCAGAAAACTGACAGAAGATAGGAAAAAGACGACTTCTAAAAATCTTTTTGACTTACTATTAAATCTCAATAGATCTATTGCCTAATTTTCACTAGCCTGCCCTAAACCATCTCTAATGTGAACCAGATAATTTAATTGTATAATTATTGAGTACATGCTATTTGTTCAGTGGTGTGTTCAATGTTAAATTGAAAGTTCTTGAATTGAAAATATAATTCTTTTTCAAGACCTTGGGGATGCTGACCTCAGAGTGTCTTATAAAAGACCCTGTCTGCCACACAGAAAACTCCGAAAAACAACAAAACCCCAGACGTTGCACACAAAAAAACCCACTGTCTGAATATCTTAGAATTAAATACCGTTACCCTCATTTTTTGCAATTAATGTTACATGTACATTTCAGACTTTTTTTTCTTTTCTTTTCTTCTTTTTTTTTTTTGAGACCGAGTCTTACTCTGTTGCCCAGGCTGGAGTGCAGTGGCATGATCTCAGCTCACTGTAACCTCCGCCTCCTGGGTTCAAGTGATTCTCGTGCCTCAGCCTCCCGAGTTGCTTGAGACTACAGGCATGAGCTACCACGCCCGGCTAATTTTTGTATTTTTAGTAGAGATGGGGTTTCACCATGTTGGCCAGGCTTTTCTTGAATTCCTGAGCTCAGGTGATCCACCGGCCTTGGCCTCCCAAAGTGCTGGGATTACAGGCGTGAGCCACCATGCCCAGCCTACATATACATTTCAAAGTGAGCACATTTCAGCTAGTTTTAATTGGCTCTTAATGCTTTTCTGAATTTCAGTGGTAAATATGCCCATAAGTAATTGTTACATACACAGGGTCATAACTTGAAAACAATCATGACAGCGGAAGATACTGCAAGGTCATTGTCAAAGTATAACAGAAATTTTATGGAGAACAGAACTTTTATGTAGAACTTTTAACAGCTTTGCAACAGGTCCTAGGTAAGGCAAACTTTATGTGGTAGTCTTTTTTCCAAGGCCCACCGTATGGCTGTTCCAGATGTCTGGCTGCCTGGGAATTAGATGGTGGCACAGAGGAAGCAAGGCTCGCATGACTTTTCCCACCCTTTAGAAAGCTCAACTCATCGAGTTCTAGTTCATGCTTTTCTCCCAGTGACATGCAATATGTATACTTTTTTTTTTGTTGGATAAATACATAGCTCTATCAATCACATAAACTAATAACCCCAAATCTTTCCAGAAGATAACTTTGCATTGCATTTTAAAACTTTACAAACCATAAAAGACCATCTAAATGAACAATAGAATTGTTGCTGTTGTTGTTTATCATTGTCATTAGACAAGTTTCTGGTTGAATGAGGACTGTCTCTTTGTTCTAAGAGACCCAGGCGTGGACTTTCATGATCATGGGGCTGTACCTCATGGGCAGGACATGTATCTCTGAATCGCATTTCTAAATCGCTCAGGGGAAAAGACAAGGGTGGGAAAATGGCCCTCTTGAAGCTCTCTTTCTTATACTGTTTACTTAGCTCATTCCTTGTTCTGAAAATTTGTGGGTAGCGATTACCTAACATCCTGTTGTCTAGACTAACGCGGGAGCCTTTTAACTTGTGTCCTCATCTATAGTTTTTCTCTACTTTGTTACCCTAAATCCTGTTTTCAGGTTAACCTAACTAAAACTAAAGTTCCAATCATGTTACTTCATTCTCTCTCATCTCCAGTGGCCTCCTTTTTACCTACTCATTTCTTTGAGAGCAGTTCTAAAACTAGATATACTTGAATGATAATAGCACCTGAATTTGTGGTGGGTGTTATCATGCCTTTAGAAGAAAGATTTTTTTGCCTGGTAGTGAGGATAAGTGTTCTTTCATTTCTCATTGTGATTAATTGTATTGTTTCTGTATATTTCTTTTTTTTTTCTTTAGTTGGCGTCTTGACCTTGAATGTTTATTTCTTAATAAAAGCCATGAAATAATTTTATGGTTACGAATTTCTCTGTCTCCTTAAGTTGACCCGTAGGGTATGTTTTAAAGTATTTTGTTGATATGTGTACTTGTGTAAATTAGTTTATATGGTTATATAATGTATATTTAGAATCATGGCTTTGTTTTCTTCTTTATTTTTTTTTTTGAGACAGAGTCTCGCTCTGTCGCCCAGGCTGGAGTGCAGTGGCACAATCTCGGCTCACTGCAACCTACGCCTCCTGGGTTCAAGTGATTCTCCTGTCTCAGCCTCTGGAGTACCTGGGATTACAGGCGCCTGCCACCACGCACGGCTAATTTTTGTATTTTTAGTAAAGACAGGGTTTCACCACGTTGGCCAGGCTGGTCTGGAACTCCTGACCTCAGGTGATCTGCCTGCCTCAGCCTCCCAAAGTGCTGGGATTACAGATGTAAGCCACCACACCCAGCCCGTACTTTTTATATTTAAGTTATGTATAGTTTTTTGATACTTAGCTTGAAGAGAGGTGTCGTTGCTGGGATTACAAGTGTGAGCCACCGCACCTGGCCTCACTCGTTGGTTCTGTTTGTGTCTTGTACAGCAGTTTTACAAAGTACAGCCTTTTACATATATTTTTTCATGTAAATGTGTTTTAAACAAACTGGATATCTAGTGGACGAGGATGCTATTTTAGGTTTTGCCTATCTTTTACTCATGCAGCTTATCTTGTTCACCTATGTGCAGGACTACAGTGTGCTGAGTAGAAAGAGTGATTGGCAGGTAGGAGTCTTGACTTTGCTACCTCTTTGAGCAAGTTACTTCACTTCTTTGAGCCTCAATTTCCTGAAGGGACGAAACTCACTTACTATGTAGGAACTGTGGTCTATTTGTTTGTTGCCAATAAATGAGATTATAGGATCAACCCATTCCTGTTTTTGCAGTTTCATCTGGGTCAGAAACCATTTCCGCTGTTTTTCCTTAATGGAATAGTACCATTAGGGATGAGATGTAGCTACTTTTTGCAAAATCTAGAAAACATAACAACCATAGGTTCAAATTAATATCTGAAAATGAGCAGAACGTGACTGAGAGTTTCATGTGCCTTGTTTTCTGGTTTTGCTTTTGTTTTACCTTCCTTTTTGTGTCCAGTGCTTAGTGATACGGATATTGATTCCACCTTACAGACTAGAAGCCCTCTATACATTTTATTTGCTGAGTAGTAAAAGATTGAGATAGATCTTTTTTCTGTCTTTGGCAATTAATTGTTCTCAGCTGGAAGGCACAGTTATCTTATCCCTACAACTGAGGCTGCTGGAATCACTCTGAAAATTTATCTAAACCTTTGTGTCATTGTTTGTGAACAAAAATCCTAATGCTGTTGCATGTTTTTGAGTTATGAAATTTAAAATGCTGTTTTATAAATTGCTATAAAGCTGAATTGCAAAAATACTGGAAATGTGAAAAAACATTGAATATACTTCCATGGTTGATATTTCAACCATGAAAAAAGCCATCATAGAATATTAATACCAAAATTGTGCTTCCTTTGACCTGTGGGCACTTGCAAATATGTGATTCCATTGCCATTCAGTTTTCTAAGAAAAATGACTCTCCCTCTCCCCACCCTCCAATCCCTCCCCCCAGAGAGCTCACCTAAATTTCTTTTTTTTTTTTTTTTTTTGAGTCAGGGTTTTGCTTGCTCACCCAGGCTGGAATGCAGTGGCGCTGTCTTGACTCACTGCAACCTCCACCTCCCAGGCTCAAATGATCCTCCCACCTCAGCCCCAAGTAGCTGGGAATATAGGCGTCCACCACCACACCCGGCTAATTTTTGTATTTTTTGTAGAGATGGGGTTTTGCCATGCTGCCCAGGCTGGTCTCAAGCTCCTGGGCTCAAGTGTTCCTCCCACCTCGGCCTCCCAAAGTTCTGGGATTACAGGAATGAGCCACTGTGCCCAGCCAATTTATTATCCTGAAGCTTCTAATTTGGTGTGTAGTGGCCAAGATGTATAAAATGAACCCCAAATTCTAGGCTAAAAAATTATTTGACACGTATAGGTTAGTTGTTCGTAGGGAATTGTGAAGTAGATCTGGTTCACGTAGGATTCCCAGGGATAAAGTAGTGTGCAGACAAGCAAAGAAAAGCAGGAGGATAAATTATTTATCTGAAATGACATCTGCAATTAAGCCAAATCAAACAGTGTTTGAAAAGTGAAAAAAAAAAAAAAAAAAACCTCTGAGAAACAAGAAGTGATAAAAAATAACCTTGGTACCCTCGAGTTGGAGCAGGAGTGTGTAGCTAAATGTTTTTCTCCCTTGGGGCCCTGTGGGGAGTCACCACCAAGCCCACTAATATTTTATTTTTCAAAAGACCTAGCTTCTTGCAAACATCACACTGGCTTCACCTTCTTTCTAAATAGGCTTTAGAAACTGTGCTGTCCAACACGGTAACCACTAGACAGCGGCTATAGAGCACCCCAAATGTGGCTAGTCCAAATTGAGATTACTGAAAGAATAAAATATAAACCAGATTACAGAGCTTAGTACGAAAAAAAGCAAAGTATTTTATTTCAAAAACGTGAGTTTTAAATATTGATTACATTTTGAAATAATGTTTTACATAATTTTGTTAAATGGATATATTATTAAAGTGAATTTTACCTGTTTCTTTTTACTTTTTTATTTTTATTGTTTATCTTATTTTTTATGAGCTTTTTGTTGTGGTATCTTTTTACTTTTTTAATGTGTCTTCTAGAAAACTTAAAACTTACATATGTGGCTCTCATATTCAAATTAGATAGCACTGGTCTATGGCTAGGCTTTCCTAATTCCAAGGTGCAGAATTAAGAACATAGGCACTAGAAATCTTCCAAAGAAGGCGACTGGCCACAGGGGCTGAGCCTAGTGTGATATCTAAGACTGATTTATGGGATTCTTCCTAGGTTAGTTGAGGTCTTGTTAGGAGACAGAAACCACACTGTAATTGAACAGAGAAAGTTAAATATAAATAATTATTAATGTACAATATGGGATTAAGTACTAAGGAGTAAAGAGAACACTAAAGAATAAGGAAGGGCAGATATAGGGAGCAGCCATTCCCACTAGGACTGAGGCAGAGGACCTTAGGACAGAAAAAATTTGGCAGAAGTTTCCTTCTTTACCCTTGGGTTGAGATCCAGGCCTTGGAGAAGGCACAACCTTGGCCCAGTTGATGGTGAAGAAGCTTGAGCAGATACCACCGGTGAGGGAGAGCCACCCATAGGATGCCAGCAGAATTCTGTGGGAAGCTGCCCTGTGGATGGCATTGGAACTTGCTGTTGGGGTGAACACCATCGGGTGCCATGCCTGCTGCTAAATGTGGCAGGAACAGTCAGAGAAGAACACACGGGAACTGGGGAGAGCAGCCCCTTCCTCCTCCAGTTGCCCTCCAGCATGTGCTACTGACAGACTTAATGTTATGCCAGCGGGCAAAGAAACTGACGGTGTTTGCAGGGCCCAGCTCCAGTATCATAAAGCAGGGCAAAAAAGCTGAACTCGGAGCAAAGAGGCAATAGACTGATATCAGGTACACTTCATAAGTGTATTGCCACTACATAAGATGCTCTGATTTTTTAATAAATTTAGGTAGTTTGGCACCAAGATAGAATATTTTAAAATAGGGCTCTGTAGGAAAATTTAGGACATGGTCACCATACCTAAACGTTCTAGTTAGATGAGAATCTTTCGTTTTAAAAGACTTAGGAATTCTCATGAGTTCTGTTTTCTCCTCTCTTTAATTTTAAACAGTGAATATTAAATAGTAGGTGGCCAGTTTCCAGTAGAAATGCAGTCTTGGTGTTTGCTTCTTTCATTTGTTTTACTCATTGCTTTGTTTATTCCTGGTAGTGTTCGACTACAGTTATAGAGATTACATTCTGTCCTGGTATGGAAACCTCAGCAGAGATGAGGGACAACTTTACCATCTGCTCTTGGAAGACTTTTGGGAAATTGCCAGACAGCTGCACCACAGACTGAGTCACGTGGATGTGGTTAAAGTTGTCTGCAATGATGTTGTGAGGACTTTACTCACTCATTTCTGTGACCTGAAAGCTGCCAATGCCAGGTAACTGTTCTAAGCAACTTACCCCCTTTTTTGCATTAATTTTTTTTAATTGAGTAAAAGGTCAAAGTCAAGATAAAACTCTAGAATATTCTGCCTATTGCTGGCACTTGCTTGAAAATGTAGATTTATTAAGGGGGAATAATTATGTTCTGGTAGAGTATTTTTTTTTTTTACTTTATGCTGGAAAACCACTTTATAAATACAATTAATTCTATAAATAAACAGTAAAATGAATTTTACTGAACCAGCACTGTGATGATCTTATAGTATTATGAGTACTAGAAATAAAAAATTTAAATGTAGTGTTTTCTAATATGAACAGTGTGAATGAGTTTACAGTATTTAGACACGTTTAAATATGGTTCATGTTTCTTTTTGTGAGTCCTATGTTGAGCTCTGTTGCATCACAATATCCTGAAAACTGATTTTCAAAGGTACTCAATATTGGAGCTTCTGGGCTTTAACTAGAGAAATTTCATTATGAAAGTAGCTAGTATTTAGGCTTGTTAGGCCTTTGTATTGTTACATACGTGACAGTTGTACATATTGGAGCTTGTGGGCTTTGACTAGAGAAATTTCATTATGAAAGTAGCTAATATTTAGGCTTGTTAGCCCTTCGTATTGTTATGTACATAACAATTTACATAAAAAGCTGTCTAACTGCAATGAGTAGCCTTCTGCCTGTGTGGATATGGACACGGTTGGAACAGGAATGGGAACAGTTAATGTGGCCTATTCTCACTCTCAGGGAAGAGATAAAGTATTTAGATGGTGTCCCCCTTCTGCCCTGTGATGCTGTTCGTGTAGGGGACCTTGCTGCTGAATGCGGCTGCACAGCAGGTCTCCATTCCCAGCTGTATTGCCCCTTCCTGGGACTCTTCTTCCCTCCCTCAGGTTTACGAGGCCAAAATCCACAGAGCCGTGACATGCCCACGGTTTTCCAGCTTGCTGCCCCAGTGTTTTGCGAACTTTTTTAAAAACTATGGCCCGCTGTGAGAAATTCACTTGATATTATGACCCAGTTTCATGAAACAGTACTTTTGTTACCTCTGATAACTTTGACACTTTTTTTAACGTTTTTTTAAAAATAATGTTTAAGACCAACTCAATTTTATTTTCTTACTTAAAAGAAAGTAAAACATTGGTTTTATTTTCTTACTTAAAAGAAAGTAAAACAATGGTTTGAAAACATTATGGTAAAGCAGTGGTTCTCCGACTTTTTGTTCCCAGGATTTCTCTACATTCTTAAAAGTTTCTGAGAATTTCAAAGAGCTCATTTCTATGGGTTCTATCTAGTGGCGAGCTGGAGCTGGCTTGTACTGGCATGCAGGAGTGAACTGTGCACAGGTCTTCCCAACCATTAGTTCAGTTATACCAGATTGGAGCTTGAAATGGGCCATGGTGAGAGTGTTTACACCATGGAATGGGCAAATGATCGAAATCAGAGCTTTTTTTTCCTCAGGAGAGCCAACATTTGCCAGTTCACTACTCATCGTATCTATTGGTATTTACCATATTTGATATTTAAAAACTAAGAATTTTTAAAAGTGCAAGAGTACACAGGACACTTTTCCTTAGCCACGGGAGTGATGATGCCATTTCACATCATGTAGCTTGAGGAAACTACTATGCTTGGAAGAATGAGACAAATGACCTTTTTATTTTACTATAGTTTTAACATCCCAGATGCCCTACAAGGATCTTGGGGACACCCAGGAGTCTCTGGACCACCCTTTGAAAACTGCTGCCTATAGAGAAAGTAACTTCCAGTAAGCAGGGAGGGGTGTGAATTAATAAGGAAAATGAGAGAAATAGGGCTCCTGAGTTACCTCCTAGAATCTCAAAAACTTCAGCCTCTCCTTTCGAAGTGTTCACCAACCTCTGCAAGCACCTGCTAATTTGCTGTGCTATCCGTTATTTCAAGTGTTCCATAGTTCCACCTGACAAATACTGTGAAAGACTTGTTTGAATTCAGGGAAAGCTCATTTGAAAGTATGTAAATGATGGTCCAGTAAGAGGACAGTATTCTGTCTGTCTGTCTGTCTGTCTCTGTGTGTGTGTGTGTGTGTGTGTGTGTGTGTGTGTGTGTGTGTATGTATGTATATATAATTTTTTATTTTTATTTTTATTTTTTCAGACAGCCTCACTCTTTACCCAGGCTGGAGTGCAGTGGTGCGATCTTGGCTCACTGCAACCTCCGCTTCTCTGGTTCAAGAATTCTTGTGCCTTAGCCCCCTGAGTAGCTGGGATTATAGGCATGTGCCACCACACCCAGCTACATTTTGTATTTTTAGTAGAGATGGGGTTTCACCATGTTGGCCAGGCTGGTCTCGAACTCCTGACCTCAAGTGATCCACCTGCCTCAGCCTGCCAAGGTGCTGGGATTACAGTGAGCCACTGTGCCCGGCTTGAGGACAGTATTTTAAATCAATGTTTATTCCAGTTAGAAAACTGATGGGTTTAGATTTGGGAGAAGAGCAAGTGGTTAGAAAAATTCAGTGGTTTTATGATTATCTAATTTCAACATGAGAATATATTTTTCATCCAGACATTTACTAGCTTTTGAAATTACTGCTTTTGTGGATAATATAAAGATATGGATAAAGCATCAGAATAATAGAAACAGAAAGTGATTTAATATTAGAAGCTCCTTCTCTTTGGGCTTCTAATTTTCTTATGCCAAGGGTAGATTTATTTTACTGGCATCTGGGCTATGCCTAGAACCTGTAGTTGATGATAAAAAATAAAGAACAAAATAAAGAAAAAAAATCCTGCCACATTTCTCCTGGATTATGGATATTTGAAAAAGTACCAGTAGGTCACTGGCATTTTTCATATAGATGATTGTGTCCTGGAGAACTAATATTGTCTAATATTGTCTGTGTAGCATCTTATACAAACCATACAATGAGACCGGCAGACAGTGAGTCCAGGTTTAATGGCAAATATCTGTATCTGCCTGCCCCAGGTAAACAGTGCTTTGTCCTAGAAATCTCCAGTAGTGTGCAGATCTCTAGTGGCTGCAGAATGACTTTGGTAGCCTGGGTAGCACCCAGTTGAATTGGCCACTATCAGACAAAGAATAATAAATTGCCTTAATAAAACAACACGTCCTTTAGTTGACTGTTGGGCAATTGTTTGTGGAGGCAGCTTTCCGGTCAGCCTGTGTTTATTTCTAGGCCATCATTCTATTGCTGCTTTAAGCCAATCCAGATCACATTTAATTCTTGCCTCTGCTTCCTCTTCCTTTGTCCCATCTGTCTCGCTCCAGCATGTTTTGGGAAAATCTAAAAATGATTGCTTTTATACTATTATTTCAATAGCATCTTTAATTTCATAGTTTTCTTTGCTGGTCGAGTACTGGCATACAGTTTGAGGGAAAAAAAGAATGTTTTTATTCGTGTGTTTTCCTTCTTTGTCTCTGAAATGTTCTTTTTCATCTTTGTAATTTCTGATTGTGGTGTAATTTAAAGAGTTGGGACTTGAGATTGAAACAGAACAGGACTTGAGAGAGTTACTTCTACCTTTTATTACCTCTGTGACTTTGACAGTTCACATAATCATTCAGATCTTAATTTTCTCATCTATAGAATACACGTGATGATGTCTACTTTTTGGTGTAGGTGGGAGGATTAAGTCATTGTACATTTGAAACTTTTTAAATAAAAGATTAATGTCCTTTTGCTCACTCAAGGAATGAGAACCCAGAGGTACGTAGTAGGAATCACAGCAAACAAATGATTGATCCACACGGAACACAGTAAGGATGCTGCAAAGACTGATGCTACAACCCACCAGAAGGCTAGTAGATGCCTCCTGCCACAGAAGCAGCCCCACCCCTCGTGGTGCTTTCTTGGCTTTAAAGCAATACTTGATGTCCACTTTCTAGAGGACATCATAGGAATATCCTGCTTGGAGTTAGTGGAAGGATTCCAGGGAGAGATCTGCCATTCCTTCTTCCATAGATCAAGCTGCTTTGGCCAGCCCTCTGGCCTTTGGCTCAGTCAGAAGTATTTTCCCTAACTTAGCTGTAGGAGGGAGAGGAACTTGTGGCAGTCTGAGTACCAGGCTCCTTTATTATCTGCCTTCCACTGTTAACGGAGAAGGGACTGTGTACCGTTTGAGAGAGATTTTGATATTGTTTAAATAAGCTTCTCTTGTAAAAGTGGTTTTTTTTTCCAACTTCCTCCAGTGCTTATTAGCTAAATATATATTTAAAAAAAGAATTACCTTTAAAAGTGCTTGACATGATAAAGGAGTAGCATCTTAATCTTACTATATTGAAATATCAACCTAGCTGGCAGCAAAGCTAGAGTTTAAAATAATTGAAGATGCCATTTTTAAAAAGTCAGCGTATCAGTATATGCATAAAGGCTTATTCTAAAAATTTCCTTTCATGTTGCTGGCTTTACACATTAGGATAGAATTCCTTCAGGTTGTACAAGACAGAGGAAACCTTTCTTTTCTAGCGTTATACACTCTAGAAACTAGTTTCAGTCTCCAGTGCAAAATAAATTTCAGTTAACACCTGAGAGGCATGGGTCCTAAAGGTACTAATATGCACTAGTTTCATTTCCTGTGCAGTACCTAGTATGTTTCTCTCCCTCTGCTTCATGTTTTTTCTCATTGTTAGCTACTAGTTACTGTAAAAATCTCTTATACTTTGCCTCCTCATCTAGAACATATTAGAAAACGCAGCATCCCAGGCTTTCTTGAATCACTATCAAGATACTATGGGAAGGGAAGTATAGAAAGTTCTGTTTTCCAGTCCTCTTCACTCAGATCCTCCAAATTAATGTTCCTGGGATGGAGTCAGTACAGGGAAGTGCACAACCAAGGTTGTCAAGACTGGTTGAAAAATACTTTGGAGCCTCACAGAAGGCAATTTGCCATCAAATTAGATAACGTCGAGTTTATAGACCCTCTAGCTCACTAGAAATACCTGTAGACTTTTTATCCTATTATCTCCCAGTCAGAAAGCAGGCTGGCAACCCTGGTTTATGCTTTGTTAGGTTTTTTTGAAAAATGAAGCTGCAGGTCATATTTAAGAAAACATCTAGAAGACTTAAAAATTACTAAATAAATACTCGTACCTTTTTAGATTGTTGCTGTGATTTTGGAGTTATATAGACCCTTTGATGCTACTGAAGTTCGTTGTTATGATTTCATTTGAAATCCAAAAAAGGCCATGCATTTGCATTTATTCTAGCAAAAGTTTTCCAGATGAGTTGATGGTTGAGGAAATTTGATTATTTAGGAGATGGCAGTTACTATAACCAATGTGTTTCTCATTTGAAATATTTTTTACCTAATAGTACATAATTGAATTGTTTCTAGAAACTTCTTTCCTTCTTTTTCACTCTCTTTATTTAGACATGAAGAACAGCCAAGACCTTTTGTGTTGCACGCATGCTTGAGGAACTCAGATGATGAAGTAAGATTTCTACAAACGTGTTCTCGGGTTCTGGTGTTTTGTCTCCTCCCCTCAAAGGATGTGCAGTCTCTCAGCTTACGTATAATGCTTGCAGAAATTCTCACAACAAAAGGTAGACTTATACAGTTGATTTCACTAATTCAATAAGTGTGCAAACTAATGTGCTACATGCAGACCTTGTTTACTGTTGAACATATGGGATTTGAAGTATTTTCAAAATCTTGTTTATATGTCTCTAAAACTATTTGGCCATTCAGGATAAACTTAAATTTTTAATATGACATATCGCCAAATGCACAGTCCATTAAGTTGCATGTTTTGACATAGAAAACAAGTTTTTATGCTCTTCACAGGGAAGCATTCATTTGGGATAGCTTTTGAGTTATCTAGGCCAATAATATATACATTAATGAAAGTATGTGTATGTGTGTATAATATCTATATAATATCCATAGTATGTATGTTTATATATTACGTGTGTGTGTGTGTTCAAATTCTTTTTTTTTTCTTTAAATAGAGATGGGGGTCTTACTATGTTGCCCAGGCAAGTCTTGAACTCCTGGGTTCAAGTGATCCTCCCACTTAGGCCTCCCAAAGTGCTGAGATTACAGGTGTGAGCAACCATCCCTGACCACAGTCAAATTCTGATTAGCATATTTACTTAAAATATCTTTGCTATATGATTTGTTGATAATGCGTATACAGTAATGCATTGCTTAACAACAGGGATGTGTCCGAAGAAATGTGTCATTAGACAATGTCATTGTGCAAATATCATAGAGTGTACTTACACACCTACATGGGATAGCCCACTACACATGTGGGCAATATGGTGTAACCTATTGCTCCTAGACTATAAACCTTATACCATATTACTGTACTGAATACTGTAGGCAATAGTAACACAATGATATTTGTGTATCTAAGTATAGAAAAGGTACAGTAAAAATATGGTATAAAAGATAAACAACAGTACACCTATATAGGACACTTACCATGAATGGAGCTTGCAGGACTGGATGTTGCTCTGAGTGAGTGGGGAGTGACTGTGAAGGCCTAGGACATGACTGTGCACCACTGCAGACTTCATAAACAGTGTACGCTTAGGCTACACTACATTTATTTAAAATTTTATTTTCTTCAATAAATTAACCTTAGCTTACTATAACTTTTTTTACTTTATGAACTTTTAATTTTTTTAAACTTTTTGACTCTTTTGTAATAACATTTATCATCATTATCAAGTATGCACTGTACATAATTGTATGTGCTGTATTTTTATACTATTGACAGTGCAATAGGTTTCTTTACACTAGCTTGACCTCATTAAATGGTAGAAAATTTTCAGCTTCATTATAATCTTATGGGGGCCACTGTCATATAGTCAGTCTGTTGTTGACCAAAATGTCATTATGTGGCGCATGACTGTACATAATTTTGTGAACTTGGAATATGTAAAAAGGAACTGTACCACAATATAATGTGATTACTAGAAAAAAGTTAACTATATCCAGGGAAATGCTTAGTCAGGATAAGAGAAACTTTCCCTATCTCAGTCTCAGACAAATAGCATTGCATTTGAGATGCAGTGATTATCTCATTTACTATCTCAGGATAAGCCAGCTGTGCCCATCAGCTATTATAACCAACCACAGAGAAGAGAGGAAGTTTCTAATCTCAAGTTACAAGGATGGCTTTGTAATAGTGTCATTGACTTTTTAACTTCCTCTCTGAGGTCTGTTTTAACCAGTTGGGGAGAATGTTGACTTTCATCCTTTGGCAGACTAAGCTTGTCAAAACGTATTGAGCCTTATAAAATAAGTAAAAGAAAAAAATCAGTGTTTTTTTGGTTGTTGTAATTTTGTGGTTTTTTGTTTTTTGAGATGGAGTCTCACTCTGTCGCCAAGGCTGGAGTGCAGTGGCGAGATCTCGGCTCACTGCAACCTCTGCCTCCCGGGTTCAAGCAATTCTCCTGCCTCAGTCTCCCGAGTAGCTAGGATTACAGACATGTGCCACCATGCATGGCTAATTTTTGTGTTTTTGGTAGAGATTGGGGTTTCACCATGTTAGCCAGGCTGGTCTCAAACTCCTGACCTCAAGTGATCCACCTGTCTCAGCCTCCCAAAGTGCTGGGATTACAGGTGTGAGCCACCACGCCCGGCCTTAATTTTGATAGATTTGTTAGCAACTTGAGTTCCAAATGACTTCCCTTCATGATTCTTTTACATTTCACTTATTTATTAAAATGACAACTTGATTATAGCCATGGATGATAACATATTTGGAGGGATAGGCAGCTGTATGTGTGCATGTGTGTACATTTTTGAATTGTTTATTGTATTATATAGATATTCCCCTGTTTGACTACTTGAAAAATGTTTCCCAAATGTAGTCTCAGTTATGTGATACATAAACAGTTCCCTTAAAGAAGAATACCTTTCTCAGTGGCTATTTCTTCTTCTTCCTGTAGTCTTGAAGCCGGTAGTGGAGTTACTGAGTAATCCAGATTACATTAACCAAATGCTGCTTGCCCAGCTGGCGTACAGAGAGCAAATGAATGAGCATCACAAGAGAGCCTACACCTATGCCCCCTCTTACGAGGACTTCATCAAGCTCATTAACAGCAACTCTGATGTGGAGTTCTTGAAGCAACTAAGGTATTTGGTCTTCAATTATAGCACAGCAACAGCTACTGATTATCATCCCCTGCCTAGTTAGGTTAAAAAAAAAAAAAAGTAGTTGTCAGGGAAGCAGAAATAAAACAAGTCTATAAATCTTACTATTTAGTGACAGCTAAATTTATCCAGCGTCTCCTTAGCAGTGTAATTAGAATGAATTTTTTTAAAGTATTAGGTTTTTCAAATACAGTTGACTCGAACAATTTGGGGCACCCACGCTCCCCACCGCCCCCACCCCCAGTCAAAAATCACATATAACATTTGACTTGGGCCAAGCACAGTGGCTCAAAAGTGCTGTAATCCCAGCACTTTGGGAGGCTGAGGTGGGCGGATCACTTGAGGTCAGGAGTTCAAGACCAGCGCGGCCAACATGGTGAAACCGCATCTCTACTAAAAATACAAAAATCAGCTGGGTGTGGTGGCACATGCCTGTAGTCCCAGCTACTCAGGAGGCTGAGGTATGAGAATCACTTGAACCTGGGAGGTGGAGGTTGCAGTGAGCTGAGATCACACCACTGCACTCCAGCCTGGGTGACAGAGTGAGACTCCTTCTAAAAAAAAAAAAAAAATTGACTCTCCAAATACTTAACTACTAAATACCTTACTGTTGACCAAAGCCTTACTAATAACATAAACAGTTGATTAGCACGTATCTTGTGTGTTATATGTGTTATATACTGTATTCTTACAATAAAGTAAGCTGGAGAAAAGAAAATATTATGAAAACCAGAAAGAGAAAATATATTTACTATGCAGTAAGTGGAAGTAGATCATCATAAAGGTCTTCATCCTCATCTCTTCACATGGAAGTATGCTGAGGAGGAAGAGAATGAGGAGGGGTTTGTCTTACTGTCTCAGGTGGCAGAGGCAGAACAAAATCCTGTGTAAGTGGACTCATGCAGTTCAAACCTATGTTTTTCAAGAGTCAGCTGTAATGAGGCTATAATAGACTGAAAGCTCTTCAGATGTCGGGAGTACCTGCTTAGCTGCTCAGATGACTACCTTAGAAAAGCACTGGAAGGACATCAGAAGGAGAAGATGTGTTTCAAATTACAGAGTAGAACATTGTGTTGGTTTTTGTTTGTCTTGGACAGTACAGAGGCTTGGGTTTGGGAATAAGAGGTTCTAGATTAATTATTTTGAGAAAACACATTTGAAAATACCATAGGAGTATCTTTTATAGGGGAGCACAGTGTCCCTTGTTATACCTGAGATATTTTAGGGGGTGTGTATTTTTGTGTATTTTTAATAGTATATACACATTTAGTATGATTATATAGTATTATCTAGTTTGTAAATTTTCTAGGCTTCTGTTTCTCTACCCTTCTTTTTAATGTTCCCAAATGATAATATAGGGGAAAGAAAGAAAACTCTTATATGTTCATTTTGCTTTTCATTAATAATTTTGGTAAAACCCTGATGGAAAAGTAAAATATTGGTTGAAATTGGGTGTTTGAATTAGTCGAGGTTTTTAAACTTGTGACATTTGCTTTTGAACTAGGGTTAACATTAAGATGACTCATGCTGTTTAATTTTCTGATTCGAATAAAGCACCATCTAAGGAGGCATAGACGTAGATGGCACTGTGTTCTTATACATGGTGTCATGTGTTAATCTAGGTGTCACAAATACATAATGACAGCTTCAATTTACAAATACATACCTCAAATACATAATGACGGGTTCAATTTACAAATATATACTCAAATATATAATGATGAGTTCAATGTAAATGGATTTGTTTACAAGGAATTTAATTTTGGGTATAATATATATCTGATGTAATATCTGGAGATTTAATGTTTCTCTTGCCATGCATAATTTTGAATAGACTACATGATATTCTTTATAGATTTGTTTTTATTTCTGTCTGAGTCTAGACATTTCTTTTTCGTAAGTGTGATGCTTGAGCTAGAACCCAAGAGCCAGTATTCCAGGTTTGTTATGTGAGGCTCACAGGTTACATCCACTCAAGTCATCCTTATCATAGTGTCCTTCGATTCCTTTTAAAGCATCATTCTATAAAAGTGAAAGAGCTCAGTGGTAGAACACCCTTGTTGCCTCTCCTCTCCCTAAAACTGTACGTACACACACACACCCCAAACTCTAGTTGTAGGGATGCTATTCAAACCTATACTCGAATACTCATCTACCTGGTGTTTTCGTGCCTGCTGTTCCTGGATTTGCTGTGCATGGTGTGACAAGGTGACATGATGACTATGCCCCACAACGTTATAAATTCTTCCTAAGTCATTGTTTATGAACAGATAACTCATGTTGATAATTTGTGGCTTCATTGAATTCCTGAGCATTTTTCTTTGACCAAATAGTCGTTCCACAGTAAAGGCAGGTGTGGACTATTTGGTAACCCCAAGTGAGTTTAAGATAACAATCTAGAGTCAATAGTGGCAGATTAAGAGAATCAGTATTCCTTGTTCTTACAGACTTGTGGATGAGTGTTCTATTTTGTGTGCCAAACTGAAGATTCCAGCACTGCACATAGGGATGTATTTAATAGTTAATGGAGGAAACAGAAAGGCATCAGAGTTTTGTTGTTGTTTTGTTGTTGTTGTTGTTTTTTAAGAGACAAGGTCCTGTGGTGTTGCCCACACTGGAAACAAACTCTAAGGCTCAAACAGTCCTCTCCCTCAGCCTTCCAAGTAGCTGGGACTACAGGCGAGCTCCTGATTTTTTAAAAATCAGAACTAGTTATTTTGAATGATCTACCACTGGTTCTCTAGCACCATCTGTTATTTTGTATCTTAACACAGTTCCTGTATTGTAAGATGAATGAATCTTGATAAGAATTAATGGTTTATCTTCTTCAAAATGTACCAGCCAAAGATTCAGAACTATTTAAATACTATATACAGTTCATCATCTGGTAGACAAAGAAGTAGCTCAAAAAAAAAAAAAAAAAATCCCAGCACTTTTGGAGGCTGAGGAGGGCAGATTGCTTGAGCCTGGCAGTTCAAGACCAGCCCGGGGAACATGGCGAAACCCCGTCTCTACAATAAAAAACAATAAAACTATGGTGTACACTGCCCCAGGATGATTGAACAGCTTACTTTTATTGCAGTAGGCACATCATGGATTGCCTTAACTTGATTGACCAAAGATTACACTGAAGTTCTGATTTTATGTTTTTCCTTTCCCTGCTACTATGTGATGAAACAAAAATAGTGTGAGCCCTTAATCTTTCTCAAAGATCGCTTCCTCTTGACGTCATAAATAGGGCAAGATTAAAGGGATAGCACCTGGGTGCCCTGGGAAGCAGGCCCTTTGGTCTTGAGCACTGAGGGACTTAAGAGGCAGTAGAAGTGCTAAACTGAAGAATACCTTTTGAAAATGAGATATAATTCACGTACCATAGAATTCACCACCTTTAAGTGTACAATTCCGTGGTTTTAGTGTATTCAGAGACTCTGATTGTCACTACTATGTAATTTCAGAATATTTTCATCACCCCAAAAAGAAACCCTGTGCCCACTAGCAGTCACTCCCCATTCCTTCCCTCCCTCCAGCCCTTGGCAACCGCCAGTCTGCTTTCTGTCTCTATGGATTTGCCTAGTCTGGACATTTCATGTAAATGGAATCATGTAGTATGTGGCCTTTTGTGTCTGGTTGCTTTCACTCATTATGTTTCCAAGGTTCATTTGCATTGTATAATGTATCAGTGCCCCATTCCTTTTTTTGGCTGAATAATATTCCATGGTATGAATATAGCACATTTTATCCTTTCACCGGTCCATGGGCAAGTTGGATTGTCTGCCATTTAAAGGATGCCTTTTGAGTGACCGTTGAGCATCTTCAGTGACGTTGTCAGTGACTGTTTACAAGTGAGAGTAAAATAAAATGTTGCAGTTCCTAACCTCTTCCTAGTATGGCCTCCTGCCACAGCGTACCCACCGCTGCCAAGGAGTGATGGGACACAGGCACCAGGAAGGTGCATTCCTTTTGTGCACTATTCCTGTTCTGTATGTTGTATATTCCTCTGTCTTCCTTCTTACTACTAGGCTTTGTGTTTCCAGCAGAGTTTGCAGAGTCAGTGGGAAGGGCACTTGGAGGTATTTGGATTAGATAATCGAGCTTGACAGGTGACTAGTCTATTAGAGGCAAAAGGGATACATTCTCAGACTTAATTAGGTTGCATCCTTTTATAAGCAATCTCAGCTCACTGCAACCTCTGCCTCCGGGTTTAAGCGATCCTCCCACCTCAGTCTCCCAAGTAGCTGGGACTACAGGCACACGCCAGCACGCCTAATTTTTGCCATGTTGGCCAGGCTGGTCTTGAACTCCTGGCCTCAAGTGATCCACTCGCCTCGGTCTCTCAAAGTGCTGGAATTACAGGTGTGAGCCACCGTGCCCGGCCTGGAACTGTTTTCTTAATTCATAGACTGAGCTATTCTGTTGTTTTTCTGGTACAATTATAGTACTCTGCTATCTGACTTTATTGGTGTTTTACATTACTATCTTCAAATTGCTCTCAATACAATTTTGGGATAGGCTGCCTGAGGCAGGTAATGTGTTTTATTTAGACTAAGCAGTTGATGTACCTATCCACTTTTATTTTTTACATATTTGAGAGATGCGTATTTTCTAAAGGAAATGAAGTCATTCAACTCTGTTAGGGCGGAATGCGCTAAAAACAAACACAAAAAACCTTGAAGGTGATATTTGTAGTTCTGGAATAGTTTGGTTATTTTCTGAATCAGCATGAAGTGCTTTCACAGTAGAACTAGAAATGCATCCTTCAAATATACTAAATTAGTGGTTTTAACCTAGGCTGTATGTCAGAACCACTGAGACCTTTTAAAAAAGTAAGTTGTATATTCCACTAGCTTTTGTAGCTTTTCCTTTGTCTTCTTTTCTGGATGCAGGATGTTGAAGTGAAGATGTGGTGGCTATACTGGTGTGATATTTTGAATTTTCCATGGTTTTCTGGTAGGAGCAGTGACTGACTCTGCTAATAGCACAAGAGCCAAAAATGTGAATGCCACCTTGGTTCCGGATATTAAAGGGCAGCTGGATGGGTTTCCCACAGTTGGTGTAGGTGGTGAGGGATGCCACAATCAAGGAAGGCAAACCAGAGCTCAGAATGAAGGTGCATCTGTTAGTGAAACTCACAATTGCCATTAAACTAGAGAATAGACTGAGTGTTCCCTTGTTTTCAAGATAAAGTGGGGTCAAAGCAAACATTACAGTAGAAATGAAAGGTTTGCCCTTTCAGAACCTCTTATAAATGCGCGGACAGCTTGTGGCCCAGGAAAACATCCATTGCTGCCTGCATTGTGTAATCCTGCAGTGCATTTGTAAACTGTGTGCTAATGAAAATGGTTTGTTCTTCCACAAATAGGTGCCTCGGCTTCACCCCTAGGAATTTTTATGTAATTGGTCTGGAGGGGAATCCGGGCATCAGGATTTTTAAAAAGCTCCCCTGGTGATCGTAACGTGCAACTAATATTGAGATTCTCTTGTAAATGGAGTATTCTTCCACCTGCTTCCCATCTGAAGTCTTGACTAGACATCCTGTTGTATAATTCATTGCACCCTAATTATTTGAAAACTGGTTGTACTATTTGAGATATATGGAAACTCTGTTGAGGAGAATATTGACTGATCGGGATACCTCATTCTTTTACCACGTTTATTGCAATGAACAAAGGGTGTTTTCTCACTGACCTTCCTGAGAGACATTTTTAACCTAAGGTTTCTCAACCTTGGTAAAATTGACACTTGGGGCTAGATAATTCTTTATTGTGGGAGGTTGTTCTGTTTACTGTAGAATTTTTAGCAGTATGCCTTGCCCCTACCCACTGAATGCCAGTGGTATTCTGCTGTACCCTTACAGTTGCGACAAACAAAATGCTTCCGGACATTGCCAAGTGTCTTAGGGGGAAAAGCTGCACCTGGTTGAGAGCCACTGGCTTAAACCCATGAATAGATTGGAGGTACTTAAATTAGTTAGGATCCAGTTCAGCTGAAGGTTACCAAAAACCTCCCAAATAATGATGGCATCCAAAGTATAGCAGTTTTTTCCCCAGATTGATTGAGATACACGTGACCAATAAAAATTCTGTATATTTAAGGTGTACAGTGTCATTTATTTATTTAGAGACAGGGTCTCACTCTGTCACCCAGGCTGGAGCGCAGTGGTGCAATCACAGCTCACTGCAGCCTTGACCTTCTGGGCTCAAGGGATCCTCCCTCCTGCCTCAGCCTCCCAAAGTGCTGGGATTCCAGGGGTCAGCCACCATGCCTGGCTGATATTTGATGTATGTACACATTGTGGAGTGATTACCACAAGCAAGCTAATTAACATATCAATTACCTTACATAGTTACCATTTTTTGTGTGTGGTGAGAACACCTAGGATCAACTCTTAGCAAATTTCGAGTGTATCATACCCAGTATTACCAGCTGTAGTCACCATGCTGTGTGTTAGCTCTCCAGAAGTTACTCACCTTTGTACGCTTTAACCAGCATCTTCCAATCTCCCTCCCACCTTCAGCCCCTGGTAACCACCATTCTACTCTCTGCTTTTAGGAGTTGGGCTGTTTTAGATTCCACATGTACGTGAGATGATGCAGTGTTTGGCTTATTTTATTTAGCACAGTGTCCTCCAGGTTCATCCACATTGTTGCCAATGGCAGGATTTCCTTCTTTGTTAAGGCTGAATAGTAAAGCAGGCAGTCCGGGACTTGTGGTGTGGGGGCTCCATCCTTCTCAAGGAGCCAGACTCCTTCCAGCTCACTGCTCTGCCATCCTGAGAGTATAGTCCAGAGTCTTCATGGTCCAGGGTGGATTCTAGAATTTCACCCATCATATCCTAATTCCAGCAAGCAGGTTGAAGGCAAGGAAAAAAGATGACAAGGTTATACACGGGCTTTTTTTTTTTTTTTGAGATGGAGTCTCACTCTGTCACCCAGGCAGGGATGCAGTGGCGCAATCTCAGCTCACTGCAACCTCCACCTCCCGGGTTCAAACGATTCTTCTGCCTCAGCCTCCTGAGTAGCTGGGACTACAGGTGCGCCCCACCACGCCTGGCTAATTTTTGTATCTTTAGTAGAGACAGGATTTCACCATATTGGCCAGGCTGGTCTCGAACTCCTGACCTCATGATCCACCCGCTTCTGCCTCCCAAAGTGCTGGGATTACAGGCGTGAGCCACCATGCCCAGCCAACACTGGCTGTCTTTTAAGGACCTTTCTGGAAACTACTGCATGGTATTTCTGCTTTTATTTTATTGGTCAGAACATTTGAGATATGATGGGTAATTTTATTCTGGGCAGCCTTAGACCTAGTTAAAAAATAGAGGATTCTATTACTTAGAAAGCAGGAAGAATGGATATGGGATATGCAAGCAGCCATTTTTGCTGCCATAGCACATGGATAGTTTAGTGAGGCAGAATAGCTCTACTTCCCACACAAGCATGAGAAACATGCAGCTTTCCTGGACTCGAACTCTTTGCCAAAGTTAAAGAGATGCCAAGCAAATACTCAAGAGGAGAAAACTTTGTTTTCTAAGCTACCATGTGCTGAATATCTATTATGTATTAAGCACAGTGTTGGATTCTTAATAATTATCATCTTTCTTGATCATTATAACAAGCATATGAATTAGGTAGTATTTTTTCCCTTCTTAGGGTTGTAGAAAGTAAACTGACTTGCCCAGGATCCCATAGATAATAAACAACAGAGCTGGGATTTGAACTGAGGTCGGCCTGACTTCAAATCCCATATTTAAGGCTGGGTGACTTGCTAGCCAGGTGGGCAGAAAACAGCAGTGACACAGGGCTCTAACTTTTGGGGGTTTTCTTCAAGTGTGGAGATAACCCTTTACTGTTTGTGAGTCTCGGCTGGCACTAAACCTTTGCACAGAGGACAAATAATAACATCAGAAGTGTTGACAGCTATTATTAGGACAGTGATAGACTGCCAGAGAGGCAGGTAGTGATAAAGAAAATCAGAGCAGCCTATTACTGCCATAATTTTATTTACCACCGATCTAGTCTTTATTCGATGTTTCAGTTCTGGATTTGTTTATTTCTGACCCCTCATTTGAAGATCAACATGGAGAATCTGAAAATAGTAGAGAGGGAATTTTAGTAATGGCTGAAAGGTTTAAAATTCAAACGATTAAGGATTATTTAGCTTGGAGAAGAAAAGAAGATTTTTTATCTAATACATAGATAATACATGAGATTAAGGTGGTGGTTTCTGTTTTACTAGGATAAAGCAAGAGGAAAGGGGCATAATTAATTAATTAATGTAAAAGATTGCAATTAACAATAAAGTGGGTTACTGATGGAGCTTTCTATTTTGCTTATTTTCTCTTTAGCTATTAAAGGAATGGATTTTTTTCTTTGAATTAGTTCAGGTCTGCTTGCACATGAAGATAATGTATTAAAACATGAAAATTCTTAAAATAGCATGCTTCTTTGAAGAACTTAAATTATTTGAATGTTCAGTGTTTTGAACAGTGATTCTGAAAATACATTGTGACTCATGAGCAGTAAAATAGGATTATGTTGTAAAGGAACATGAAATAAGAAATCAAGTGTACCTCCATACAAACTAATACATCATGTCAGCAATCAGTGAGCACATATAAACTGCCAAGGAAAAGGTTAGTTGTGGGTGGACAAGGAGATGAAAAATCATAATATATAAAACAAAAAGAATCCTGGCAGATTTTTATGAAAAGAATGAATGAATATAAATTTAGTTCCAAAAAAACTCAAAATGTGAGGCTGTTTATGAAAAATACTCTAAAAGATCTTTCAGTTTTATGAGAAAAGTTCATTGACTTCAGAATATACCTCCTTCAGTTGGTGTCTGAGAAATAGCAGAGGGCACATATCAGAGAACACACATTATTTTCATTTAGCAAGAAGGATAATTATGTATTGGCAGCAATATAAAATTTGATGTAAGAAGGGGAAATGTTGGTATAAAGAAGTTTATGATCTCTGAATTTATTATGTTCTTGTAGTTGGAGCAACACTGCACTGAGGTATGCATATCTGCTTTATGAATGAGTAAGGGTGAGTCAGTTTATATAAAGTACTTAACTCAAGATATGGCACATTTCCCTCTATTAGCCACCACTGTAGTTGTTGTTATGATCATTAGACCAAGGATAGCAAATAGATTTAATCTTACTGTGAACAGTGATCAATTTCTAGTGGTCAACTGGAGTGCAATATTTATTTTTGGGGTTTGAGAAGCTCCAATAAATAACAACACTCTTCCTCCCATCCCGAGGTCGGAACCGTTTTAAAGCCAAAGAATAAAACAAACAAGACCAAAATGTCACTTACATTACTAATAGATAATGGAGAACGTGGCCTATATGTGCAAGCAAGCAGCATGCTTTCTAAAACAACCTCAGAGCCAGGTGTCATGGCACACTTGGGAGGCTGGGGCGGGAGGATGGCTTGAGCCCAGGAGTTTGAGCAACAGCCTGGGCAACATAGTGAGACCTTGTCTCTTAAAAAAACTTAAAGGTAAAATAAATAGTCTCAGGATTAAACCATCTTTCCCATCTAGCAATGCTGGACCAGAATAAGCCTCCTTGACCATGCTTTCCCCGCCGCCCTGTCTCCCTGGCAGGTCCAGGATCCACCTGCTGGCTGCCCTTGGAGGCAGAGAACACACACCCTTAAGAGGAAGGAAAAAAGAAAGGCTGTGCTTCTCCACATGCTCATTTGTCTTTCTGTGATCAGATAAAAAGCCTCCTCTTGCCCTAAGGAGGAGTAGGCGAAGGGTTGAGAAGGGCCAGAGATGAGGCTTCTTATGTATGGAATGAAGCATCAAGAGTTGGGGGTGGGTAATGCTCTTCCCCTTTTTTATTTTTATTTTTCAAGAAGGAGTCTCGCTCTGTCACCCAGGCTGGAGTGCAGTGGCACAATCTCAGCTCAGTGCAACCTCTGCCTCTCGGGTTCAAGTGATTCTTGTGCCTCAGCCTCCCGAGTAGCTGGGATTACAGGCGTGTGCTACCACATCTAGCTAATTTTTATATTTTCAGTAGAAACTGGGTTTCACCATGTTGGCCAGGCTGGTCTGGAAGTCCTGACCTTGTAACCCACCCACCTTGGTCTCCCAAAGTGCTGGGATTACAGATATGAACCACTGAACCTGGGCCATCTTCTCCTTTAAAAAAGAAAAAAAGTGGTGCTAAGTCCCTACTGAAAAGAATTTTGTGACTCCCAAGGTCTGTTGAAGGAACGGTGGAGAAGAGTGGTAGAAGATGTGTGCTGGTCGTTTTCAACAACTGGCTTTTGGGCAAGGTGAGAAACCCTGACTGTGGCATTTGCTGATCTCTGTGGTGTTAATACTCCCGCCATGGCCGATTTAAAGCCACCAGCATGACGTCACTGAACGTGGACTTGGGGAGAGATTTGCAATAGCACACCATTACAGTATATAGAGTATTTCCAAAATACTGACATAAAAGATGTAAATAACCTCACAAGCATATGTAATAATAAAACTAATGAATAAAGTTATTAGGAAATGATGAGTTTTGAGTACTTATTACCTTTTTTTTTTTTTTTTTTTTTTTTTTTTTTGAGACGGAGTCTCGCTCTGTCGCCCAGGCTGGAGTGCAGTGGCGGGATCTCGGCTCACTGCAAGCTCCGCCTCCCGGGTTCACGCCATTCTCCTGCCTCAGCCTCCCAAGTAGCTGGGACTACAGGCGCCCGCCACTACGCCCGGCTAATTTTTTGTATTTTTAGTAGAGACGGGGTTTCACCGTTTTAGCCGGGATGGTCTCGATCTCCTGACCTCGTGATCCGCCCGCCTCGGCCTCCCAAAGTGCTGGGATTACAGGCGTGAGCCACCGCGCCCGGCCTTATTACCTTTTAAAAAATAAAATTTATTTAATTGTAAGTTTGTATAATTTAATTTTTAGTAATGATGTGTTTAATTTCTAAATATTTAGCAGCCAGGTCTCATGAGGTGGCACAAGCCTCAGGGCTGGCTCCTGCACATCACTAAGCGGTAGCCACATGTTCTGTCTTTCAATGACCCTGTACTGTAGAGAAATGCAGTTCTTCCAAAGGTGGAGGACGGTTAACAATGCAAGTCAACTTATGGCAATCAGTCAAGCACCTCAGGTAGACCCTGGCCAAGAGCTTGGGCTCAAGAGTCAGACAGACCTGGACTTAACAGACCTGGTTTGCATTTTTGCTTTGCTTTTTGAAGCTGCATGACCTTGGGAAAGTCATTTAAACTTCGAGCCTCAGTTTTAACTGTGAAATGGAGAAAATACTTCCTACTTCCTAGGATTGTTGTGATAATTAAATGAAATGACGCATGGAATGAATGAATGAATGAATGAATGTAGTTCTCGGATCATAGTAGTCTTTCAGTGAGAGCTAAAAAATAGCAGTTGCCGGGAGAAGGTAAATACACTTTCAGATCCTGACTTTAATAGGATTAATGGATGAGATGAAGCTACAAGATAATGTCTTATTTCAGAAAAAGTTCACTCAAAATGTAGGAGAAAGCCATTAGGACATTTTCAATATAGAACATAAAACTAGTCAACTAAAGGTGATATTCAGTAAACATTCTGAATAAAAAAGCTTAATGTAAGAATTGAGAATGAAACATATACGAATGGTGCTATACGTATGAGTATAAATAAACATTATAGTCATACTAACAGCTGACATAAAACTATGAGGAACAGTAGTAGAAAATAGATATGGATAGCACAGCAAAAATGTTTGGCGTTTTTGAGGTTATCTAAAAGGCACCAGCTAGCCAGTAGTGACATAGATTTGATTGTTTCTGTAACATGTAATTTCTGTAGGCTCTGGGAACTAGGAAATGAATATATGGTAACATTTTTGTTTATTTTAGGAAGATAAAAATATAGATAAGATTAAGAAATGTATAAATACCATTTATACTTAATATATTTCCAAATTGTATATATATTTTTATAATTATATACATATTATATATGTCTATTTTTATAACTTTATATGGGGAGAGGGAGACAGGTGTGCATGTGTATTTCCTAAGTTCAGGACACCTCACCCTGGGCTGCTCCGGTCCAGAACCTCCTACCTGATGTGACTCAAATAGTGTTGTAGGTACGTGGAGATGGTTTCCTCAACCCTTGGGGTGGCCTTGTGATGGCTGGTTACCTCAGTGTTCTGTTCAAATATAATTTTCTACATGTGCTATGAATAGAAAAAGACTGGGAAGCATGCCTTAGTCTTTCTGTGGAATTAACTGCCTTCTGCAACACTAAAAAGATGGGAAAACAGTTTTAAAAGCCCTTTAGTGGAAAGAGCCTTTCATAACTCTAAGTCCTAACTTAAAATACTATTTTACTCCTGACACTCCCTGCTTAATGCCATTGGACATACCTCATGAAAATATAGCGCAAAACCTTGTACTTATCCTCAGTAGTACTCAGAGACATAAACCCTAAAATGAGATATTTTTTCTTTGCTCATAATATTGGTGAAGATTAAAAATTTGTTAACTAGCATTGGCAAGGGTGTAGGAAAATAGAACCTTGTGTTCTGTTGGGAGGAGTATAAATTATTACCTTTTTGTGACACAATTTTGTAGTGTGGAAATGGGCATTCTTTTTGATGT
The DNA here is from genome assembly GCF_000001405.40 of Homo sapiens. Lineage (NCBI taxonomy): Eukaryota > Metazoa > Chordata > Mammalia > Primates > Hominidae > Homo > Homo sapiens. Next base: position 185,279,798 of record NC_000004.12, read on the forward strand.
ACTTATGACTCATAATAATTTATTTTTAAGGAAATAATCATGTATGGACAGATTTCTCCAAGAATGTTGCTTGTAGTTTTTGTTGTTGTTGTTTTGTTGTTTTTTTTGTTTGCTTGTTTCTGTGCTTTGTTTTGTGTTTTTAAGACAGGGTCTCACTCTGTCACCCAGGCTGGAGTGCAGTGGCGCGATCACAGCTCACTGCAACCTTGACCTCCCATGCTCCGTCAATCCTCCCACCTCAGCCTCAGCCCAGTCCCAAGTAGCTGGGACTACAGGAGCATGCCACCACGCCAGGATAATTTTTGTATTTTCTGTAGAGACGAGGTCTCATTATGTTGCCCAGGCTGGTCTCAAACTATCCACCGACCTTGGCCTCCCAAAGTATTGGAATTACAGACGTGAGCCACCACACCATGCTGCAGTTTTATTTAAGTAGAGAAAAGCTTGTAATAACCAAAATGCCTAACAAAAAGGGTTTGGTTAAAAAGATTTTTGGTGTATCTATACAGTGGAATACCATATATTGGTAATGGTGTAGCATTAGCATATTTAATTGTGCTGGAAAATATTAATTATAAATTAATAAAAAACACTCTAAGGCAATATGTATAGCATAAACCCAGTTTTATAAAACAAAAAAATTATGTTTGCATAGAAAAAGGTTATAAAGATAGTCCAAATGTTAATAGTGGTTAACTTTGAATGTTGTGCTTTGTATATTTTCTCATTTTCTTCAATGAACATATGCTACTTTAGAGAAAGTAAAAACTGGTGCAGACTGAGAAAGTAAAATCTGCCCAGCCATTTATCAGGCTGGTATAACAGACACTAAAGCCACCTACAAAGTAAACAGGAAACAATATTTCTCCTAAGTACCTGCCATGGCAGTAAAATGTCATAATGATACCCTTCTTTGTGCTTTCGTGTTCACTGAGAAACTTTGTTTTCAAAAATCTTCAACTGCCAGTTCCTGTTTGGAATTATGTCAGTAAGAATGACAGATTCTACTTTTGCCTGGGTGATCTAAGTCAGCTTGACACAAAGAAGCAGCTTTGATTTACGACCCAGATGCAGAGCCGCAGTTATGGGGTTTCTGGACTCAGTATATCTATCTTGCAGCTTTCAGGAAACGAGACCCTGGATCCACCCAACATTGACCGCTTTACACAGCCCTGTCTTGGGCCTATCAAAATGCTGCTTCATTTAAATTTCACCTTCACTCCACTGTTCCCTAGAATCCCATAGTAATGTTACCTTTTCCCTCGTTTGGAGAGACGCCCCACAGCTTCCACTGCTACACTGTCTCTTGCTCTTTATGTGGGTCAGTTGACCTGATTTTGTTGGACTAGAGTGATCTTGGTGGTCTCAGGTTGATTGGGCTAAAATGCTCTGTAATCAGGAAAAAATAAGGCTGCTTCAAATTTATACATATTTAACAAACATGTATACGTACCATTTCCCTAGATAGTACATATCTAAAGACTCAGTAACTGTGTTAAGGAAGAATAATAATGAACATTTATTGAACTCTCACTGCGGGGCAGACTGTGTTTTAAGATTTTTAAGGGTATTATCTAATTTAATGTGTATAACAACCCTATAAAGAAAAATTACTCTTATTACTCTTTTCTATAAATGATGATGCTTTAGTTTTAGAAAGCTTAAATCATTTTCCCAGGATGACATAGTGTGTGTTAGAAACAGGATTTGAACACAGGCCATCCACTGTGAGAGCTCACATTCTTTACTACTCTGATACACTTTCTCATTTATCCAGCAGTCCCTTTTAGTAGTGCCATGGATGGGAAAAAACTTCAGCTTAGCTGGCTAAAAGCATCATGGCTTTATTTCTTCACAAATTCTATAACTGAAGTCCCTCTAACAAAAACATTCCTAGCCTGTGGCAACTCTGAAAACATTCTTATAAAATTCTTTAAGCTGGGTGCGGTGGTTCATGCCTGAAATCCCAGCACTTTGGGAGGCTGAGGCGGGCAGATCACTTGAGGTCAGGAGTTCAAGACCAGCCTGGACAACATGGTGAAACGTCATCTCTACGAAAAATACAAAAATTAGCCGGGTATGGTCGTGCGCACCTGTAATCCCAGCTATTCCAGAGGCTGAGACATGAGAATCGCTTGAACCTGGGAGGTGGAAGTTGCAGTGAGTCGAGATTGCACCATTGCACTCCAGTCTGGGCAACAGAGCGAGACTCCATCTCAAAATAAATAAATAAAAATAAAAATTCTTTGGTTTTTCATAAGCACTCGTAATGTGTATGGTATTCTCCATAATCTTGCTAATTTTTATAAAACAGTGTTTTAAACCATTTATCACATCGCATACCTGAGACTAAGGTTTGGCCAGCCTTTGACTCTGCCATGAAATTACAGCATGTGCATGTCCGGACAGGCTGGAGTGCAACGGCGGAATCTCAGCTCACTGCAACCTCCACCTCCCGAGTTCAAGCGATTCCCCTGCCTCAGCCTCCCGAGTAGCTGGGATTGCAGGCACCCGCCACCATGTCCAGCTTATTTATTTATTTAGTATTTTTAGTAAAGACAGAGTTTCACCATGTTGGCCAGGCTGGTCTTGAACTCCTGACCTCAAGTGATCTACCCACCTCAGCCTCCCAAAGTGCTGGGATTACAGGCATGAGCCACCCTGCCTGGCCTCAAATCTGTAACTATCTAAGGTGATGACTTTGAAGTGCTGCGTAGCATTTCAGTGAGTTTGAGATTGTTGGGACGTGTTCAGAAACACAAACTTGCTCTTTTTATTTAGCCACTTGTAAAATACCAAAGAGAGATGAGGTGGCCACTCTGAGGAGCAGATGGCAGTTATCTTTGTGTGGCTTTTCCTTGTCACTGGGACAAAGGATACTGTAGGTAGGATCTTGCCAGAGTTGGAAAGCAGCTGAATTCTTGTTATGCCCCTCCTCCCTAATACTTGACTTTACATTATCATTTTGCAAAACATATACCAACAATCTGTGCACTTTTGATCAAGGGAAAGCGTACAAACATCAGCCCTCCTGATTCTTGAACCGAACTCAGCACTTGCAAAGTCGTATCCTCCTCTGGAGAAAGAAAACCGAGTGAGTGCCAGGTAACTCTGGAAGCCCGTGTCCCCGTGTCCTCATGGATAGCCAGCATTTGGATGTGTTTGGATGTATATATTGTATAGTTTTGTTGAGAAAAAAACAAGAATGAGAAAGTCAATCATTTCCTCTCGGTATCCAGTAACAGTGAATTAAACAAATTCAGTAATCATCTTCAGATGCCCACTATGTGCAAAGTGCTGTGTCAGAAGGTCTGGTGAGTACTAAGATGAACTGGTTACACTCCTTGGATTCCACCCCCTGCTGTCAAGTGTTTGCAGTTCCTCACAGGAGACCCATGTGACTATAAGTAGCTAAGTAGGAAGCAAGATCCTAAGGCTGGAAGTGGAGTGTAAAGCACCAAGGAAGTGGGTAGGAGCAAATATTTTATTCTATAGCAGAGAACTCTTAAGAAAGCTTCAGAGAGGAATGGCCATGCATGGAGTGTTTAATAAGAGTTAACAGGATTTCAGCAGATAAGGGGAAGTGATGGTGTGCAGGAAGAAACAGGAGTACTGTTAAGGAGAAGGAGAAATATTACTGAGAAGGGAGTCAGGAAAGACCTGGAGTGTGTTCATGGTATCACGTATGGTCTGGTTTGGCAGAAACAGTATGCAGGAGGGATATAGAAGGCAGTAAAGCTGGAAAGATGATCTGGCATTGGCCATACTTACGTACTTAGAAAAACCCTAGAGAAGATAAGTATTAACCTATATTGTATTTTAGAGTAGCAGAAAAATGGTTAGAGCATGAGCTTTAGAAGACAGGCAGCCCTAGATTGTCATTCTGTCTCTAGGACTTAAAAGCAATGAGACCTTGTATAGATCTCATAATCATCTGAATTCTAATTTCCTTCTCTGTAATGTGGACATAATTCTGGCACCTTATTATGAGGATTAAGTGAGATAATGTAAATTAAAATATCTAAACAGGTACCCAGTACAATCTATGAATGTTTGCTGGTATTACATTATAATTTTATGGTTTCATTAAAAAAATCTTTAACTCTTTAGTCAGATGGTGTGTATTTTCTTTGGTACCCTTGATGACTCATTTGTTCCAAAGCATGAATCACAAAGAATATCAAAAGAATAAATTGTTCAGAATATTATTTTTACCTGTTAAGTGTTAGAAATGTTGACTCTTGTTAATTTAGCTCATTAATATCTATTGAGTGCCTACCATATGTTTAGTGCCAAGCTAGGTACTATAGGAGAATATAAGACAGAACTCCTGTGTTTAAGAGACTCTTGATCTAGTTGGGGTGAAAAAAGTAGCATATCTTTATTATACACAGAACTATGGTTTTGTAGTTTTCAGTCTACATTCTTAGGCTCGAAAATGTGTCAACATTCTTTGAAGGTGTATTAGGCCTTGAAATGACTGGGCACACCATTTTCTTTGTTCACAGCATTCTTTGTGGAAGTGTGACTCTTTAAAACAGCAATATGAAAGAGTAAATAGATACTATTATAGAGCAGAAGTCATTCAGGATTTCAGAGAAGACAGATATTGGTGTGCATTATAGGGATGGGGAAGACTTGAGGGAAGAAGTAATATATGTAAGATCTAGGTAGGTGGACAAGTAGGAAGACTGCCTTCCAGCAGGAAACAAAGCATGAGACTGTAGTTTTGAGAGGGCAATATAGAAACCAGCCTGGCTTAATTAGGTTCACATTCATAGGGAGAAAAAAAACGAAGTTGTTGGATAGTAGAGCCAGTGCCAAGTTGTGAAGGGAACGTAGGCAGGAATGTGGGGTTATTCATTTGGGGAGGTGCAGGAGGTAAACAAGGGAGAGATGAGGTGAGTGTTCCCATAGGAGGGTGTGTTGACAGGTGCTCAGGATGGTTTGGATGGGAGAGAGGATTGAAGTCAGGGAGACAGGCCATTTAGCCATTGCAGTGACCTACTCAGGAAAGAAGGCAGCCTGAAACAATGGTAGCTGAAGGTAGTGTAAGCAAGAAGCTTATTTAGAGGCATTCAAAGGACCATCCGTGGGGCTTTGAAACTGATGTTTATTAGTAGTATATATACCTAAGATGATTTTGAGAAGGATGATGGTACTAGTAGAGAAACGGAAAGGTAAGGAAACCTTACTATGGAAGAAAGAAGGTTAGTTTAG